>NC_000007.14:70688597-70991627 GCF_000001405.40 Homo sapiens | reverse complement strand
GGCGAGCAGATCATGAGGTCAAGAGATCGAGACCATCCTGGCCAACATGGTGAAACCCCATCTCTACTAAAAATACAAAAGTTAGCTGGGCATGGTGGTGGGCGTCCGTAGTCCCAGCTACTCAGGAGGTTGAGGGAGGAGAATTGCTTGAACTCAGGAGACGGAGGTTGCAGTGAGCCGAGATCACACCACTGCACTCCAGTCTGGCAACAGAGCAAGACTCTGTCTCAGAAAAAAAAAAAAAAAAAAAAGAGTTTAGTTGAGGAGCTCTTTGGTTGGAAAAGTCAGTGAAAAGCAGCGAATCATTAAATTAGAAGTTGCATACATGAATAATGGCTTAGAAGAAAGGTCTGGATGGCATGTAAATTGAGGAGTTATTGACATATAAGTGAAAATGGATGTGACCACCAGGGGAACAAGCATAAGAGAGGATGGTCCGTGGTCAAGCCCTGAGGATTTGCAACACTTAGAGCAGTGGCACTCTCCAAAGTGTTTCTGATTTCACCTCCATCAGTAAACATTTTTAGTCTATACCCCCAGTGCACATGTTCATTTAAAATTTTGTACTTGTGCTACTGTGCTTAAATATTGTGTCTACCATAAAACACACACACACACACACACACACACACACACACCCCCACACAAACACGAAATTTTGGAGGATGAGATTTTTAAAATTAAAACTGATTAAAATAGAAATTAATATAAATTGGGAGGCTACTGATTTAGAGGTTGAAGTAGAAGAATATGAGCCAAACAAGCTGTGGCTAGAGAGGAAGGGGGAAAACTAGTGTCTTTGTTTCTGTTGCTATAAAGGAGTACCTGAGGCTGGGTAACTTATATAGAAAAGAGAGGCTGGGCACAATGGTTTACACCTGTAATTCCAGCACTTTGAGAGGCCAAGGCAGGAGGATTTCTTGAGGCCGGGAGTTTGATACCAGCTTGGGCAACATAGGGAGACCCAATGAATAAATGAACAGAAGGAAGGAAGGAAGGGAGGAAGGGAGGAAGGGAGGGAGGAAGGAAGGAAGGAGAGAGAGAGAAAGAGAAAGAAAGAAGGAAAGAAGAAAGAAAGAAAAAAGGAAAGAAAGAAAGAAAAAAGAAAGAAAGAAAGAAAGAAAGAAAGAAAGAAAGAAAGAAAAAAGAAAGAAAGAAAGAAAGAAGGAAAAGAAAAGGCAGGCAGGCAGGAAGGAAGAAAGGAAGGAAGGAAGGATTGACCAGCCATGGTTTTGTGAGAAAAGAACCGGAGAACAGCGAAAGTGAGACTTTTAATGACAGTTTTGGAAGATCAGGTGTCTGATGGGCAGGCACACCCAGCACAGTTTCAACAAGCAATTTATCCCCTAGCGTGCAGGCCCCTCCTCTGGTTCCTCATAGGCTGAGTACTATGGGATCACAATCTTCCTGGACATCGCCTATTGATTGTTGGGTAGGGGCTTTAGGTTTTTTTTTTTTTTTTGGGGGGGGTGTTGTCTTGCTGCATGTTGTTGCAGTCCACAATGCATTGCAATTCTAGTTAGTTCAGGGGCTTTTTGACTTCTGAGCTAAGTAGCTGAGCAGGCTGATAAGAACAGACAAAGGGGGCTATTTTGCCAGCTAGTAAACTTTTATCTTAGACTAAACTTTTTTGGTTCGAATGAGGGCAACTAAGGGGGTGGGGATGCCAAGAAGCAGGTATTGGCTATCCAAGCAGTGGTCTAATATATCCTGTTTCTTCTGTAGCTTGCTTACCAAGCGCCAAGTTAAGGCGCTTTGTCTTGGAAATTGACTACTGTATACATTATTTCCTTCAGTGGCAGATACCTGACGACCCAGCTACTCAGGAGGTTGAGGCAGGAGTATCCCTTGAGCACAAGACTTGAAAACTACAGTAAGCTATGATTGCACCATTGTACTACAGCCTGGACAACAGAGCAAGACACTGTCTTTTAAAAAAAGATAAGAAAAGAGGTTTGTTTGGCTTACAGTTCTGTGGGCTACAAAGAACCACAGCACAAGCATTTGCTCCTGGTGAGGGCTGCAGGCTGCTTGCCCTCATGGTGGAAAGTGAAGGGGAGCTGATGTGTGCAGACATCACATGGCAAGAGAGGAAGCAAGAGAGAGAGGAGGGAGGTGCCAGGCTCTTTTTATTTTATTTTATTTTATTTATTTATTTATTTTGAGACAGAGTCTTGCTCTGTCACCCAGGCTGGAGTGCAGTGGCGTGATCTTGGCTCACTGAAACTTCCGCCTCCTGGGTTTAAGTGATTCTCCTGCCTCAGCCTCCCAAGTAGCTGGGATTACAGGCGTGCACCACCACGCCCAGCTAATTTTTTGTGTTTTTAGTAGAGACGGGGTTTCACCATGTTGGCCAGGCTGGTCTCAAACTGCTGACCTCCAGTGATCTGCCCACTTTGGTTTCCCAGAGTGTTGGGACTACAGGCGTGAGCCACCATGCCCAGTCACCAGGCTCTTTTTCACAACCAGCTCCTGCAGGGACCAACAGAGTAAGAGCTCATTCACCTCCCCCCACCCAGGTCATTAACCTATTCATGAGTGACTCAAACACTTCCCACCAGGCTCCAACTCCAACATTAGGAATCAAGTTTCAACATGAGGTTTGAAGAGTCAAATATTCAAACTATAGCAACTAGAAAAATAGGAAGTCAAGAAGTTTTTTAAAAAGTGTTTCAGGCCAGGCATGGTGGCTCACATCTGTAATTCCAGCATTCTGGGAGGCCGAGGAGGGCAGATCAGATGAAAGAAGTAGGACATAATACATGTAACAAAAGACATAAGAGAAAGAAGACAACAAGAATCATATAAACTTAAGGCCAGAAGTTCAAAACCAGCCTGGCCAAAATGGTGAAACCCTATCTCTTTCTAAAATATACAAAAATTAGCCAGGTGTGGTGGCACATGCCTGTAATCCCAGCTACTTGGGAGGCTGAGGCAGGAAAATCACTTGAACCCAGGAGGTGGAGGTTGCAGTGAGCCAAGTTCATGCCACTGCACTCCAGCCTGGGTGACAGAGTGAGACTCCATCCCCCAAAAAATGTTTCAAAAAAACAGTGATTACAGTATCAAATATTGCTGAGGAATCTAGTAAAATAAGGGGCAAGAAAAGTCTTTTGGATTTTGCAACATGGTGGACGTTGGTAACTCTGACCGGAGCTGTTTCCATGGTGAAATGAGTATGAAAGCCACACTGGAGAGTTGAAAATAAATGGGCGTGAACTCAATTAATGATTCAAACTACCTTACAAGGTGAGAATCATCACCATCACTTACAAATGAGGAGATCAAGGCTCAGAGCTGTAAAGAATGTGCCTTTGGTTTTTACATTGCAGGAGAAGAGTGAAAATTTAATGCCAAGCCTGCCCGGATTTACAATGCTTGGATTCTTCCATTAAAGAAAGCTAATAGGTATAAAAATGTCATTAGGTAGAAGCAGGGCCTGGGTTAAAGTGGGAACAACTGCTCATAAATAGCGCACTGTTGGTGGCAGAGCATTCTGGGAATTCCAGTTGAGGAGAAGAAGCTGGAACCCAGCCAAGAGCAAAACACCTCACCTCAGGTCTCCTAAGCAACAGAAAGGTTCACTCAACCTCTGAAAGTTGATCTAAGTATGGTGGAGTTGTGTCTTAGGAGGAGGGTAGGTTCTAAAGTCAGCCTATAAGATGAGAACGGTGTCATGTAAAAATGGCCCTTGAAAAGTCTGTCCAATGAGATTAACATTCTATTTCTCAGTAAGTCCAACCAGGCAAGGTTTTCTCCTGCAAGGACAGAACTTCACTTTTTGTGTTTGGTTTGTTTTGTTTTTTGGGACTTTTAAAATAGGCTTCCAATTTCTTAAACATTGTTTTTCATTGGTACATAATATTTGTACATATGTATGGGGCACATGTGATATTTTGACACAGAATTATTGTTTTTTGAATGAGTACCAGATGACATAATTGACTTGCACTGAGGGGCCATTTTCTATGAAAAATACATCTTTTTTTTGGGTAGGAGACAAAGTCTGTCACTCAGGCTGGAGTGCAATGACACAATCACAGCTCACTGCAGCCTCAAACTCCTGGGCTCACATGATCCTCCTGCCTCAGCCTCCCAAGTAACTGGGACTACAGGCGCATGCCACTATGCTTTGCTAATTTTCACTTTTTTTTTTTTTTTTTAAGAGCTGGAGTCTCTCTGTGTTGCCCAGGCAGATCTTGAACACCTGGCCTTAAACGATCCTCCTGCCTCAGCCTCCCAAAGCGCTGGGATTACAGGCATGAGCCCCCACACCTGGCCTGTGAAAAAATATATCTCTTGAAACATAAGATGAACACTCAGCCCAGAGTAGCCCTAGGACCAGAAGACAAATCAAGAAGCAGATTCACACCTCCCTTCACACACAGTCTGCTGGGGCACACATTCAGCAGGTGGACCTGATATTTAAATAGTCCGTAGTATTTAAATTGTTGTCACTCTTGTCCAACTATTTTGGAGTAATAAGGATTGAACTTCCCCTCCCATCATAAATAACTTGAAAACTAGACAAACTGTTTTTAACTATGTATCCTTTTTTAAATTTTGATTTTTTTTTTTTTTTGAGACAGGATCTTGCTCTGTTGCCCAAGCTGGAGTGCAGTGGCATGATCATGGCTCACTGCAGCCTCAAACTCCTGGGCTCAAGTGATCCTCCTGCCTCAGCCCCCTGAGTACCAGGGACTACAGGTGCATGCCACCATGCCCGGCTATTTTTTAAAATTATTTTTTGTAAAGACAGAGAGTCTCACTTTGTTGCCCAGGCTGGTCTTGAACTCCTGGTTTCAAGTGATCCTCCCACCTCAACCTCCCAAAGTGCTGGGATTACCAGTGTAAGCCATCACAACCAGCCTGAATCAACTGTTTTCAGACGTTGGGCCATAGATGGCAAAGAACTATGAACCCTGGAGAAGAGAAACAAAGGAAGTAAGCCCTAAAATTGCCCAGGCTCCCTTCCAGACCAGGGACCTAGGGAGGACAATACAACAGGACCTTCTTAGTAGAGAATATAGAGCTTGAAGCTTGGAGAGGCTGAGGCAGCTGGAAATTCAGGACAGAGTCCTGGAAAGGAGGGAGCTATGCAATTAAACTGCTTCATAAATCTGCATAGGAATGCCCTTGTTTCTTCGCTGAGTACTAGGCTGTATGTGCATAAAGTAAAACTGCACCAGGCCAAATAAAAAATGACTTAGGAGTTGTAAGCTGAACAATTGCCAGAGCTCACACAAAATGGAAAGACGTCTGAGCTCCAACCAGCCAGACTGGTGTTTGTTGATCACTGGGTCATCCAGTGGAGATCCCAGAGACCCCCACTCTAGCGGTAAGGCTCAACTCTCTTTGAAGTGAAGGCTACTCTAGACCTACCCCAGCAAAGCTCAAATGGAGCAAAGTGATCTACAAGCAACTTACCTGTGTGCCAAGGACACAACACTATTTGAAAGAAGAAAACAAACTAAAATATGATTTGACATTCTAAGAAGCAGGCAAACGTATTCTCATATGCTCTCCCTGAGATGTGTATAGTCGAATTTGCGGGAGGTGAATGGGACACAGCATTGCTCCACTGCCTAAAAACCTAACTCCATGCTGGTTCTTTGATTTGCAATGTGTTTTATGCATATGTTTCTTCCTTTGCACATAGGCAGCTCTTTCTGTCTCCCAGTCCTCTTCTTCCTGGTCTCATGTGTTTTTGCTAAAGAAAAATTGGAGAAGTCTAAATGTCCCAACTACTCACTTTATGTTAATTGCATAGAAACATGACTTCTGGAAGTGATCATAGCTTTCATCACAAAAGAAAAAAAACGGATGTATATAATTCACATTAGAGACATAATGTCCCCTTTAAAGCATAGTCTGGATGGTCTAAAATATTATTTTTATTGTACTTTGTTTGGAACATTGTGTATCTGTTACTAAATGCCAGGAGTTTGGTCTAGGTCCCGTTGCTCACTGCACAGAAAGCCAGTCACTAAGACAACAAGTATTGCCAGGGAAGAAGGCTTTAACTGGGTACTGCAGCCAAGGAGATGGGAAATCAGTCTCAAATCCATCTCCCTGATAACTAAAATTATGGGATTATATAGCAAGGAAGAAATGTAATCATGTGTGGGAAAATAGGAATTAGGGAGGGGAAAGAAATAGGAGTTGGTCCACAGGAAGCAGGTGGTTGCTTAGGCAATCATGATGGATGAGGGGTCTGGTGTCTTTTTGCCTAGAAGCAATGATCTGGTAAGTTTCCATTCCTTGATACTATCTGGTAGGCCTAATGGTTGGTTTCCTGAGTAAGGAACTCAACTAAGACAAATGCAACTTCCTCAAGTTTCAAGACTAGGAAGGTTGATTTCTATGTTTATTCAAAAGAAGCCATAAGCATTAGTTCTGTAAAACAATTGGGCTGGTTTCATGGCACTGAAGTAGCAAAATTCCAAGTACTGTGTTGTTTCATTCCATGGGATAAAACATAAGATGTTTATCTTCCAAAGCTGTGTATCGGATGAAAGAAAGTAGGACATAATACATGGAACAAAAGACATAAGAGAAGGAAGACAACAAGAATCATATAAACATAGATCTGAAACTCGGGACAACATAAGGTAAGCCAAGTGTTAAGGTTGAGTAGGGAAGAATTTTAGCATAAAAGGGCAAGCCTAGGCTGTGGATTTAGACCCTGAGATGAATCATGCAATTACCATTGACCAGTTCTGTGACTTGGGGCCAGTTCTTTGCCCTCCACTAGCTTGACACACTTTCCAGCTGTGTATCCTTGAGCAATTAACTCAGTTTCTTTGTCCTCAGTTTTCTTCTTTATAAAATAAGAATCAAAATAATACTTACATTGTGGGGTTGTATTGAGTATTAGATGAGTTAAGAATGCATTTAAAGTGCTTATTACAATACCTAGAGCATGGTAATTCCTCAATGTTAGCCATCATTATTATTCTTTTTATTATCTTACTTTATTATTATTATGGTCTCATCTGTATAATGGGTATATTATCACCTGTCTCTAGTGCTTGTCATAAGGATCAAATCAAATATAAGCATAAATCCTCAAGCACATTGCCAAGCATAGTATAGATGCTTGATAAATACTATATATTATTCGAGAAATAATATTCATACTATTAATTAATATTAATATTCATATCAATAAAATAGTCATATTAATATAAATATTTATATTCATATTGTTAATAGGAATGTTATATTAATAATTGAATAATTGAATATTCGTATTAATAATTGAATAATTGAATATTCATATTAATAATTGAATAATTGAATATTCATATTAATAATTGAATAATTGAATATTCATATTAATAATTGAATAATTGAATATTCATATTAATAATTGAATAATTGAATATTCATATTAATAATTGAATAATTGAATATTCGTATTAATAATTGAATAATTGAATATTCATATTAATAATTGAATAATTGAATATTCATATTAATAATTGAATAATTGAATATTCATATTAATAATGTAAATAAGAATATATCATTATTGAATAATACATATTATTAAAGAAATAATATATAGCATTTATCAAGCATCTATAATACAGATTGTTGGATAAATATGAATACATAAAAATGTTTAAGTTCTGTATATACCAAAACATTAATAAGAATAAAAGACAAACAGGAAAATTTTTGCAACAAGTGATAGCCTTAATAAAAAAAAAAGTTTATACCCTACAACCCAGCAATCCCACTACTGGGAATCTACCCAAAGGAAAAGAAATCAGTATATCAATGGGGTACCTGCATTTGCATGTTCATGGCAGCACTGTTCACAATAGCAGAGATATGGAAACAACCTAAATGC
Organism: Homo sapiens; assembly: GCF_000001405.40. NCBI lineage: Eukaryota > Metazoa > Chordata > Mammalia > Primates > Hominidae > Homo > Homo sapiens. The sequence continues at coordinate 70,983,769 of NC_000007.14, read as the reverse complement.
CCATCAACAGACAAATGGATAGAGAAAAATGTGGTAAATATACACAAGGGAAGACTATTCAGTTATAAGAAAGAATGAGATCCTATCGTTTGCAGCAACATAGCTAGAAATGGAGGTTATTATGTTAAGTGAAATAAACCAGGCACAAAAAGACAAATACCACACGTTCTCATTCATATATGGGAGTTAAAAATCTTGATCTCATGGACATAGAGAATGGAGTGATAGATACCAGAGACAGGGGAACGGCTGGGGGAGGAATGAAGAGAGGTTGGTTATGGGTGCAAACACACAGATAGAAGAAATAAGTCTTAATGTTTGATAGCAGACTAGGGGGACTATGCTTAGCAACAATGTTTTGTATCTTTTTTTTTTTTTTGAGGTGGAGTCTCACTCTGTCGCTCAGGCTGGAGTGCAATGGCGCAGTCTTGGCTCACTGCAACCTCCGCCTCCCAGGTCCAAATGATTCTCCTGCCTCAGCCTCCCGAGTAGCTGGGACTACAGGTGCGTGTCACCACACCCAGCTAATTTTTGTATTTTTAGTAGAAACGGGTTTTCACTATGTTGGCCAGGTGGGTCTCGAACTCCTGACCTCGTGATCCACCCACCTCAGCCTCCCAAAGTGCTGAGATTACAGGAGTGAGCCACCACGCCCGGCCAATATTATGTATCTTTGAAAGTAACTGGAAGATAGGATACCAACTCATAAATACCAACCCATAAAATAATACCAACTCATAAAATAATAATACCAACCCATAAAAATAATACCAACCCATAAAATAATAATACCAACCCATAAAATAATACCAACCCATAAAATAATAATACCAACCCATAAAATAATACCAACCCATAAAATAATAATACCAACCCATAAAATAATACCAACCCATAAAATAATAATACCAACCCATAAAATAATACCAACCCATAAAATAATAATACCAACCCATAAAATAATACCAACTCATAAAATAATAATACCAACCCATAAAATAATACCAACTCATAAAATAATAATACCAACCCATAAAATAATACCAACTCATAAAATAATAATACCAACCCATAAAAATGATAAACATACAAGGTGGTGGATACCTCAATGACCCTGACTTGATCATTACACATTCAATGCATGTAACAAGCACATGTACCCCATAAATATGTAAATTACTATAATATACATCAAAAAATAGAAAAATAAATAAATAAACAGTTTCTATAAATTGATTGAAAAGTATAAAGACCCTAGCGGATAAAGGGACAGAAGACTGTAATTTATAGGTCAGTGTTGTGTGTAGAAACTGAAATAAATAAATAAAAATTAAAAATAATTCACAGGGGATGGGCAAAGTGGCTCATATCTGTAATCCCAGCACTTTGGGAGGCCAGGGTGAGCAGCTCACTCAAGCCCGGGAGTTCAAGACCAGCCTTGGCAACATGGGGAAACCCTGTCTCTATAAAATAAAATTTATAATAAAAATAATAATAATTCATAGGAAGATATATACATAACTAATAAATATTTAAAGTATTACTTAAGATCATTAATATTCAAAGAAATATAAATTAAATAACAATGAGGTGGTAAACTACTATTTCTGGAAAGTCATCTGGCAAAATGTATCAATAATCTCAAAAATGCCTCTGCTCACATAACCAATCCTGCCTCTTCTAGGGATATATTCTCAGGAAATAACCAGAAAAGTGGACAAAGATTTATGACTAAGACATACTTATGGTATTATTTATAACAGTTGTGCTTAGGTGAAGATATTATAAGTTGACTGTTTCTGTTTTTCATAACCTTAATGTTGTTACAGCTTTAACAAAAAACACATATTGGAAAAAAGATCACTTTTATATTAAGACATAGCATCACCTAGAGAGATTTGCAAATGCTTTTTGTCAATAATTGCTCTTCTTGGGCACTCAGCAAAATGCCTTAATGTGTCATTGCAGTTGTAGATTTAGGGAAAGGTATATTTGTCTTCTGAAGTGCCAGTGTTAGTTGCATGTATATGTGTGACATTGTTGTTGATTAGCTAATAATGGGGTTTTGTAAGTAGTAGATTTTCATCTACAATAGAGGCAGTCATTCTGTCCTGCATACAAGAACACAGGAGCTTGGGAATTCTCTAAGAAGTCAAACAATCTCAGTTGAGTGTACTGGGTCAAACCAGTAAGGACAGAGTCCAGGGCCACCAGAAATGGCTGACTGTGTGTCTTTGATTGAGAAGCTCATCAGAGCCTTACAACATTACCACTCCCTACCATTGGCAAGCTTGCATTTTTGAGAGACTAAAGAAATGTCAAAAAGCTGAGAGCCCTTGCTTTTTTTGGTAAGTAATTTTTTTAAGAGCAATGGTGTTTAGAGTAGTCATGGTCTAGAGTCACTCTGCTAGCCTAAAAGTCCCTGAAGACATCACTTTTAACAACTTTATTTTTGGAACCTCTTGCCAAAAAGCAAAGTCATTTTTTGGAGTGAAGGCTCTAGTTGAGAGGACTAATGGCACTTTTTACCTCCATTGCACTTTCACTCACTCAGGGAAAGAAAAATCCAATACTGCATGTTCAATTGAGTCCAGGGTGTTACCTTTTAGACACAGAATCACAGAGCAGAAAGAAACCAGAAAGTTCTGGTCTGGTTGTCTGGATGTCTCAGCGCAGATGTAAAAACCAAGCTGTCTTGGGGGCAGGAGCAGGGAAGATTCGTGACTATCCTTAATCAGTCCTGGCCATATAGACCACTCGGATAGAGCAGAGACTTCCTGGCCCTATTGAGCAGAGAAACTATGAATGCCTATGAATGCTTCTTGAAGATTTGCTGTCTGCATCTTTCACAGACAGTCTTTGGAGAGAAAAATATTCCTTAATTCTCCCAGCCAGGGGCCTTTGTACAGCCGCAAGCAATTATTTCCTCTCCCCTGACCCTCTGTCCTCTGGCACACTCAGTATTCTGTGGGTGATCCTCATTGATTCAGTGCTGGGACTGCCAGGATGGTGTCCCTGACACGCCCCGTAACCCAGAGACAAGTGCATTAGACATTTGCAGCCCACCGAGAGTGGCGCTGCAGTTATTGGCAGGTGTGGGGCTGAGACAGACGAATCGATGCTGCAGCTGGAGGAAGGTAGGCACCTTCAGTGTCCTGACAGAGGCATGTGTCAGGCCCGCCACCCTCACATCAGGCCAAAGGACAGCCAAGGGTCACTGGCACCTGAGAATCCAAATCAGGCTTCCTGAGCGGTCAGCCCCAGGTGGAGGGGCAAGTTGACAACCTGCTTTTGCACATGTGGTCAAAAGTAACTCCCATGACAGTGATCTCAATGGAATGCAGCACTAACTCTCTTTCCATGGAATAATCTAAGCATGTTTTAGTTTGTAAAAGGAAAAGAAGCCGGGCGCAGTGGCTCACGCCTATAATCCCAGTGCTTTGGGAGGGCAAAGTGGGGGGATCCCTTGAAGCCAGCAGTTCAAGTTGAGGCTGGGCAACATAGCAAGACCCCATCTCTAAAAAAAAAATTTAAAAATCAGCTTGGTGTGCTGGTGCATGCCTGTAGTTCCAGCTACTCGGGATGCTGAGGTGGGTGAGTCCCTTGAGCACAGGAGTTCGAGGCTGCAGTGAACTGTGATTGCACTACTACACTCCAGCCTGGACAACAGAGCTAAATCTTATCTCCAAAAATAATAAATAAGTAAAACAGTGTACCCATCTCCATTTAATTAACTGAAACTCCAAAAATCTGGGGATGGGAGGAGATTAGTTTGGCAGCTGCTTGCAGCCAATAAGGGTTGATTCTGTGGGCTGAGCCTAGGTCTTGGCACAGTGGCCCGTGTGGGCTGCAGGCTGCAGAGTTGGGAGGACCCCACAGACATTGCTGGTGCCTCCTCGGCCAGCATCTCTATCTTCCCCTGGAAAGTGGACCAGACATACGCTTGGGGAAAATGTTCGCAAGAGGGAAAGGATGTCACTAAGGGAAATAGCTCTTCCACGCCTGACCTTCCCCTCCCTAGCCCCAGTCACATCCTGGACCCCAACATTACCCAGAATGCTCTTTCTTAAAAGTTTTAAAACAGGCCGGGTGCAGTGGCTCATGCCTGTAATCCCAGCACTTTGGGAGGACAAGGTGGGTGAATCACTTGAGGTCAGGGGTTCAAGACCAGCCCGGCCAACATGATGAAACCCTGTCTCTACTAAAAAATACACAAAAATTAGCCAGGTGTGGTGATGCGCACCTGTAATCCCAGCTACTCGGGAGGCTGAGGCAGGAGAATCACTTGAACCTAGGAGGTGGAGGTTGCTGTGAGCCAAGATCATGCCACTGCACTCCAGCCTGGGTGACAGAGTGAGACTCTTTCAAAAAAAAAATAAAAATTTAAAATGCACCTTGACAGTTCAGCCCTCTTGTTTTCTGCCTGCCCTTATTAGTATGATTATTAAATATTATCTAGAGCTCTGACCTTGATGCTTTCTGATCTTCATCCCCCACCCCCACCTTTGGCTCCATCGCTTTCCTGCCCAGCCTGACATCCAAGGTAAACATCCAGCAACATAGCAGCCAGTACTTGCAAGTTCATGCCTCTCCACTTTCCCACCACCCTGCCTGTAAATCCCCATGTTGGGGCCAATCCAACTGTTCATTTTCTCTTTTCTTCCTCCAAAATCACCAAGTGCTATCAGGAAAATTGCACAAATATCCAGGTTGTAAGGCCACAGATTCATCGTTGGCTTCTTTTTATTTTATTATTATTATTTTTTAGAGACAAGGTCTCACTCTGTCGTCCATGCTGGAGTGCCGTGGCGTGATCATAGCTCACTGCAGCTTCCAACTCCTAGGCTCAAGCAATCCTCCCACCTCAGCCTCCTAAGTAGCTGGGACTACAGGCACATGCCACCACACACAGCCAGTTTTTTTTACTGATGAGGTCTTACTATGTTGCCCAGGCTGGTCTCAAACCCTCAGTCTCAAGTGATCCTCTCACCCTGGGCTCCCAACGTGCTGGGATTACAGGCATGAGCCACCTCACCCAGCCCAGCGCCAACACATTCTAGCTACATGACTGAGGGTAATTTATAGTTTTGGGAATATGGAGAAATAATCACCCTTACTTCATAAAGTTACTGTGAGAATTAAACAAGGTGATGCAATGTGAAATACATAGCAGAGTGCCTGGCTCAGAGTAAAAGCTTTATAAATGTTAGCCATTATTATTAATAATATGAAGGTTCCTCCATAGGCATGTAGAGCAAAACTGTAATCTTTTTAAAACCGTTGGCAATCATAAGCTCTAAGGCAAGTTTGAATTAATAAGTTTTTGATGAATTTGGTTTTCAAAGGCATATGAGATTAAAAATGTATGGTATTTTATGTTTGGGTATAACAGCAAGCTTCATCATATACTTCATATCTCCAGTGAAATAAGAAACAAGTCTTCAAGCCCATTTAAATTGAGAAATCCAACAGGGAAAATACAAAGATGTCTATATTGAGTATTCATGCTTCAAAGAAGTTTAGAAAGAATTCCAGCAGTTTTCTTGATTGGTTAAGGCTTTCTTTTGCCTTCTCTAGAGGACCTAATGGTAAAATAACATATCATATTACTTCCTCCTTTACCTCTTAAAATATTGAGAGACATACATTTGTATGTGTTTGAGTATAATGCATCATATTGAATTATTAACTTTCTCTCCTGAAAATTGTTAATATATCTGCCTCCCACTGGACCAAAAAAAAAAAAAAATCTAACTAGGCTTCCAGGAAAAATTTTTTAAAAAAACAAGATTATCATTCTATACATGGAAACTGCATGAATAATTAATTTGCAGAGTTTTGATAAATTTCATTCACAAATACTTCGTGGTTTACTGAGAGTTATTAACTCAAGCTGTATTTTTAGACAGAGCCTGGAAGGATACTGTGGGTCAATGTAAGTCCTGAAAAAGTGATCAGATGTCAACAGAATAAATGAGGCATGCTTTGCGCCTGGTTCCTGACCATTTTTTTTTTCTGGTCAGTTAACATAGTCCAGTTACATTTGAGGCTTGAGAATGAGCTGTATTTTTAAAAAAAACTAGGCCAGTCATGGTGGCTCACACCTATTATCCCAGCACTTTGGGAGGCTGTGATAGAAGGATAGCTTGAGGCTAGAATTTTGAGATCAGCCTGGGCAAAATAGTGAGACACCCTATCCCTACAAAAAATCTAAAAAGTTAGCTGGGTGTGGTGACACATGCCTGTAGTCCCAGCTACTCAGGAAGCTGAAGCAAGAGAATCAGTTAAGCCCACAAGTTTAAGGCTGCAGTGAGCTGTGACTGCACCACTGAACTCCAGCCTGGGCAACAGAGCAAGACCCTATCTCTAGAAATATCAATTAATCATTAAAAATATAAGACATGGTCCTTGATTTTAGGGGGTGTTATGGGCTCAACTGTGTCCCCTGCAAAATTCATCTGTTGAAGCTCTGACTCCTAACTCAGAATGGGGCTGTATTTGGAGATAGGGTCTTTAAAGAGGTAATTAAGTTAAAATGAGGTCATAAGGGCAGGGCCTCATCCAATATGATTGCTGTCCTTATGAGAAGAGATTAGGACCCAGACACACAAAGGGAAGATCATGTGAAGATAAGGAGGAGAGGGTCAACTACAAACCATGGAGAGAGGCCTTAGTAAAAACCAACCCTGCTGACACCCTGATCTCGAACTTCTAGCCTTCAGGATGGTGAGAAAATAAATTTCTGTTCTTCAAGTCACCCAGCCTGCAGTATTTTATTATCACAACCCTAGCAAACTAATACAAGGTATTCATCAGTTTTATTATTTTTTATCATTGTCATTCCCCAGATTGTATTGCCTTCCACAATCTCAATTATTTGCATCATCTGTGGCTACGAGCATGTGGGATTTCTTCCCAGGGTCTTCTCTGACCTGGTCACCTGACCATGCAAGGTGACGTTGGGTGGTATTTATGTCTCCTTTGGTCTCTGTCACTTCCCCAATGAGGAAGACATTCCCTGGAGGCTACCTCAGTCCTCTGTGCTTTTTTGTTTTGTTTAGAGACAGGGTCTTGCTCTGTTGCCCAGGCTGGAGTGTAGTGGTGCCACTGTAGCTCACTATAACCTCAAACTCCTGGGCTCAAGGGGTCCTCCCGCCTCAGCCTCCCAAGTAGCTGGGACTGACTACAGGAGTGCACCACCACACCCAGCTAATTTTTTAATATTTATAGTGATAGGATCTCACTACATTGCCCAGGCTGGTCTTGAACTCCTGGGCTCAAGAGATATCCCACCTCAGCCTCTCAAAGCACTGGGATTACAGGTGTGAGCCACTGCACCTGGAAAGCCCTCTGTTCTTGATCAAAGAGTCTTCGGTCCTTAATTCTCTCAACAAGCACGTATTAACTGATCCCCCTTGGGAATCCTTGGGAATCTCTCTGATCTCCCCAAGCATCTCCTGGTAGTCTCACTCTGCCGCGCAAACCACCACCTGCTTTCCTAGAGCTACTTGGGAGGCTAAGGTGGGAGAGTCGCTGGAGCCCAGGAGTTCAAGGTTATAGTGAGCTATGATGGCACCACTACACTCCAGCCTAGACAACAGAGCAAGACCCTGTCTCTAAACAAAACAAGATAACACAGAGACTGATGTAGACTCCAGGGAATTCCATTATTCCAAGAGGCTCAGCACCCTCCCAGAAAAGTCCCTGTCTAGAATCTGAGACATCTGTCAACTTCTCCCCTTGGTCTCAAGCCACAAGCCTGCTATTAACACATGCTTAGTGAGTGCTGCTTTTGGCTCCAAACCAAATATTTCAGGCTTTTTTCTGTTGAATTACAACCCTTTACACACCTCTTATTCATTCCTTTTGCCAACTATTGTCTTCAAATATTTGTCTGGTGGAAGGTAAACTTTTTGTGTCACTCTAGAGGGCAGCATTAGGACCTGTGTGTAGAAATTATGGAAAGGCAGTTGTTTCTTCTGTAAAAGGACAAAGTTGTTAGCATTTAAAGCTAACATTAGAATGGCATGTCTTGCAAAGAAATGACCTCCTGTTCTCAGCAGTTGACAAGCAGAGGTAGAATAACTGTTCGTATTCTTCTTCTCCTTTCTCCCTCATTTTTTCTTATTCTTTATTTTCCTGCTATGTGCACTAATGATGGGAACAGTACTACATTGCTCATCCTGCCCATGTAGGTGTGCAGAGTTCACCCTTGATTCTCATCTCTCCTTCTGTTAAGGAAGCAGGAGCTTAGAAGAGCCAGAGTAATGCCATTTCCAGTTCAACTGCATCTTGAGACTAATAAGACACATTCCTTGCCAGTCATGACCCATGGTTCTAAGACGTTTGCAGCTAAGGGAGCAGCTTAGCAATGTCTGCAAGGACAAACTCCTACAACAACAGAAAGTCCAAATGTCCCCAAACCCGTAACAATATATACCTTTCAAGATCATTATAGTTATGCTTTGATGTATTTACACACGAAATGTCAAGGATAGTGATATGGTTTGGATCTCTGTCCCCACCCAAATCTCATGTTCAATTGTAATCCCAATGTTGGAGGTGGGGCCTGTTTGAAGGTGCTTGGATCATGGGGTTGGATCCTTCATGAATGGTTTAGCACCATCTCCTCAATGCTATTCTCATGGTAGTGAGTGGGTTATCACGAGATCTGGTTGTTTACAAGTGTGTCACATCTCTCACACCATCTCTTGCTCCTGCTCTGGCTGTGTAAGAGGTGCCTGCTTCTCCTTCCCCTTCCTCCATGATCCTAAGTTTCCTGAGGCCTCCCCAGAACCCAAGCAAAGCCAGCATCATGCTTCCTTTACAGCGTGAGCCAATTAAAGCTTATTTCTTTATAAATTACCCAGTCCTAGGTATTTCTTTATAGCAATACTAGAACAGACTAATACAAATAAGTGTCTTTAAATCAATAGAATAATAAATTTCATCATGCTGTCAGCCCATCTGCACACAGACACAGCTTAGTGTAGTCTTTACATAGACAAGACTCCTGTATAAGAAAAACTTAAAATAAAGCCGGGGCATTCTTCCTCTTGCTATCTGAGGACATCCTACTCTCTAATGGAGTAATTTTCAATAAACCGTCTCTTCTCACTGCACTCTGTGACTCACCTTGAATTCCTTCCTGCATGAGATCCAAGAACCCTCTCTTGGGGTCTGGATCAAGACCCTTTTCTGCCACTTCTATGCCACACCCACTGGGTGGTTTGAGCCCCAAGTTCATTCACCTCTTCTCACCCTTACCCTAGGTTCTCACCATCTCCTCCTGGGGTAGAGCATCTGCCTCTTCACTGGCCTCCCTCCCCATCCAATTCATTCCCTACACTGCATCCAGAATGGCCTCCCTAAAACCCAAATGCACAACGCTTTAGCTGTTATCTCTCAGCACACCCACCTTCTAGATTTTGCTGTGGGATGCTTGGGCTGAGGCTCTGCAGATCACATTTCTGCGTTGCCAGCCAACTTCCCAAGAGGCTCTGCATGAGGAAGAGGGCGCTTCTCTTTCTTATGCCCCTGTTACTCCCATCAGCTTTGCCCAATTGTTACCAAACAAAAAGGACTCGCTTCCCGAAACACTAGAAACCAATACTATGACACTGGGTCTTTGAGAAAAGGAAAGCTTTTTATTACAAATTGACTAACAAGGAGATAGGAGTCCAGCTCAAATCTGTCTCCTTGTGCTGGCTTTAAGGCAGTCATTTTTTTTCGGAGACAGGGTCTTGCTCTGTTGCCCAGGCTGGAGTGCAGTGGTGTGATCATAGCTCACACCAGCCTCCACCTTCTAGGCTCAAGCCATCATCCTGCTTCAGCCTCCCAAGTAGCTGGGACCACAGGCAAGCACCACTCAGCTAAGTTAAAAAAAAAAAAATTTATAGTGATGAGACCTCACTGTGTTACCCAGGGTGGTCTCAAACTCCTGGGCTCAAGTGATCCTACTTCCCTGGCCTCCCAAAGTGCTGGGATTACACGCATGAGCTACGGCGCCCAGCCAAGGAGGTAATTTTATCAGAAAAGTCTTAGCAGTGGGATTCTGGGGTTAGCAGTTGATTAACGAAAGGAAAGGGGAGGTCTCAAAAGTCCTCAGGCATGCACAGTTATCTCTTCATGTCTCCTCGTGGGTCTCATGTGCAACTTTGTGGGGAGTTAGTGAAAATTCAGGGGGAGTTAGTGTGAAACATGGGGTGGAAATCAGGCTGTGACATCAGCAAGCTCATTCTATACGGACTTCAGTTGGGCATATTGGTTCTAACTGATCTTAACCAGTTTTTAAATCTCACAAACAGAGGGAGTTTCAGCGTTTCAGCAAGTTGTCTCTTTTCTTATCTGCCATCCTACAAGCTCAAGAATTTTTTATCAGTCACTGGTTTCTTTAACTCTTTGGGGACACAGTTTCACAAGCAGTGACATTGAGCCCCATGTAGCAGTTGCGTGGCTTCTCTTGACCCTCCCAGAACCAGCCTGACATGTGGCTTCTGAGACACAGGCACCAGCTGGGCAGCAACCCCTCTTCAGAGGTTCGAGCACTCACTCTGTATGCCCCTCCTCTGAGCCTCTAGGTCCTCATGAAACCTCTTCCTTTTGTTCCCCAAGCCCTGCAGCTGGTAGCCATGTTCTGCAGTTTTTATCTTGGAGTTTCCACCATTCCTTTCTACTCTTCTAGCCCCTCCAGCAAATGGGCAACTAATTCAATAGATGATTGATTGATTGGTTGATTGATTGATTGATGAAAGAGATAGATGATAGATATGATAGATAGATGATAGATACATACACACATGCATACATATATACATAGATGATAGACATGATAGGATAATAGATGGATGATAGATATGATAGATAGATGATAGATATGATAGAGATAGATGATAGATTAGATAAATAGATGATAGGATAGATAGATATGGTAGATAAATAGATGTGATAGATGGATATGATAGATTACATAGATAGATATGATAGATAGATTATAGAATAGGTTGATAGATATGATAGATTAAATAGATAGATAGATAGATAGATAGATAGATAGATAGATAGATAGAATTGATGTATGAGAGAGAGATTTTTTTAAATTTTAGAGACTGGGTAATAAGACTTAGATGTTGTCCCCTTTAAGTCCCATGTTGAATTGTAATCCTCAGTGTCAAAGGTGGGGCCTGGTGGGAGGTGTTTGGGTCATGAGCTTGGATCCTTCATGGCTTGGTGCTTTCCTCAAGATAGTGAGTGAGTTCTCACGAGATCTGATTGTTTGAAAGTGTGTGGTATCTCTCCCCTCCCTTCCTTCTGTTCTGGCCATGTGACATCCCATCTCCTTTTTTATGCCAGCCTGCCACACTGCATAAAATCTCCCTGAGGCCTCCCCAGAAGCCAAGCAGATGCCGTCGTCATCCTTCCCGTACAACTTGCAGAACCATGAGCCAATTAAACATTTTTCCTTTACAAATTACTCAGTTTCAGGCATTCATTTATAGCAATGCAAGAATGGCCTTGCACACAGCGTCTCACTCTGTTGCCCAGGCTGGAGAGCAGTGGTGCAATCATGGCTCACTCACTACAGCCTTGAACACCTGGACTCAGGGAAGCCACCAACCTCAGCCTCCCTAGCAGCTGGGACTACAGGCTTATGTCACTGCATCCAGCTTTGTTATTATTATTATTATTTTTTGCAGAGACAGAGTCTCACTAGTTTGCCCAAGCTGGTCTCAAACTCCTAGTCTCAAGCAATCTTCTCTTCTCAGCCTCTGAAAGCACTAAGATTACAGGCATGAGCCACCATACCAAACCCAATTCCCTGTATTAAATACCCTCGTTTGAAATACCTAGTGGGAGTCTGTAGTCTTCCCAACTGGACCTAGACTGATACAGCTCCAGAGAGCCTTCCAGGTAAAGCTCCAATCTCTTTGCATGGTGCCGTGAAGCCCCGTCCAGGCCATGTATCCATTTTGGATGTGGTCCAGGTTGCACACTGAGCTCCAGCCTGGCAGGTCTTGTTGCATGTGGCTGCAGCACCACCCTCTCTGGCTTAATGCTTTGTGCACCCTCTGTCTGGAAAGCTACTCCATGCCTTTCCTTGTTCTCAAAGCTCAGCTCAACCATCTCTTCCTCTATAATTTTTGCTGACCCTGCTCCCCTGTTCATTTCACTGTTGAATAAGATGCCCCCTGTCCTTGTCCTGTGGCCTCCTGTTTTTCCGCTGTTATAGGACTTAATGCACCACCTTGGAATACTTGCTTTGTGTTTCTGTATCTCCCACTGGGGAGCACAGGCTCTGTCTTCTCTCTCTCCAACTCCTTTATGAGTCTCTCTGAGTTTCTTCCTTGTAATAGGTACTTGAGAAATATTTCCAAATAGAAGAAAGAAGGAAAGGAGAGAGGGAATTCTTGTGCCCTGAGGTGACTTTGTATGCCACCAGTACACATTTGTGACCACAAAGTGTGTTGTGGAACATATTCTCTTCCATAATGGAGGTATGGTTAGAATTTAAGCCTTTTTAAAATTTTAATCTGGAGATGGACAGTTTTTCACTTCTCAGGTTGTTTATTTCCTAGCTGAGATAGATGTGGCTGGCTAGCCCTGTAGACTCTGACACTCAGCTACTGACCACTGCAGTCCAGCTTGGGTGACAGAGTGAGACACTGTGTGCAAGGCCATTCTTGCATTGCTATAAAAGAATACCTGAGACTGAGTAATTTATGAATAATAGAGGTTTAATTGGCTCACGGTTCTGCAGGCTGTTTAGGAAGCAAGATGCCGGCATCTGCTTGGCTTCTGGGGAGGCCTCAGGGAGCTTTTACTCATGGTAGAAGGTGAAGTGGGAATAGTCATATCACATGGCCGGAGCAGGAGCAAAAGAGGGGAGAGATGCCACACACTTTCAGCTCTGTGCAGTGGTAACAATGAAAACAGCCTCTCGAGAGCAGAAGATAACCTGAAGTTGAGCCAATGCTGGAAGTCAAGGGCTGGGTCAGATGTCACCGGGTCTGGCGTGGTGACCCAGCAAGAGGAGTCCAGCTCATCAAGAGTGAGGCTGTCCTGATGAAAGAAGAGAAAATGATCTTTGGGCCTGGGAAGCCAACCCAGCCTGAAACAAAAGGAGGGAGGTTTGCAGAGGCCATGACAAGAACAAATCCCAGCTCTTTTCATCGCATAATAGCTGCTTCCTCTGCCCAAGCCATCCCAAGGACAGAGTTAATGTTTCCAAGGCAGGAGCTCTGGCACTTATCATTTCCACTATGCCCTCCTGTCCATTTGCCTCTGGCTGCCCTTGGATTGAAAAATCACTTGAATTATTTTTATCTGTTCAAAGTAACATTTGGGAGAAGGGCCTTTTCTTTCTCTGACACTGTGTGTGCCTGTGCCTGTGGGTGCGAAATGCTGCTCAAACCACTAGCAGTTGATCTGACTTGTCCAAGTGCTCAATGTCTGTGGAGACGTGCACAAGAGGCAAGACAACGTTGAGGAAATATTTCTGAGATTTTTCTGGCCTGAGCAGACAGGACAAGGAGGCTCAGGTTTGCTGCCTTGTGGCCAACCAAGGATAGGGGCCCAGAACTCCAGGCTCCCGGTCCAGGGTTCTCACTTTTACCATGGGATGCCTCTCTTTGATTCACAAAATAAAGAATTTGTTATTATCCCTGTGGCTCCTAGTGGCGGGCTCAATATCCCTTTAGCGGGTAAGTTATTTATATTGAAATGTGTTCCTGGGAGGTCACCATGAAGCCATATAAGCTGGAAGCCTGATTTAATTTATTGTTCCCTGACTCCTCAGCTGCTGCTGGTTCCGCCATGGCCATTTTTGAAATGCCACATGGCCACTAATGTTCTGCATGGGCCACGGAAGCAGCTTTTACAGAGTGCAGCATGGTGGATGACACAGACCTTGAGAAGGGCATGATCATGTCGTTGAGCCTGAGAGGCCCTCCCCAGCAACCACACCTCCTGCTCCTGTCCCCTCTGACCTGCTCAGTAAGACTACCCTAATGCGGATGGAACGCTACCAGGTCCCTGACACCATGCTGGGTGCTTTGCAGAGGTGACCTCATTTTACCTTCACAACAACCCAACAGAGTAAGTGTTTCCCTGGCCCTCCTTGTCCACAGCTGCAGACCTGCAGACTCAAATGGGCTCATGATTGCAGCAAACCTGTAGCAACACCAGGCTGTCATTCACATTTGTCTGATTCTTAAGCCCCTGCTGTATCCAGGCAGCATGATGAAGAGCAGGACTCTTCTGTGGGGAGTCACTCAACCCCTATGCATCAGTTTGCTCATCTGTAAAATGGAGATATTGTGAGGATGAAGTTAATTAATAGACTAAGGTGCTCAGAACAGATCATGGTACGCATTTGATTGTGTTGTCAGTGAACCACAGGGCCAAAGTATGGATGTCTTGATGGTAATGTCTCTGAAAGATATCTTAACCCCATTCACAAATGTGTCTGAGGTCTAAAAAGGAGTCCGTGTAGCCTCATCAGACCAATCCTGTTCAACTTTTATGTAACAAAGTTCTGGGTTGTTTTTCAGTTCCTGTGGCTGCCAAGTTGAAGGTCAGATAACCTGAGCATGCCCAGATGAACCAAGTATGCATCCATGGATGGAACCTAAGGGCTTGAATTGAGGACCAGGGACTGAATTACACAGTGGACACAGCATAGCAGGATCCAGGATCCAATCAGATCCAGGCCTGGCATCACCCCATTGCAAGATCCAACCAGATTATGCCTCGTTACCCTCTGACTATAAAACCTGCCCCAATCCCCAGCTCGGCGAGATAGATTTGAGCACTTCCTCCTGTCTCCTTGCCCATTGGCTTGCAATAAACTTTCTCAATGCAAAAACCTGATGCTTCTATGTTTGGCTTTCCATTGCGCTCAGGCTAACAGACCCAGATTGGTTGGGTAACACTTGTAAACCCTTGGGTGCTCAGAGCCCAGAATTAGGTTTCTAGTTGCCATTCTATTATTCCTTAGCCATGTCATTTAAGTTCTCCAGTATCACCTGGAGAACTTAAAAGTAACACCAATCAAAATGCCTCAGTTTCTGTATCAGTCAGATGGTGACAGTGATCCCCATTCTGTTCACTTCACAAAATTGTGAGACAATGGCACCCTTGAACACTGAACAGCATTAAGTTCTGACTACGGGATGATGATGATAAAGAAAGACCAAGAAATCCACAGGGCCCAGAGTAAACTCACAAGTCCCTGAGGGTGTCCCCTGGCCCTTTCTGTAGTATGTGCAACTGCTCAGTGTTCCCAGGTGTCCACAGCCACAACTACATATGGCACCTGAGAAAACCCAAATGCCTGCCAAGCCTTTTGCATGGGCCCAAATTGGCCAATTCCCCATTTCTCCTGCACTGAGTTGATGATACATGAGTGTAAGGAGAGAAATTGTTTTGCCCTTGGACTAGCAGGCTCTCATTTCCTTCCATCTTAGCCTCTATGATCTGCTGCTTAGCCTCCAAAGTCCAGCTCAAATGTTGCTTCCTCTGAGAAGGCTCACTTGCTCCTCCTCCTCTGTGTATAAATTTTTGTCCAGCTTGAGGAGATGAGAAAAGGACTCCAGCATCCCAAAGTGAATATCAATCTCTCTGTGCATCAGAATCACCTGGGAGCTCCAAAAAATGATACATGGCTGGGTCCCACCCCAGTGATTTGTTTTTGATTGGTGTTACTTTTAAGTTCTCCAGGTGATACTCACATGCAGAGAGAGGCATTGAACACTGAACAGCATTAAATTCTGATTACGGGATGATGATGATAAAGAAACATCAAGAAATCCACAGGGCCCAGAGTGAACTCACAACTCCCTGTGGGTGTTCCCTATGGGCATTGTTTCTTCCTCTGTGCTCCCTCATACTGGATCAATGCTTCGGGGTCCATGGAGAGCCAGGCCCAGAAAAAGCCAGCATGCCAATAACCCAGAATGGCTTGCCCCTTCAGGGTCCCCCACACAAAGCAAACTCCTAAGATCCCAGATGGGACAAAGATGAGGGGGCTTATGTGTATTATTTGTAGCAGCCATCAACCAAGTCTCCGTTTCCCTGGCAAGTCCCCTGAGGATTTGTTATCTCACATTTTCCCCCCAGTGAAGTCTATAATTCAGTTTTGGCTATAACTCAGTTCTTAAGTGAAAGCAGATGACATCCTCTCTGATTTCACCCATGGGAATCAGGCACACTGAAGAAGACCCAATGGAGAAACAGTTTAAGTATAAGGATCAGCCAATGCCGTTGTTGAGGAGAAATAATGCTCCTAATGTCCAATACCTGGAAAGGGGATGCTTCCTTAACTGGTGACCAAACGTAAAATGGATCCTATCTTAGCCCAGTGGTACTCAACTCTGCCTGCATGTGAGTATCACCTTGGACAACTTAAAAGTAACACCAAATGAAAACAAATCACTGGGGTGGGACCCAGACATGTATCATTTTTTAGAGCTCCTAGGTGATTCTGATGCACAGTGAGATTGATACTCACTTTGGAGTACTGGAGTCATTTTCTTGTCTCCCAGAGCTGGACAAAAATTTATACAATAAGGATTTTGTCCTACAGCTACAGAACATAGGAGAGTCAGCATGCATTCTAGGCCATATCTACATCAGGCCAAAGAGTAGGTGAAGAGGTACCCTATTTCCATAAGGGTACGTATTGCAAAACCAGGCAGTTCAGGGGAAAGTATTATTATTCATGAAAATCAAATACCAAGAAACTGAAAGAATGCCAGAACAGAGAAGGGAGCTTCAGATTTCAGATCCAGTGATTACTTCTCCTTCTTGGTAAGACAGAGTTAACTAATATGCATCCTGCCTGTCTCTTAGGGTGTTTATGACTCCTGAATAAAGATGTAGATATAGCACATTAATAACTTATAGGACTTTGTATGACAGTGAATTATTATATTGGATTAAAAGTTGTCACTGGTGTTTTGGGCAAAAGATATATTTAACATAAACAGAGTTGTGTGATAAAAATCCTTTTTTCATACTAACTTTCATTTAGAACTACATATGTAGGTATCATCAGACCCAGCTTGCCAACATGCTGAAATCACTCCACCTCAATTTATTACAAAGTGAACCACACCAACGCAATTGTTTAACCTAACCCAAACAACTAGTGTTAAATAAAGGTGGGTTTTGTGCCTTAACCAAGCCCAACTGGAACCAAAAAGGCAAACACCTTGGTGGCAGGGCAAGTTCCCTACCAACATTTGTTAGCATAATATGTCTCTATCTCTTCCTTCTAACTAATTTGTCTTGGTCTAGACCTTACTGCAGACAAGCAGATGAGGAGGCTGAGTCAGAGCAGGGCAGGCTGAGAGACCTGAGCCTCTTAGAACCTCAACAACCTGAGTAATTTAAAGGGCCAGACCCAGGGAGGGGTTAACAGAAGCGAAGCCATCCCTCCTCAGAGACCAAAACCACAAGGAGGCTTGAGCTTGTTCTCCTTCCAACTGAGGGGTCAGGAGATTCTGTCAACATCCAGAGCTGCCTTCTGTCCCCTTTTTCTTAAGTTTAAGGAAGCCACATGGTAGTTACCCAATCCCAACTTTATATCCTTAACTCAGCCCAACCCAGCTTTGATCCACCTGACTGGTGACCAGCAACATTGAGGCAGGGACACCTTAGCCGTATCATTAAGCTGCCACAACAAAATACCTGGGGTACCCAAATAGCAGACATTTATTGTCACACAGTTATGGAGGATGGAAATCCAAGATCAAAGTGTTGGCAGGGTTGGTTCCTTTGGAGGCCTCTCTCCTTGGCTTCAGAAGGCCACCTTCTCCCTATATCCTCACATGAACTTTTCTCTATGTGAGTGCATCCCTGATTTCTCTTTCTCTTCTTATGACGACACCAGTCAGATTGGATTAGGGATCCACTCTGGCAAGCTCATTCTAACTTAATCACCTCTTGCTGTGGTTTGAATGTATCCCCCAAAGCTCATATGTTGCAAACCTAATGCCCAATGCAACAATGTTGAGAGGTGGGACCTTTAAGAGGACAGAGCCCTCATGCATGCATTAATGTTGTTGTCATGGGAGTGGATTCATTATCACAAAGTAGATTTACTATAAAAGTGAATTTGGCCCTCTCTTGCCTTTCTCTGTTGAGTATGTTCTGTCACCATTCTGCCTTCTTCTATGGGATGACACAGTAAGAAGGCCCTCATAAGATGCCAGTACCTTGATATTGGACTTCCTAACCCCCAGAACTGTGAGAAATAAATTTCTTTTATTTATAAATTACTCGGTCTGTGGTATTTTATTATAGCAAGACAAAATGGACTAAGACACTTCTTTAAAGACTTTGTCTCCAAATACAGTCACATTCTGAATACTGGGTTGGGGGAGGGGAGGGCTTCAACCTATCATTCTTGGGAGAACATAATTCAACCTGTAATATCGCAGTCTCTGCAACTGCCTCTGACACCCCTTGGCTTGACTTTCCCTTCGTTACAGTTTGGCCACTCATGCTTGTGTCCTGGCCTTATGGATTTGGCCTTTGGTCTTGGTCACTGATTTTGCCGAGTGCCCTCTCATCCACTCTCAGACTTACTCCACTCTTGGGAGTCACAGAATAGAATCCCACCTTCACTGTGACCCCTGGCCAGCATCTTAGATTGAGTCCCTCTTAGTTCTTGCAAAAAGGAATTTGGACATTTTTCCAAGAAGCAGTAGCTCAAGTTACACACTCCTTGCTTCAACTTCATGACCCCTCTAGTCTTCCTGCAAGAGTTCTATATTTAGGATGGGTAGGAGAGAAAGACCTAGGAGAAAATCAGTGGCCCTTATGGCTGATTATTATTGGCAATGAGGGTGGCCTTCTACAGCTCCTTTTAAACTCTAGGAACCCAATCCCTGTAAGACTGAAGAGAGATCCAAAGAAAATGGCTGGGATAGTCATACATTTAGCTAGAATTATTCATGAATACACAAAGAAACTAGTTCTCAAAAGATGTCTGATATGTTGATTGACAGGGAAGAGAAAGATGATACACTTAGGGAATCTGGAAATACCTTTGGAGTTTTTTTGGTTTAGGGGGAGTTTTTAGATTCAGAGGGTACCTCTGCAGGTTTGCTACATGGGTATATTGCATGATGTTGAGGTTTGGACTTCTAATGATCCCATCAGCCAAGTAGTGAACATAGTACCTGGTAGGCAGTTTTTTAAACTTTGCTCCCTTCCTTCCCTCCATTTCTTTCTCCCTCCTTTTGGAATCCCCAGTGTTTATTGTTCCATGTGTCCCCATTTTTTAGCTCCCACTTGTAAGTAAGAACATGTGGTATTTAGTTTTCTGTTTCTGGATTAATTCACTTAGGATAATGGCCTCCAGTTGCATCCATATTGCTACAAAAGCCATGATTTTGTTCTCTTTTATTGTTGCATAGTGGTGTATATCTACGACATTTTCTTTATCCAATCAACTATTGATGGGCACCTTGGTTTGTCCCATGTCCTTGCTACTGTGGGTAGTAGTGCTGTGGGTACAGGTGTCTTTTTGGTAGGACAATATATCTTCCTTTGGGTATATACCCAGTAATGGGATTGCTGGGTCAAATGGTAGTTCTGTTTTTAGTTTTTTCCCTCAGAACATTTGTGGCAACCTCCTGATACCTCATCCGAGACAGGTAAAGCCAAAGCCACCAGTCCTAGGCAGGCTCTGTACATGGAGAAGTGAGATGATATGGGCCAGAAGGATGAGTAGTGAAGTACACCAAAAAGTCATTAACTAGTGTCAAATGAAGGTGGGTTTTCTGCCTTAACCAAGCCCAACTGGAACCAAAAAGGCAAACACCTTGGTGGCAGGGCAAGTTCTCTACCAACATTTGCTAGCATAATATGTCTCCATCTCATCCTTCTTACTAATTTGCCTTGGTCTAGACCCTATTGTGGACAAGTTGTTCACAAAAACATCTGGCTGCCATGCAAGAGCTACTTTGGCCTCAGGTGGGAATCTTCCAGCTTGGGGTATACCTGCTTCTTTGGGAAAAGGGTGGGGAAAGTCATATTCATCTATTTATTTATTTAACAAGCATGAGTTAGTTATTATATTCTCAGTCTCCTTCTGGAGGTTGGGAAGAGGAAGATAAAAGGAACACTCTCTGTTCTCAAGAAGAAGCTTTAAGAGGCCCCTGAGAGATGGGAAAGACTGATGTCAGGTGGGCCATAGAATCAGGAAATCTCACATGTGTATACGTGTGCAGTGTCCAAGATCAGAGTGGTCTTGAGCCTTGAGCAAAGTGGACCCTCCAGGCAGCACACAAGGATAAAGGTGGTGCAAGCTCCAGGATGTGAGGGCAGGTTTGAATTCAAATGAGGCTCTTTCCCAGGAGACACAGGGTAGGATCGGTCCAACAGCCCCCTGTAAACACACAAAGCCAGTCTCTGCACAATGCAGAATATGCCAAAATCTAGAGGTACCTGAGGTCCTGGGCTGGGGGAGACTTGGTACTTGGAGTGGACCTAGGCAACTGTGAGGCTCCTCTTAGATGGGCAAGCTGCTATGGGATATCCAAAGGTCAATCTGCCCCGTGCCTGTGGGGAATGCGTGTCCCATCTGCAGGACAAGTTTCTCCATGGAGAGTCCCTCCAGCTTGATTCAATGATGAAATGCCTGGGGTGACCTAAAGTGGACGATTTTCTAAGATCCACCTAGGTGGCAACCTATGTGCTTTGGCTACAAAAGAGAACATTAAAATCCTAGCCAGGCATGGTGGCTCATGCCTATTGTCCCAGCCACTCAGGAGTTTGAGGCAAGAGAGTCACTTAAGCCCAGGAGTTCATGAGTTCATGACTAGCCTGAGCAACATAGCAAGACCCTGTCTCTAAAAGAAACAAATAAATAATTTAAAAAAAATTCTTATCAGAGGTGTATTGACCAGGATTGTCCAGAGAAACAGAACCAATAGTGTGTGTGTGTGTGTGTGTGTGTGTGTGCGCGCGCGTGCATGTGTGTATGGCGAGAGAGAGAAAGAGAGAGCGAGAGAGACTGCCTTTAAGAAATTGTGGAGGTGCAAGTCCAAACTCTGTAGGGTGAGCCAGCAGGCTGGAGACCCAGGGAAGAACTGACGTTTCAGTTCAAGTCAAAAGGCTGCCTGCTGGCAGAATTCCATCTTGCTCAGAGGAGATCAGTCTTTGTTCTATGCAGGCTTTCAGCTGATTGGACAAGGCCCACCCACATTCTGGATTGTAATCAGGTTCAGTCAAAGTCCACTGATTCAAATGTCAATCTCATCCAAAAAACATCTTTTCAGAAACATCTAGAAGAATGTTCAAGCAAATATATGGGCACTATGGCCCAGCCAAGTTGACAGATAAAATTAGCCATCAAGAGAGTTCTACTATGCCCAATACAAAGGGAGGCCTTCTGCTTGCAATAAATCCTTTTCTGTTTGTTTGTTTTTTGAGACGGTATCATTTTGCTGCTCAGGTTGAAGTGCAGAGGTGCAACCATACCTCACTGTAGCCTTGACCTCCTGGGCTCAAGTGATCCTCTTGCCTCAGCCTCCTGAGTAGCTGGGACTACAGGCACGAACTACCATGCCCAGCTAATTTTAAAAAATATTTTTCATAGAGACAGGATCTTGCTATGTTGTCCAGGCTGAATAAATACTTTTTAAGTTAAGGAATCAATCCCTTCATATTTATCAGCCACTTAGAAGCACAGTTCAGTGAATGTCAGAGTCCCTAAAGAGGGTCCAAATATTCCAGGACTTCCTCAGAGCTTCATGGAACAATTGTGATCCAACCAGATTTCTCTGCTTTGCTTCCTTCACAGACAGAACACGGGTTCCCTCAGGACTGAGGAGAGGCACCAGATGTCCTGTTTCTTCTCATCTGTGACTGCCCAGAGGACACAAGCCTCCCACTCAAGCTGGAGGTGTTTTTAAATATTTAAGAGACTGCCAGGTGTAGTGGCTTAAGCCTGGAATCCTACTACTTTGGGAGGTCAAGGCAGGAGGATCGCTTGAGACCAGGAGTTCCAGACCAGTCTAGGCAACATAGAGAGACCCCCATCTCTACAATAAATAAATAAATAAATAAATAAATTAATTAATTAAGCAAAAAAAAATTTTTTTATAGTGGCACACACCTGTAGTCCCAGCTACTCAGAAGGCTGAGACAGGAGGAACACTTCAGCCCAGGAGTTCAAGGATGCAGTGAACTAGTATTGCATCACTGCACTCCAGCCTGGGCAACAGAGTGAGACCCTGTCTCAAAAACCAAAAAAAAAAAAAAATTTAAGAGGGTAGGTCTCATTTTAAGTGTTATTACCACACACACAAAAAGCAAAGGGACACAAGGAAACTTTTGGAGGTGAGGGATGTATTAACTGGCAATGGCATCACAGGCGCATGCATATGTCCAAACTCATCAAAATGTATACACTAGATTATGCAGGTATTTGTATATCAATTATACCTCAATGAAACTATTTTAAAAAGAGAAAATGTAGATTACATATGTATTCACATGATTGCTATTTCTGCCCATAATTCTTGACTGTCTGTTTCCCTTTGGTATAACTGGCCTTCAGTATAAAGGACTTCCTTTAGCTTTTTTCAAGTGCAGACACGCTGTAAGGGATTTGTCAGTTTTTATTCATCTTAAAATATCTTTACTTCACTTGTTTTTCCTATTGTACAAAATATCTTTCTTTGTATAATGATAATACATTTTAAAAATGGTAATAAATGGTGAAGGGTGGTAATTTTTAAATATATTTTTCAAAAATAGCTGGGCATGATGGCTTATGCCTGTAATCCCAGATACTCAAGAGGCTGAGGCAGAAGGATTTCTTGAGTCCAGGAGGTCAAAAATGTTTAAAAAAAAAAAAAAAAAAAGACGAAGGGTGCCCCAGTGGACATGTGTCTGGTCTGAGGATCCGTTCATGACTACCTTGGCCCAGTGGGATGGTCTTTCCTCAACCTGTTTTGCTGAGACCCCTTTTCTGGAGGTCACCTATTCGCTAATGTGCCAGTCGTTTGTCTGTTTGCTCCAAGATTTGTTTCTCTGCTCTGCTCCTATCACAGGGTCTGACCACTGCAGTCAACATTTCCTAGGCCCTATTGCCAGTGCAAGTAACAAACAGAAGCCTGGAAGAGAGGAGGAGAGGAGCAACCAGGGTGTATCCCCACCCTCCTTCTCCTCTGGCAGTGGTGAGATTTCTCTGGGCTTCCCACTTACACTGACAGCCCCTCCCTCTGTATCCCAGCTCCTCCCAAGCAGCCCTTGCTCTAGTTCCAGCTTCCTGCTGGGTGACATCAACTCCTGAGCTCTGAAAAGTGGGTCTTGAGTCTCAGGAGCCCTTGAGCCAAGTCTGGGTTTATAAGCAGGCAGTGAGAATGTGGAGGCCACCGAGAGTCCTCCTATCTCACCCCCAATTTCTGAGTAATCCATTGGTCACCATCTGTTGTTGCTGCGGGGGCATTATGGTTAGCAGAGGGGACCTGGAGAGAACAGAGAAATTTGTATTTGGTTCTGCCACATCCTGGCTCTGTTACCTGGGGCAAGTTACTTAACCTCTTCATGCCTCTGTCTCATCATCTGCTGAGTGGGAATAAGGACTAATGGCTTGTTGTGATCATTAAATTAGCTGAGGCAAGGTACAGTGGCTCACACCTGTAATCCCAGCACTTTGGGAGGCCGAGGTGGGCAGATTATCTGAGGTCAGGAATTTGAGACCAGACTGAACAACATGGAGAAACCCTGTCTCTACTAAAAATACAAAATTAGCTAGGCTTGGTGGCACATGCCTGTAATCCCAGCTACTCCAGAGGCTAAGGCAGGGGAATCGCTTGAACCCGGGAGGCGGAGGTTGCAGTGAGCTGAGATCACACCATTGCACTCCAGCCTGGGCAACAAGAGCAAAACTCTGTCTCAAAAAAACAAAACAAACAAAAACAAAAGTTAGCTGAATCCTGGCACATACTGGTCACTTGATCAATGTTAGCCATTATTACCCCTTGGGGCCTGTGTTCTGCCCTATCCATACCAACTGGGTCCCCAGGGGGGCAGATCTGGTCCCTCTCTTCCTACATTGCCAGCCAAGGCCAGCCTGGCCCCAGGCTGTGACCGGAAGGACGAACTTCTTAAATGCCATAATCAGAAGAGCCATCAGAGGACCTGGGAACATTTAGTTTCAAGAAGGTTTAGCTGGGCTGGGGGCGGTGGCTCACGCTGTAATCCCAGCACTTTGGGAGGCCAAGGCAGGTGGATCATTTGAAGTCAGGAGTTCAAGACCAGCCTGGCCACATGGTGAAACCCTGTTTCTACTAAAAATACAAAAATTAGCTGGGCATAGTGGCGTGCACCTGTAATTCCAGCTACTCAAGAGGCTGAGGCATGAGAATTGCTTGAACCCGGGAAGTGGAGGTTGCAGTGACTGAAATCGCACCACTGCACTCCAGCCTGGGTGACAGAGTGAGACACTGTCTGGAGAAAAAAAAAAAAAAAAAGGTTTAGCTCTTGAAGATTATGAAGAACACTGAACATTTCATCCTAAGCTTTCATGGGGAAAAGCTTTGTTTTGTTTCCTATCTAGAGGACAGAATCAGGATCAATAAATGGAAATGACAAGAGGCAGAGTTTTGCCTTGAATTAAGGAAGAATTTTCTAAAGTCAGAAACAGCTGAAGATTATGGCAAAGAGCTCCCTATCATAGGATGTGTTTGTGGGAAGTTATGGGGGTTCAGGCTTAGCAGAGAAAGATGCCCTCAGTCTCCATTTGGGTCCTTGCCAGCCCTGGGCCTCCAGTATCCAGTTAATTAGATGCCTGGGAGCTAGCTCAAAAATTAGTATTTTGAACTTGTTAATGGAAAAACCAAACTCTGTAAAATGTTTTAAAGAGGTTTATTCTGAACCAATATGAGTGACCATGGCCCAGGGAAAACCCAAACCCAAGAAGTTTCGAGTAACTTGTCCCAAGGCAGTCAGATTACAGTTTGGTTTTATATATGTTAGGGAGGCAGGAGTTGTAGGCAAAGACATACATCAGTACATGGAAGGTATACATTGGTTTGGCCTCAAAAAGGTGAAATCTTGAAGTAGGAACTTACAAGTCATAGGTGGCTTCAGAAATGATTCTTCAACCTGCATTTCATTAAAAAGAAGCAAAACTTTGTCTTAAAACTTGGAGTTAGCAGAAAATAATGTTTACGTTAAGGTGAGAATGCTGGGCCAGACAGGGTGGGCTCATGCCTGTAATCCCAGCGCTTTGGGAGGCTGAGATGGGAGGATCACTTGAGCCCAGGAGTTGGAGGCTGCAGTGGGCTATGATCTCACTACTATACTCCAGCCTGGGCAAGAGTGAGACCTTGTCTCTAGACAAAAAAAAAAAAAAGATATATTAAGTGTTATTATAAGAAAATAAAATGCTGTTGCTTACTGTAGGAATCTGTGACTGGGGACTGTACCAGCTCTACAGACAAACATGTGAAAATGCGTTCGGCCCTCCTGGGGAAGCCTACATCTCTCCTGTTGGAATAGCGATTTGCTTTGCTGGGCTGCATCATTTGTCAAGGTGTCGTGAGCTCCAGGCCCTGGGAACCAGCTGCAATGCAAAGGAAGGGAGGAGTTAGGGAGGCAAGTCGGGGGGTGCTGCACAAGTGCCTCCTCAGGGACCAGTGTGGGCTCCTGCACGTGGAGGTTTCTGAGCTAGCCACCTGTTGCCAGAGAGCTGAACTTGACATTGTTCCATAGCAAAGGTCCTCTGAGCCTCCCAGCTCCAGGACCCCATGGCTGCTGCTGCAATAAAGCTACATCACTTCACAATGCAAAACAATTTTGACTGAATGGGAGCAAAATCTGAATGAGTGTGCAGTACCTGTCTAGTGATGCTTTGCTTTCTGCATCTTTTTCCTGTCCTGGGCTCCTGTGCTATCCCCTGCTACTTACACACTGCTCTCTGACACCATGCACAGGCCAGCCATGCCCAGAAGCCTCCACCTCTCTCCTCCACATTGCTCAAATGTACACCCACAGTCCTGACCTTCCCTGCATGCATATACAGACTCACACATATAAGAGTCCACCTGGCAGGTCACAAGGTCAGGAGTTCGAGACCAGCCTGACCAACATGGTGAAACTCCATCTCTGCTAAAAATACAAAAAAATTAGCCGGGTGTGGTCGCCCATACCTGTAATCCCAGCTACTCAGGAGGCTGAGGCAGGAGAATCGCTTGAACCGGGAAGGTGGAGATTGCAGTGAGCTGAGATCACGCCACTATACTCCAGCCTGGGCAACAGAGCGAGACTGTATCTCAAAAAAAAAAAAAAAAAAAAGAGTCCACCTGTTCTCTTTCCCATCAGGAGTGGCACTGAGCCCCTCCTTCACCCCAGGTTCCAATGTCAGTGAAGGGTACCACCCTTCATCCAGTTACTCGGGCCAGAAATCCAGGAGGCAGCCCTGACCCTTTACCCCTTTATAGCCCACCCAAACTGTCAACTCTCCCTCCAAAATAGATCCCAATCCATCCGCTCCCCTCTTGCTCCTTGGTCACCCTAATTCAAACCATCATCATCTCCCACCCAGACTATTGCAAAAAGCTCTACCTGCTCTCCCTATTTCCGCTTCCGAGCCTACAATGTGTTCTCTAAGAGCAGCTGGTAAAATTGTTTAAAATGTACATATGGTTTAAGTGCAGTAGCAGATGCCTGTCATCCCAGCACTTTGGGAGGCCAAAGTGGGAGGATCCCTTGAGGCTAGGAGTTCGAGACCAGCCTGGGGAATATTGCAAGACCTCTATCTCTACAAAAATTAAAAATTAGCCAGTTGTGGTGGCGTGCACCTTTTGTCCCAGTCACTCAGGAGGCTGAGTCATGAGGATGGCTTGAGCCCAGGAGTTTGAGGGCTGCAGTGAGTAGATCATACCACTGCACTTCAGCCTGGAGAACACAGTAAGACCCTGTCCCCCCGCCAAAAAAAAAAAATGTGTATATATATATATATATATATGTGTGTGTGTGTGTGTGTGTGTGTGTGTGTGTGTGTGTCTATATCTGTATGTATATACATGTATATGTGTATGTATCTATATATATATGCGTGTGTCTATATATATAGACACTAGGTGATTATACCATTTTCCTGCTGGGAGCCCTCTAATGGCTTCCTGTGATGTTAGGATGAAATCCACACTCCCAGAGAGTCCTGCAGGCCTCCTGGATCTGGCTTCCGTCTTCCTCTTAGATTGCACTCTGGCTATTCTTCCTTCCATTCCCTCTGCTCCAGCCACCCTGACCCTCTATCTCTTCCTCAGAAACACCAAGCCCACTCCCTCCTCTGGGTCTGGTAACTACTGATCCCTCTACTTAGAAGCTTCTCCCCAAGATCTCTTGGCAACTCCTTCTCCATGGTTATGGCTCAAAGCAAATGCTATCTCCCCTGTAAACCAAAGGTGACAGAGACAAATCTCAGCGGATGTAGAGGTTTAATTTGCCATGGTTGAGGACGCACCTGGGAAAATGAAACACAAGTTACAGTCAGATCTGTGGCCTGTGCTTTTTCCAAAGAGGATTTTGTGAACTTCAATATTTCAAGGGAAAAGAGTGGGCAGGAGGGGGAGGATAGACCATGAGGCAAGTGGCCACATCATTGTGAGGCTTTGAAGAGCACTCACTGAATCCACATTTCACGTGTGAAAAGAGCCGAGTTGGGGGAAAAGTCAATTTTGCGTTCATCTCCCTTGGTAGATCTACATTTTACATAAGATAAACTAAGCATGTGAAATTACAGCGGTCTGGGAACAAAAAGAAGGTAGTTTTACTGAATCAGTTTTCCAAGCTTAACTTTCTCTTTAGCACAGTGAGCTTGGGGTTGCAAGATTTTATTTTCCTTTTACTCCCCAGAGAGACCTTCCTTGGACATTCTGACCCTTTTCCTCTCCCTCAGGGGACCCCAGAGCACCGCACACCCCCCTGGGGTGCCAAAGATGACATAATGAGGAGCAAGAAGAAAGTGAGAGAATTTTCATCTGTTATGTTTCACCCCACTTTTATAACATCTCTATTTTGTGTGTTTTATAATGCCTTAGTACAATGGTACATCATATTAGGTATAAACAATTATTTATGCATATGTCTAAATGTGTGCATGTATTATGGCAAGTGCTCAAAAATTTTGGGGAGTAAAGATGGGGTCTCACTATGTCGCCCAGGCTGGTCTCAAACTCCTAGCTTCAAGCGATCCTCCTACCTTGGCCTCCCCAAAGCGCTGGAGTTACAGGCATGAGCCACTGTGCCCAGCCTGCTCAAAATGCTCTGATAAAGAGGCATGCAATCAAAAAAGTTGGGAACTGCTGCCTTATGATAAGACCCTTTTTTATTATCTTCTTTACCACTAAACAAAATTTTTCTTTTGTTTTACTTCTTAATCCTTTCTCTCCCCTAGAATGTAAGCTCCATGCAAACCTATGTCACTTATTCATGCAATGTTATTTGTTATTGTGTGACTAGCATTTATAATAAACTGAGCACATAGCATCTGTTCAATAAATGTTTATTGATATATTAAATAAATAAATGAATGAATGATCAGAGTCTTCCCTGGGACCTAGTGGAAGGACAGTTCGTGAATCCCAACACCTTTACATGCTCAGGATAGTGGCAAATAATGACATGATGGGATGTCTCTAGGACAAGATCACTCATAGAGAAAACTGGAAAGTTTCTAGGCTTTTTGTCACCCTTTGAGATCATTTCCCTGCTCCACCTACAGTCAGAAAGCCATTGGGCAACCAACATCCCATAGTCAGAAGAATAGCCCCTGGGAAGTCATCAACACTTAGAATAAACTGGTTTAATATACTGCAACTCCCAGGAGTGTTTGCCTCAAAAAACACCATTAAGATCAGGGGCCAGGGGTCTCAGCTTAGCTACAAACTATTTCTGAGGTCCTATGACTTTCTCCAAGTTCTCAACGCTAACCTGAGAGAAGTTGTGTATTAGTCTGTTCCCACATTGCTAATAAGGACATACCCAAGACTGGGTAATTTATAAAGAAAAGGAGGTTTAATGGACTCACAGTTCCACATGGCTGGAGAGGCCTCACAGTCATAGCAGAAAGCAAGAGGAGCAAAGTCACGTCTTACGTAGCGGCAGGCAAGAGAGAGCATGTGTAGGGGAACTCCCCTTTATAAACCATCAGATCTCGTGAGACTTTTCACTATCATGAGAAAAAGCATGGGAAAGAACCTCCCCCATGATTCAATTACCTCCCACGGTGTCACTCCCATGACACGTGGAAATTATGGGAGCTACAATTCAAGATGAAATTTGGGTGAGGACACAACCAAATCATATCAAATTGGATCACAGCAGGTTTTCTTCTTCACTTTAATATTTGGAAATAACTTCAAATTTATAGAAAAGTTGTAAGAACATGAAGAACATGCATATATGTGCCTGCACTGAGATTTACCTATTGTGAAGATGTTTCCACCTGTTTTATGTTATCACTCTGTCTCTTCATATGTGTGTGTATGTGCATGTTACACACACACATTTTTCTGAACCATTTGAGAATAAGTTCCATGCACTACACTAAATGTTTCTGTGTGTATTTCCTAAGAATAAGGAGATTCTCCTGGAACTCCAGTGCAGTTATCAACTTCGGTAAATTTAACATTGAAACAATACTTTGCCATCTAGCAATGCATTTTTCAAATGCTTTCAGCAGCAGTCCTGCTTCTTCAGTTGAAATCTTACTTGGAATTCCAACATACGTCACAGATGAAAATAGAAGGCTTGCTTGAGGAAGGAGGCAACGGAAGAGCTATTTCCTACTTGATATGGTTTGGCTCTGTGTCCGCATCCAAATCTCACCTTGAATTGTAGTTCCCATAATCCCCACGTGTCAAGGGCAGGACCAGTTGGAGGTAATTGGATCCTGGGTGCAATTTCCCCCATGCTGTTCTCATTGATAATGAGAGAGTTTCACGAGATCTGATGGTTTTATAAACATCTGGCATTTCCCCTGCTTGCACTCATTCCATCCTGCTTCTCCTTTGCCTTCCGCCATGGTTGTAACTTTCCTGGGGCCTCTCCAGCAATGCGGAACTGTGAGTCAATTATATCTCTTTCTTTTACGAATTACCCAGTTTCAGGCAGTTCTTTATAGCAGCATGAAAACGAACTAATACACTACTACTTCTGTATCAAATTACCACTGACTTGGTGGCTTAAAACAACACAAATTTATTATCTTACTGTTCTGGAGGTCAAAAGTCCAGATCTCACAGAGCTGAAGTCAAGGAATTGGCAGGACTCATTCCTTCTGGAAGCTCTTGGGGAGAATCTGTTTTCTTGCCATTTCCCCATTTCCAGTTTCTAGAAGCGTCCCACCTGCACTTCTTGGCGCATGACCCATTCCTGGAATCACAGGAATCCTACCTCCTCCTTTGACCTTCTTTCCTCCCTCTTATAAGAACACTTGCGATTACATTGCATCCACTCAATAATCCAGGCTAATCTCCCCTTTCAAAATCATTAACTTAATCACATCTGCAAGTCTCCTTTGCCATGAGGGATAACATTTACAAGTTCTGGGTATGAAGACGTGGAGATTTTTCAAAGGGTCATGATGCAGCCTACATATGGTTGAGTAGGTTGTACACTGCATAAAGGCACCACAAATCCAGCCTGCAGTTCATTTGCCAAATCATATGTCTTTTTCTTTGCAAAAATATTCTGGCTGGTACCAGGCATGTACCCAAAGGGATGCACCTGCCCAACAGGGCTGCTTTTTCTAATTTGCACAAAGACTCTATGTAGGCCAGCTGGTGGCCAATTCTGTCATGCCCTCTTTGCCTCTAGTTTCCCAGAGACTCCTTTTAAGCAACCCCTTAGGGCTTTTGGATCTGTTTAAAACCCCAGGACCCCACTGTTAAGACAGTTTCCAGCTGTGCTATGCCATGCTCTGATACTGCATCTAAATGGGTCCCAGGGCACCCAGAGAACAAACAGCTTTCCAACTATTTAGGTTGTGACCCAGGGGCAAAGGGAGTCCCTGAGATGCAGACTAGCTCTGCCTCAACGAGGAGCCCCAAAGACTCGTAAACTCTGCAGCTCCCCATGACTTGAGGTTCTTTCTTCAGTCTCCGAGATTCATGGTTTCCCCAAGTTTGGATCTCCGAACCCATCATTCATGTACCCCATCACAACTCCCCAGCCCTTTCCTGCCTGAGGCCAGCAGAGGGGCCCAGGAATCCCTGGAATGAGGAAGCACCCTCTCCCATGGTCCCAAGTCCACATCGTTGGGTAGTGCACAGCAAACCACCCCAGATGCAGGAGTACATCGAGTATCGCCAGCTTGTTGTCACACGGGGACACCTGTGTAAGGAGAAAGGTGTGGAGTAGAAACCCTAAGGATGTCTGGTCCCTTTGCTAACCCAGGACTGCTCTGCAGATGTATCCTCAGTAATGCAGAACT
Source organism: Homo sapiens (assembly GCF_000001405.40). Lineage (NCBI taxonomy): Eukaryota > Metazoa > Chordata > Mammalia > Primates > Hominidae > Homo > Homo sapiens. Next base: position 70,952,307 of record NC_000007.14, on the reverse strand, counting down.
GTGAGTAACAGCACATATCCTATTACTGATATGTCTCCCCTAAACCACTGAGTCATCTCTGTCCTCCTAACGGTGGCACCAAGAGGGCTTCTGCTTTCCCTGTCCTGCCTGCCCCAGGCCTCCATAACCGTGGTTCATTTGGTGGCCACAGTTCTAAGAAATCTTCTTGTTCCAAGAAATCTTCAGATTCTGTAATCTGCTGGCCCAGAAAATCTCTGTTCCTGACTTTGAGCCCACTTTCCACTTTGAGCGGGTCAACGTTGATGCTATCTACTTAGGAGTCTCCTGTCCTTCTGTCTTCATTCTTCTAAATGATTCTGCAACTATGAGACCCATGATGCTGTCCAGAACACGCTCTTCTGTTGTAGCTCCCACATTTAGCTCCTGGTACTTTTCCCCACCGACATCCACTGGCCCAGCTCCCACCAAAACCTATCCTACCTCTGTATCTCCAAGGCTCACTCACAGTGGCTGCCACCAAGACTGCAGGACACCTTTCTAAGGAGATAACCAACACTTGATCTCTCTCGGCCACTGGAAGGGCAAGGGCTGAAGGTAGGGGTCCCCGCTGAGCCAACAATCTGTCCTGCTCTTTTTCTCCTGAAGTAGAATTCACATCTTGCCCATTTCATTAAAAAAGTAATAAACGCCTTTCAAGTTTTTTACCTTTTCTTCTTTGAGGAATCAAAAGGTTCATTTCTGAAATCAGATGCATGTAACAGCCTTTTTAAATTACCCTGCAAATGAGTTTCCTCTCCAGCAGAGCAACGGAGACCTAACGAACCTGCTAAGTGGTGCCCTGGCTGGTGTTAAATTGATTGAAAGGCTGAGGTATGTGACTATGTCAGGAGGGGTGGGGCCTGGGGCTGTCTGGCTATAGAAGTGTGCAGAGAAAATGCCAGCACCCTGTCTCTCCCTGATCCCTGTCCTAGGTGGAACAGACCAGGGAGCTGGCAGCTGCTATGGCGCTTACAGCCTGGGGAGAGGGAGAACCTTCCCTTGGAGAAGAGAGGGTGTGGCAGCTCTCTTAGGCCTCCAGAGGTCCAGTCTGCCCTAGGTTGTAGCATTTTGAAGAAGTCTGTCATAGAATTGGTTATTTAAGCCTAGGGGCGTGGCCTCAGGGTGGATGGCAACTAGGTCAGCTCTCTGTCCTCGCCATGGCCACCCTCACACTGTCCATTCTTAAGGTTTTTTTTTTTTATTTTTTTGGGACGAAGTTTCACTCTTGTCACCCAGGCTGGAGTGCAGTGGCGGGATCTCAGCTCACTGCATTCTCTACCTCCTGGGTTCAAGCAATTCTTCTGCCTCAGCCTCCTGAGTACTTGGGAGTATAGGCATGTGCCACCAAACCCGGCCAATTTTTTTTTTTTCACCATGTTGGCCAGGCTAGTCTTGAACTCCTGACCTCAGGTTATCGGCCCACCTCGGCCTCCCAAAGTGCTGGGATTACAGCTGTGAGCCACTGCGCCCAGCACACTGTCCATTCTTGAGATGGGCAAGTAGGCAACGTGAACTGCCCAGGCCTTGGGTCTCTTTTATCTTCTGTGTGTTTTTTTCTCTATCTTCTCTTTTCTAAATGCATTGTAAATGCATCCAACAAATCGCTAGTGTCCAGAATCTATAAGGAACATAAACAGCTCAACAAGGAAAAAACAAATAACCCCATTAAAAAGTGAGCAAGGGACGTGAACAGACATTTTTCAAAAGAAGACAAACAAGTAGCCAAAAAACATTTGAAACAATGCTCAACATCACTAATCATCAGAGGAATACAATTAAAACCACAATGAGATACCATCTCATACCAGTCAGAATGGCTATTAGTAAAAGTCATAAAACAACAGATGTTGGAAAAAATGCAGAGAAAAGAGAATGCATATACATCATTGGTGGGAATGTAAATTAGTACAACCTCCATGGAAAACAGTATGGAAATTCTCAAAGAACTGAAAATAGAAATATTCTTCAGTCCTATAATCTCACTACTGGGTAGCTATCCAAAGAAAAAGAAATTTTATCAAAAAGACACCTGTAGTCATATGTTTTTCACAGCACTATTCACAATAGCAAAGTCATGGAATCAACCTAAGTGTCTACCAGCAGATGTTTGGATAAAGAAAATGTGAGATATATACATGTATCTCATATATATCTCACATTTTTGTGGTAGTAGTATTCCATGGTGTGTGTGTGTGTGTGTGTGTGTATACACATATATACACACCATGGAATACTACTCAGCCATGAAAAAGGATGAAATCATCTTTTGCAGCAGCATGGATGGAACTGAAGACTATTGTCCTAAGTAAAATGACTCAGAAACAAAAAGTCAAGAACCACATTTTCTCTCTTACAAGTGGGAGTTAAACAATAGGTACACACAGACATACAGAGTAGAATTATGGACATTAGAGACTGCAAAATGTGGGAAGGTGGGAGGGAGTTGAAGGATGAAATACTACCTATTGGGTACAATGTACACTAGTTGGGTAATAGGTACACTAACAGCCCAGACTTCACCACTATTCAATATATTCAGGTAACACACAACTTCATGTGTACGCTCAAATCTATAAAAAGTTTTTAAAAATTAAATACAAAATTTTAAATATGCATTATGAGCATTATTCACCATAGCCAAAAGTGGAAGCAACTCAAATGACTATCAACTGATGAATGGATAAGCAAAATATGGAGTGTGGACTATCCACACCATGTAATATTATTAAGCCATAGAGAAAAAAATGAAGTACTGATGCATGCTACAATGTAGATGAATCTCAAAACATCACGTTAAGTGAAAGAAGGTAGTCACAAAGGACCATATATCGTATGATTCCATTTGTATGAAGTGTCCAGAATCAGCAAATCTATGGAGACAGAAAGTAGCTTAGTGCTTGCCTAGGGCCCAGGGGTATGGGGTTTGGGGGATGACAGATAAAAGGTGGGGCTTCCTTTTTCAGTGATGAAAATGTTCTAAAATTGTAGTAACAATTAACTCTGTGAATATAATAAAACCCAATGCGTTGTGTAATGAATTGCATTGCATGTGAATTATATTCAATAAAGCTGGTTTTTAACTATGCATTGCAAGCAGGGGGTGGAGGGTGGGATTTGTAGCACAGGCATGACCTCCAATTCAGAAGGATGAGAGTTCAAATCCCAGTTTCAAATCCCTGGGCCCCTGGGCTCACAGGACCTCCTCTATGAAAGACTTCTGCAGAATGCTTCAGCCTAGGGCTGGCTGGACCTCTGGAGGCCTGAGAGAGCTTCCACACCCTCTATTCTCCAGGGCAAAGTTCTCCCTCTTCCTGGGCTGCAGGCTCCATGGCAGCTGCCAGCTGTCCAGTCTGTCCCACTCAGGGTACCAAGACTTCCATACTGAATAGCCTTGGGCAAATCATTTAACCCTTCTTGGCCTCTATTGACTCAGCTGTAAAGTTGGGTGAATACTGTTCATCTCAAAAGGTGGGTGTCTTAGACCATTTGCTGGGTAATTTATCAAGAAAAGAGGCTTATTTTGCTCACAGTTCTGCAGGCTGTGCAAGAAGCATGGTGCCAGCATCTGCTTCTGGTGAGGACCTCATGAAGTTTCTACTTATGGTGGAAGGTGAAGGGGGCCGGCATATCACATGATGAGAAATGGAGCAAGAGAGATAGGAGGGAAGTGCCAGAGTCCTTTTAAGAATCAGTTATCATGGGAATTAAGAGTGAGAACTCATTCACTCCTGAGAAAATGGCACCAAGGCATTCATAAGGGATCCAACTTCATGACCCGAACACCTCCCACCAGACCTTACCTCCAACATTGGGGATCACATTTTCACCTGAGATTTGGAGGGGACAAATATCCAAACTATATCAACTGATATAACAAAAGACCATAGACTAGGCAATTCATAAAGAAAAAAAAATTATTTCTCACAGTTTTAGAGGCTGGGAAGTCCAACATCAAGGCAGCAGTTGGTTTGGTGTCTGGAGGAGGCCCATTGCTCATAGATGGTGCCATCCAGATGTCCTCACATGGAGGAAGGGATGGAAAGAGGACAAATGCTGAGTCCTCACATGGCAGAAGAGCAGAAGAATAAAAGAAGTAAAGGTCATTAATCCTCTCATGAGAGTGAGAGCCCTCATGACTTCATCACGTCCCAAAAAGGCCCCATCTCCCAATACCACCACAATGGAGGTTCAGTTTCAACATGAATTTTGGAGGCAACGCACATTCAAACCAGAGCAGGGGGCATTAAATAAGATATGCATAAAACCCCTAGTTCAGGCTCTGACATGAAGCAGAAACAGGACATAATGATAACGGTTATTATGCTAGATAGAACAGTCAACTTTGAGGCAGAATATCTAGGTTCTAATCCCAACCCTACATGATGTCACTGTATGACCCTGGAAGCTCTTAGCCCCATTAAGCCTCAGTGGCACTGGTAGTCAGATGGGATAAGAGGCCTGAACTCACAAGGTTGAAAAGGTCAGAAGATAACAAGTGTGGAAGTCATGTATGTTAGGAGCCCAGTATAAGTTTATTGATTAATGATTGAATGGATCATTAATGGATCCATCCATTAATGGATGGATGGATGGATGGATGGACAGATGGATGGACGGTTGGATGGATGGATGGATGGATGGACAATGAGCGTGAGGCAGATACTCATTCAAACACACACACGCACTCCTTCAGGGTATCAAGATGACAAACTCATAACTTTTGGCTTCCTGGTCAGCATTCTCAGCACAAGGGTTCCAGCCCCCAAGAATAGGCTGGGGCCCAGGGACTCTCAGGCCCGGAGTCACTGCAGGGCAAAGATGAGAAGGTGTTTCATCCAGGACAGTTCTGGGACAGAGCACACTCAATTTTCCTCTTGAAAAGCAGGAATGCTGTGTGTCTCTCATGGTCTCCCTGAGGAATAGACCCACCACTTAGACTCAACAGGTGCCAGACCCTCTTCTGCCTGTCTCTGTGCCCTTCCCAACCTGTCCTTGAGCCACTAACCATCCCCCTGTGGAGACCCCCTGGTTCCCCTGCCTCATCCACTTACTTGGACAGAGTAGGACCTGACCATCTCCCTCTGCCTGGAGATTCACAAGAAAAGGAGGGAAGAGGACGGTTCTAGGGACCCTTGAAAAGGCCACAGCATCTTCCTATGTTCCTCTTGAACATTAACTCCAAGTCTAAGGGGCAAGTGAGTTCTTTATATGAGCCTTGGCCTTCTTGTTATTTGGAATTGCCCAGGTGGTAACAACAATCATGAACTACATGACAGTGCTAAGGGAAAGCCAAGTTCAAGCTCTTTGAGGAAAGCTGGAGCCAAGCTCCTTACATTGCAAAGGGGATTATCCAAGTGAGGTGCAATCAAAGATAGAGTGCAACGAAACTGTCTACCAAGGAGTGACCTGTCCATTATCATAATTGGTGATTCCCACCACCCTTGCCAGGTAAGCAGGTATGTACAACCACCCCGATTTCACAAAGGAAGACTTCAGGTCACAGGTCACACTGCCTGAAATTGGCAGAGCTGCGTGTGCTCAAAGACATGGGACTTTTTTACTTCCCTCTCCTGAAGACCTACCTCCTACAACTGTGTGTGAAACACATTCATTATCCCAATGCTGGGAATGGCTGCAAAGGAACTGCAAATTGGAGTTTCTTTGTGTTTGGCATTAATGATTTCTTTCCCAGTGGGTGCTGAAGGAGGTCGCTAGTTGCTCAGCTTGGTGAATATAATCCCCCTGCCAAAAGATGAACAGAAGCTGACGGGGCAGCTATGTTTGGGCGAGGTCCAGTTCCAAGGCTCCTCTGGGAAGGGAGAAAACAGGCAAGGGGCTGCAGAACATGTGGGGGCAGTTCTACATTTCCCTGGAAGCTCCCCAACCCTGAAGCCCCCACACATAGAGGGTCCCAAGGAAAAAGTCCCAAAGGATAAGGACCCCATTTCTGCAGAGGCTAGGAGTACGATACCCCCAGAAGGCAGCAGATCTCCTTCAGGAAGACCAGCCACTCTTTTCTGATCCCAGCTGTTAGTTTGTTTGGTTTTTTTCTCTGTTTTGTTGTTCTTATACTGCCTCTTTCCCTGACTGCTTTAGGTGAGACAGGGTCCTCCTGCCACTTGCCTCCCCAAATCCACACCCAGTGCAAAGCATGCTGCAGACAGGAGAGGTGCCAGGGACCACCAACACAGCCCTGGGTAGACATGGTCTGTGGTCTCCTGGACTTGACATTTTACTGGAAGAGACATACAACAAACAAGTTGGTGACCAAAAAATAAAAATAAAAAATCTAAACTCAGTAAAATATCTGAAGAGTTTCATTCTAAGCCAAATGGCCCATGACACAGCCTCAGGAGGTCTTGAGAACATGTGCCCAAGGTAGTTGGGTTACAGCTTGGTTTCATACATTTTAGGGAGACAGAAGTTAGAGCCAAAGACATAAATCAATGCATGGAAGGTATACATTAGTTCACTGAGAAAGGCAGGACATCTCAAGGGGGTAGGAGAAGCTTACAGGTCATAGGTGGATTCAAAGATATTCTGATTGGCAATTGGTTGAAAGAGTTAAGCTTTGCCTGAAGAGTTGAAGTCAGGAGAAAGAACGCTTGAGCTAGGATAAGGAGAGTTGTGGAAGCTGAGGTTCTTGTTATGTAGATGAAGACTCTGAGTAGCAGGCTTCAGAGAAAATTGATGGTAACTGTATCTTATTAGACCTCAAAAGGTGTCAGACTCTTCGTTCAATCTCTCCTGGATGAGGAATAGACCCAGGAAGGGAAGGGGAGTCTCTGTAGAGTGCAAATTTTCCCCCTCAAGAGACAGCTTTGCAGGGCCATTCCAAAATATGTCAGACAAATATATTCGGGGGTAAAATACTTTGATTTCCTTCAGGGCCTGCTATGTATCATGTGACACTGTACCAGGGTCAAGTTGGAGTTGGGTACCTTATTACTACAAAGAGTCTTTTTCTTTTTTTGTCTTATGGTCTCTATTTTATTGTTAATGCTGTTCAGTTGTACCTAAACTCCAAAATGGAAGTGTGTGAGGTGTGTCCAACCTCCCTTCCCATCATGGCCTGAACTAGGTTTTCAGGTTTTCTTTGGGACTCCTCTGTCCAAGATTTGAGGGGGTCCATTCAGTCATTTGGGGAGCTTAGGATTTTATTTTTGGTTTACAAAGTCCACCAATAGTTACATATTATGATTCTAGGAGGGATAAGAACCACAGAGGAAAGAAACGCAGGGTAATGGGAGAGGGTGACCAGAGGCTAGAGCTCCTCTTTGAAAGAGTCAATCATGAGATGGGAGGAAGAGCATCCAAAGATGGGGAACAGCCAGTGAGAATTGCTGGAGATGGGAACAAGGCTGGCATACTTGAGAAAGAGGGGAAGGCCAGTGTGGCTGGAGCTTGGAGAGCCACCGGAATGACCATGAGGAGAGGAAGGGGTGACCAAAGGGCACATCACTCAGGGCCTTCACACCAAGTATGGAGCTGGGATTTCACCCCCAGGATTATGGGTGGCCCTTGGAAGGGGTCCGCACACAAGAGTGATGCAACCTGATGTGTGTTTCAGAAAGGTCGCTTGAGCTATTGTGCAGATGGTCAGGATGACAGAGGAGAAAGTGGAAGTAGAGAATGATCTGGAGCTTCTGCAACTATCTGGATGAGATGGTGGTGGCTTGGCCCGGGTGCTGGGGCAGAAGAGGAGAAGTGGTCAGATTCAGGGTTTATTCAAAGGTGGTGCTGCTGGGACTTGAGGATGGCTGGTGTGTGGGGTGTGAACACAGGAAAGGAGTCGAGGAATGGTCATGAGAGGTTTTCAGCCTGAGCAAAGAGGGCTGTGTCTTGAAATGGGAAGACTGGGGGAGGCAGAGGCTGGGCCATGGTGAGACTGGGTGGGAGAAACAGAATATTTTGGATATGTTAAAGTTGAGACCGTGAATCTGCAGTGTCAGGCTGTAGTCAAGGCTGAGCGAGTGTAACTGTAACTAAGCATGTTTTTCTCCACGACTTCCTCACTCCAGAGTCAGTCAGGGGCAATTCTGCTTCACAGACATGGTTCTGCATATCTACCTTAATCTTGGGATCTGGGACACCAGAACCAGCTTTGACATCAATATGCAGGATCTCCTCAACAGAAGGTCCCTGACTTAAACTCAGAACAAGCCTGATGGGTCTAGAAGCTGATGCTCCACACAGAATCATGGTGTGGCTGCCCTGCCATGACTGGCTCTCTCCCCTGGGCCATCTCTCAGGTGTACACGTAACTTGGCAAACATAATTATTCAGAACTTCCCCTGGGCTAGACCATGCACTAGGCAATGGAGGTTGGAAGATGAATTTAACAGTCTCTTGGTGGGGATGGGGAGATGGACTTAAATAATATAGCAGAGGCTGGGTGCGCTGGCTCATGCCTGTAATCCCAACACTTTGGGAGGCTGAGGTGGACAGATCATTTGAGGTCAGGAGTTCGAGACCAGCCTGGCCAACATGGGAAAACCCCATCTCTACTAAAAATACAAAAAGTAGCCTGGTGTGGTGGCCTGCACCTGTAGTCCCAGCTACTCAGGAGATTGAGGCACGAGAATTGCTTGAACCTGGGAAGCAGACATTGCAGTGCAGTGAGCTGAGATCATGCCACTGCACTCCAGCCTGTGCAACAGAGTGAGATTCTGTCTCAAAATAATAATAGTAATAATATAGCAGAGAGGAAAACATGCTAACTAGAGGTCCAATCAGGGTGCAGAGGGAGTGCACAGGGAGAATAATTCATTTTGCCCCAAAGGATCAGGGAAACTTCATCCAGGAAGTGTTATCTGAGCTGCCCTTGAAGGATGATGAAGTGGGTGAGGGCATTTCTGTTCAATGGGACAGTGAAGGAAAGAAACAAGGTTGTGAAAGCGTGTGGCCAGTATGTGAAGCCTGGGTGCCTGGAGAAATGTGGAAGATGGGGCTGCGTGACCCAGCACATTTTGCAGAAATGGCTGCACTAGTATATATCCCAACCTCTTTGCTCTTCTCAGGATATGATATTGACTTCTCCATCAAGAGGCGGGAGTCTGCATTCCCTCTCCTTGAACCTAGGCAGACCTTTGGAACTGCTTTGGCCAGTGGAATATGGCAGAAGTGGTGATGCCAGTACCGGGAATTATAGGAATTCTCAGATCTTTGTCATCTTGGGAGAAAGATTTTGGACAAAACCACTAATTTAGCCAAAAAACAGAATTTATTGAAGGGAAATAAGGAGCAGAGAGTTGTTTAAAGGGAAGTACGCTGCAGAGATGAGGCAGAGCAGGCTACAGATGGCAGTGAGCCAGCAGCAGCTTGGGAGTTCTGTGTTGGGTTTGTTGTTTTTGAGACGGAATTTCACTCTTGTCACCCCCAAAGCTGGAGTGCAGTGGTGTGATCTTAGCTCACGGCAACCTCCACCTCCTGGGTTCAAGCGATTCTCCTGCCTCAGCCTCCTGAGTAGCTGGGATTACAGGTGCCCGCCACCACGCCCAGCTAATTTTTGTATTTTTAGTAGAGATGGGGTTTCACCATGTTGGCCAACTTGGTCTCGAATTCTTGACCTCAGGTGATCTGCCCCCTTGGCCTCCCAAAGTGCTGGGATTACAGGCGTGAGCCACCGCGCCTGGCCTCTGTGTTGGGTTTTGATGATGTCCGACTCTTTTTTGAAGTTCCTGCCTCTGTCTTAAGTCTCTGCCTTTTTTCTTTGTCTAGTTTTTTGGCTCCTCCCTTAGGTCTCTGCCTAATTCCCGCTCTAGGTTTGTAGGACCCTTCCTGATTAGTAGTGCTGGATACAAATCCTACCTAATGGCTGCATAATTTATTTGGGAGTTTGGTTTTGTTTTTTTTTTCTTTTTGAGATAGGGTCTTGTTCTGTTGCCCAGCCTGGAGTGCAGTGGCACAATTATGACTCTCTGCATCCTTGACTTCCTGGGCTCAAGTGATGCTCCCACTTCAGCCTCTGGAGTAGCTGAGATTACAGGCGTGTGCCATGATGCTTGGCTAATTTTTGTATTTTTTGTAGAGATGGGGCGTCTTTCTATTTTACCCAGGCTGGTCTCAAACCCCTACGCTCAAGTGATTCTCCTGCCTCGGCCTCCCAAAGTGCTAGGATTACAGGCATGAGCCACTGTGCTGTTTATTATTGTCACCCCAGGAAGGTCGTATAGTGATTAAATCTCTACTTATTATTCCTGTGTATATTTTAAGAATTTTTCCATGTCTTCTTTATTAGTAGGTAGCTATGTTTTGACGGGGTAACTGTAGAGTGAGTGATTATTGGGCATCTTGAGAAGAAATTCTTTTTGCTTAGTTATTTTTCTTCCCCTCTCTTTATATGGAGCATTCAGGTTTTGGGTGGTCCCTGGGGTATAAGACTTTCCAGACCTCTCTTTTTTTACCCCTAAAATTTTTCTTTTTTTTTTTTTTTTGAGATGGAGTCTCACTCTGTCACCCAGGCTGGAGTCTAATGGTGCGATCCCGGCTCGCTGCAACCTCCGCCTCCCGGGTTCAAGAGATTCTCCTGCCTCAGCCTCCTGAGTAGCTGGGATTACAGGTGCCCGCCACTACGCCCGGCTAATTCTTATATTTTTAATAGAGATGGGGTTTCACTGTATTGGCCAGGCTGGTCTCGAACTCCTGACCTCAAATGATCCACCCACCTCGGCCTCCCAAAGTGCTGGGATTATAGGTGTGAACCACTGTGCCTTGCCTTCTTCTTTTTTTTTCTAAATTTAACTTTTATTTTACGTTCAGGGGGTACAGGTGCAGGTTTGTTATAAGTAAACTTGTGTCATGGGGGCTTGTTGTACAGCTTATTTCATCACCCAGGTATTAAGCCTAGTATCCATTAGCTATGTTTCCTGATCCTCTTCCTTCTCCCACCCTCCACCCTCCCACAGGCCCCAGTGTCTATTGTTCCCCTCTTTGTGTACATGTGTTCTCATCATTTAGCTTCCACTTTTAAATGAAAACATGCGGTATTTGGTTTTCTGTTCCTGTGTTAATTGACTTAAGATAATGGCCTCCAGCTCCATCTATGTCCCTGCAAAGAATATGATCTCGCTCTTTTTTAATGGCTGTATAGTATTCCATGGTGTATATGAACCACAGTTTCTTTATCCAGTCTATCACTGATGGGCATTTAGGTTGATTTCATGTCTTTGCTATTGTGAATAGTGCTGCAGTGAACATATGCCTGCATGTGCCTTTATAATAGAACAATTAATACTCTTTTGGGTATATACCCAGTAATATCCCCACTCTTGCTCATGTCTAGCTCTCTGTCTACTCTAACAAGGTGAGACTACCAAGGCTAAATAATGAAAGACATTACAGCTTCTACTTAGCCTTTTGGATCATTTATTCTGGGGGAAGCTCACTACCATACCATGAGGATGCTCAAGCAGCTCTGTGGAGAGAAACTGAGATCCCGTCAGGCAACAGTCAGCACCAGCTCCCCAGCCATGTGAGTGGGCCACCTTGAAACCAGATCTTTCAGCCACCGTCAAGTGTCCAGATGACTCCAAAATCATCAAGCTGCATGCAGCTGACCTCTAAGGGCAAAAGGAAAGACCCCAAGCAAGGATGACTCTGCCAAGCTGTTTCTGAACTCCTCACCCACACAATCTAGATGCATCACAAATGCCACTGTTTTAAGCCACTAAGTTTTGGGGTGGCTGGTTTTGCAGCCATAGTAACTGGAAGAGCATGAAAGGATTATAGAGGTCCCTGAATGTCATGCTAAGAAGTTTTTATTATTATTTATAAAACTCAGCACTGAGTGATTTTCTGGGCGGAGAACTGCGATTCCGCCTGTATTTCTTAGAGAGGCTGTTCTGACAATTTGAAAGACGAAATGAGAAGTAAAGAGGAGAGAACGGAAAGGAGCATTCAGTGAGGAAAGCAAAGCTGGTGTAAGACTCCAAGGAGGACCAGGTGCAGTGGCTCACACCTGTAATCCCAGAGCTTTGGGAGGCCAAGGCAGGAGGATCACTCAAGGCCAGGAGTTTAAGACCAGCCTGGGCAACATAGCAAGATCCCATCTCTGCAAAAAAAATTAAAAATAAGCTGGATGTGGTGATGTCTGCCTGTAGTTCCAGCTACTTGGGAGGCTGAGGCAGGATTGCTTGAAGCCAGGAGTTCAAAACCAGCTTGAACAATGTGGTGAGACCCTGTCTCAAAACAAAAAAAAAAATTAAATTAGCAAGGTGTGTTGGTGTGCATCTGTAGTTCTAACTACTCAGGAGGCTGAGATGGGAGGATTGCTTGAGTCCCAGAGGCTGCAGTGAGCTATAATCGCACCACTGCACTTCCGCCTAGGTGACAGAGCAAGACTCTGTCTCAAAAAATAGAAATAAAAAAGAACAACTCCTGGGAGGAGATGAAAGTTTATGCTAGGTGATCGGGCATGGTGGCTCACACCTCTAATCCCATCACTTTGGGAGGCCAAGGTGGGCGGATCACCTGAGGGCAGGAGTTCGAGACCAGCCTGGCCGATGTGGCAAAACCCTGTCTCTACTAAAAATACAAAAATTAGCCAGGCATGGTGGCACACACCTGTAATCCCAGCACTCGGGAGGCTGAGGCAGGAGAGTCGCTTGAACCTGGGAGGCGGAGGTTGCAGTGTGCCGAGATCACGCCATTGCACTCCAGCCTGGGTGACAAGAGTGCAACTGCGTCTCAAATAAGTAAATAAATAATAAAAAAGAAAGTTTATGCTAGGCATGAGAGAAGAAAAAGGCAAAGACATTTGCGGTGGGGTAGGGGTGGAGTCAGTAGAGTAGTGACTGCCAAAGTGTTGGAGAGAGGAGGTCAGGGGAACAATGGCATTGATCATTATTCTGAGGGTTCTAGCTTGGTAGACCCAAAGGACCATAACATCATTAATGGGATAAGGTGTGAGGGTCTGCTCATTTAACAAATAAGCATGGCTTTGTGTGAAGGAAGACTTGTACCTTGCCCTCCTCCTAGGTGTTATGGCTTGAATATTTGTCCCTCCAAAACTCATATTGAAATTCATTCCCCAATGTGGCAGTATTGAGAGGTGGGGCCTTTAAGAGGTGATCAGATCATGACAGCTCTGCCTGCACAAATGGATTAATCCATGAATGGATTAATGAATTAAAGGAATAGTGGGCTAATGGATGAATTGGCTATCATGGGAGTGGTACTGTTTGCTTTATAAGAAGAAGAAGAGAGAACTGAGTCAGCACAATCAGCCCCCTTTCCATGTGTATTAGGCCAGTCTTGCATTGCTCTCAAGAAATAGCTGAGGCCAGGCGAGGTGGCTCATGCCTGTAATCCCAGCACTTTGGGAGGCCGAGGCTGGTGGATCACGAGGTCAGGAGATCGAGATCATCCTGGCTAACAGTGAAACTCCGTCTCTACTAAAAATACAAAAAATTAGTCGGGTGTGGTGGCAGGCGCCTGTAGTCCCAGCTACTAGGGAGGCTGAGGCAGGAGAATGGCGGGAACCCAGGAGGTGGAGCTTGCAGTGAGCCCAAGTTGCGCCACTGCACTCCAGCCTGGGCAACAGAGCGAGACTCCATCTCAAAAAAAAACCAAAAAACAAAAAGAAAAAAAGAAATAGCTGAGACTGGGTAATTTATCAAGAAAAGTGGTTTAATTGGCTCACAGCTCTGCAGGCTCTACAGGAAGCGGGTGCTGACATCTACTCAGCTTCTAGGGAGGCCTCCAGAAGCTTCCAATCATGGTGGAAGGCAAAGAGGGAGCAGGCACATCTCATGGCCAGAGCCTGAGCAAGAAAGAGAGAGAGAGAGCAGGGGGAGATGACACACGCTTTTAAATGACCAGTTCTTGTGTGAACTCAGAGCGAGAGCTCACTTATCACCAAGGGGATGGCCCAAGCCATTCATGAGGTATCTGCCCCCATGATTCAGTCACCTCCCACCGGGCCCAACCTCCAATATTGGGGATTACAATTTAATGTGAGATTTGGGCAGGGATAAATATCCGAACTATGTCATCGTGTGATGCCCTGTACTGCCTGGGGACTCTGTTCAGAGAGTCCCCACTAGTAAGAAGGCCTTCACCAGATGTACCCCTTGAACTTTGACTTCTCAGCCTTCAGGACTATAAGAAATTCATTTTCTTTGAAAATTACCCAGTTTCAAGTATTCTGTTATTAAGCTGGGCACAGTGGCTCACGCCTGTAATCCCAGCACTTTGGGAGGCCGAGGTGGGTGGATCACCTGAGGTCAAGAGTTCGAGACCAGCCTGGCCAGCTTGGTGAAACCCTGTCTCTACTAAAAATATGAAATTAGCTGGGCATGGTGGTGCATACCTGTAATCCCAGCTACTCAGGAGGCTGAGGTGGGAGAATCACTTAAAACTGGGAGGCAGAGTTTGCAGTGAACCGAGGTCGCGCCATTGCACTCCAGCCTAGGTGGGAAAAACAAAACTCCATCTCAGAAAAATATATATTCTGTTATTTGTTGATGCAAAAGTGATTGTGGTTTTTGCCATTACTTTTAATTACTTTTGCACCAACCTAATATAAGCAACAGAAAATAGACTAAGACACTAGGGCTGGCCAGGTTCCCTCCTGGCTCTTTACCCTGTGTCCTCCTGGTACATGGGCTCCCCATCAAGCCTTGTGCCTCTCCATTGGCCATTGGATCAGCCACCCCAGCCGCACTGAGTCTGAGATGTGAGTCAGCACAGCTGGCCCACTTTGACTTCCTAGGTTTTCTCTGTAATCCTCTTTCCCCAAATGCTTCCAACCTTTCAACAAGTCCTCTTGGGTCTACTTCCAGAATACAGCAACCTCTCTCTCCATCTTCACTAAGACCTTCTCCAAGCTGCCATTGTATCATACCTAGAAAACTGCTGCCTTGTCCTAACTGGTCTCCTCGCCTTCCGCTTTGTTCTGTTTAATAGAAATCAGGCTGGGCATGGTGGCTCACACCTGTAATCCCAGCCCTTTGGGAGGCCGAGGTGGGCAGTCACCTGAAGTCAGGAGTTCGAGACCAGCCCGGCCAAGGTGGTGAAACCCTGTCTCTACTAAAAATACAAAAATTAGCCAGGCATGGTGGCGGGCACCTGTAGTCTCAGCTACTCAGGAGGCTGAGTCAGGAGAATCGTTCGAACTTGGGAGGCGGAGGTTGCAGTGGACCAAGATCAGGTCACTGCACTCCAGCTCAAAAAAAAAAAAAAAAAAAGAAACCAGACTATGCCACCCTTGTGCTTAAAATCCTCCCAAATGGGCTTAAAACAAAACTCCACCCCAAGACCTCTGAGACCATCCATCTGCCCCACCTCTCTCTTCTTCCTTAACACTTTCCTAGTTGACCACTCTGTCCTGGCCAGACTTGGCCTCTTTCTCATCTTCAAATGGGCCAAGTTCCCTCCTACCTCAGAACCATTGCACGTTCTCCGATTCATGTGGAGCTTCCTTCTCCAAAGCTGGAGTCTTGGAAGGGCTCCAATAAAAGCCCTTATCTTCCCAATTTGAGAAACAAGACCCACCAAAATGGCAAAAGACACTTATTACTCCCTTTCATGAGTCATGAAGGCCAGGTTGGAGTGTGGAGCTAGATGTAAACACTGAGTAGCCTGAATCTTGTACCCCAGAACCAGTGGAACCTCTCCAGCCAGACCTGAGCCCAACCACACAGCACAGGCCAGTCTCACCAAGATGAGACTCAGAGCAGAGGAGAAGTCCTGCACCCCATGAGCACCTTGCTCCCAAGGGGGAGAGTTGAAGGTATCTTGTGTATTCTCCCGAACTCTACCAATCAGATCAGTAGGTCTCCCTGCCCTGGGTATAGTGAAGAAAGGGGCAGGGAGACACCAGGTGTGTGATGGCACTGTGCTACGTAGAGAAAGTGCATCCCCCAGTAATCAAGGGCTCCAAATGCCCACTTCATTCTCATCTCTCAGATCTGAGAGGCCTTTGCTGATGCACTCTCTATAAAAAACACCCCTGACCCACATACACACATACACACACTCGGTCCCTCTTTCATCTTCACTCCCCAAAGTTATGTCTTTGTATCCTATTGATGATTAGCCATCCCCACTAGAACGTAAGCTCTAGAAGGTCAATGGCCTGTCCTCTTGTTCATGGCTGCATCTCCAGTGCTTAGAACAGTGCCCGGCACATCACTGAGGATCTTTTAATGAATTGAATAGACAAGAGTAGCAATCCCTGAGCCTAAATCCCAGGTTGTGGCCTGGAGCTGGGAGCTTCAGTCCATTCAGGAAGGAGGCTCCTCCCAGAGCCAGGTCGAGCGGCAGCTCCCATGTAAACACAAGAGGAGGCGTGGTGAGAGTATGTCTTCGCTATTAGTCTTGAAGCATGAAGCCCCTACTTACAGAGCGTGGATACTATTTTAAGAGACGATTTGCGACCAGCTACCATGACGACAATGTCTCACCTATTTCCTTTGCTCGGAGACTCAGAGCACTAAAAATGCTGTGCAATGTAATTGATTTTTTCAGTGCGGGACCTGAGCTTTGTGGGATGTATTATGTCCCAAATGAAAAGGAACAGTGAGATAAGCCATCGCCCTTGCCTCTACTCCCAGACAAAAAGCCGGTTCTTCCTGGCTGCTGCCAACCCACAGGGGGTTTTAACAGTGGGGAATTTGTCACCCGAGGCCACCCTCAAATGCTAGCTCTTTAACACTGAATAAGGAAGAGGGGGCAGGGAGGAAAGTCAACCACCTACCTGGCCACCACCCTTTCAGGCCATAGGGTGGGACTGTCTGAGAGTGGCTGACAGGTCACCAGCCTCCGCCCCAAGTTGGGGCTCCAGGGGGCCTCCCAGGCTCACTCTTCCGAAGGTGGTCATTGCAGTTGTTCCCATTCCATCTGTGCATGCTGGGCAGTCCGCTCCGTGCACGAAGTGGGGACAGGCGTCACAGGACAACATCTGTACCCCACCTTCCAGGGATCAGGGGAAAAGAGGGTAACTCTGGTTCTTTGGAATCAAGGGACCAGGGCCCTCTTTTCACAATAAGGACGGGACAGAGAAAATTCATCTGCAGCTTCACCCCCAGCATCCCAAGTCCCTAAACACCTGTCACTCCAGCCCTTCAAACTCTGGCTCTCGTTTTCAACCTGTAGAGAAGGGGAGAGGCTAAAGAATTATCTTTCATTTCACTCCATTAATAACTAAGCAGCACGGCCTAAAATATTTATGGACACGTGCACCAAATGCATTCTGGGCAAGACAAGGTGGGTCATGGAGATTTGCAAGGCTGCTGCCTCAGCCCTTTGCTGGAGAAGCAACTAAATGGCTTCAGGGGCCAGGAAAGATGAGGGGCGACAAAGGCAGCCTCCGGGAATGTGTGACCTATCAGGGGACTAGCCAGGAAATGAAGCCTTTCTCCAGGTCTCAGAACAGCCTCCTCCTGGAGGAGGAGGTGTGGACAGTGTTTGTTGCTGACTCTGCCCTTGCACTGTATCTGCCTGTCCACTTTCCAGCACACTGATGCAGTGACTGCCATGTTTCAAGCTACAAGTCTCCTGGTCCTGAATGGGCACCTGCACTGTAACTTCCAACAATGCAGATATTAAATATTTGGGTTGTTTTGAGGGTCCTGAACTGCAACTGATTTGTGGCTAGAGGAGAACAAGCTCAAGCTCAGCTTTGCAATGGTGCTGCAGGTGACCGAAACCCCAGATGCCCCAGATGAGGGGACCACTTGGCTTCTCTGAGCCTCCCTTTCCTCACACAGAAAGCACGAAGCTTGAATTAGATTGCCACTACAGTTGTTTCCAATTCTATGGCCATAGGAGAAACTATTTTAAGCTTTACTTTAAAAGAGAGCGATAGAAAGGAAGGAAGGAAGAAAATGATGGAAATGTAATGAAAAAGTAATGGCAGAGTGTTCAATCCTGAAAATGAACGTGAATAATAATAAGAACAGTCAGACTTACGTTGTAGTCATTATGGGCCAGGCACTTTACTAAGCCCTGCAAAGGGTCTCGCTCTGTTACCCAGGCTGGAGTGCAGTGGTGCAATCACGACTCACTGCAACTTCAACCTCCTGGGCTCAAGTGATCCTCCCACCTCAGCTTCCCTGGTAGCTGGGACCACAGGCACACACCACCACATCTGGCTAATTTTGGGTATTTTTTGTAAAGATGGGGATTCTCCATGTTGCCCAGGCTATAAAGAGCTTCAATAACTTGCTGAAGTGTAGCCTCTACAGAGGAAGAGCCACAGTTCAACTCAGGTATTCAGCTCCTAACTCATACTTTTAATCACAATGTCATACTGTCTAGTTGATGACATTTCACTCAGTCACTCATCTGACAGGTGTATATAAAGTACCTGTCATATGCTGGGCATTGGCCTGGGTGATGACTTGGAAGCTTCATCAAATGCATTGATTAATTTGCACACAAAAGGCCGAACCAAGAGTAGAGGGACATATTTCCCCTAGAAGTCATCTGTCTCAGGTGTCCCTAAGTCCTCCAGACTGCTAAAGTCAACCTTGTCTTTTAGAACTTCAATAAAAACATTGAGCTTCATCCCTTATATAGCAAGAAGTCTAAGATCTTTCCAATACATCAGAATTCTTTAGTGGAGGGGAAAGCTTACATTTCTTCTAGCTACTTCTTGCTGCAATTCACTACTTCTGCTGAATTCTTTGTCTCCTTCTTGCCACTCTTCATTTTCCCTTCTCTCCATCTGTATCCACCCAAACATGGGTCAAAGTACAGTTGAAGGAAGAAAAAGCATGTGACCATATGAATGAATGCAGAAAAAATATTCGACTTCATATCCATATGTGATTCTTAAAAACACAATGATTCTCAGTTAACTAGAAGGAAAAATTCCTCAAGCTGATACAGTCTATCTATTAAAAAAAAACCTACAAGCTCACCTCACATTTAATGGGAAAAAAGTCAATATTTTACCCCTTAAAATTAGGGACAACGCAAGGATGTTCACTCCTACCATTCTTATTCAGGATCACACTGGAAATTAAAGTCAGTAAACTAATGCAAGAAAAAGATATAGAAGGCATACAGATTGGAAAAGAAGAAATAAAACTGTCCTTATTCATAGACAACATGATTACCTACATAGAAAATCTCAAGGGATCCATAAAAATAACTCCTAAAACTAGTAAGTAAGTTCAGCAAGGTTGCAGGATACAAAATCAACCACAACATCAATTATCTTTCTCCATATCAGAAATCAGCATTTGGAAACCAGAATTTTAAAACTAATAGTTAAAACGACTCTAAAAATATAATGCTTAGGTATAAATCTAACAAAACACATACAGCACCTGCTGCTGAAAACTATAAAATACTGATGAAAGAAATCAGTGAAGACATAAATAAATGAAAAGACATACCATGTTCTTGAATTAGAAGACTCAACATAATAGACAGGTCAGCTCTTCCCAAATTAATCTATATACTGCAATTCCAATCAATAAAAATAATATCAATTTATATGTAAATGTATATTAAAAAGTTAAAGATCTAGAATAGCCAAAATTGTTTTCAAAAAAAAAAAAAAAAAAAAGAGTTGCTAGGTGCAGTGCCTCATGCTTGCAATCCCAGCACTTTGGGAGGCTGAGATAGGAGGATCACTTGGGCCCAGGAGTTCAAGACCAGCCTGGGCAACATAGTTGAGAGACCCATCTATACAAAAAATAAAAATAAATTAGCAAGCATGGTGATGCATACTTGCAGTCCCAGCTATATGGGAGGCTGAGGTGGGAGGATTGCTTGAGCCTGGCAGGTTGAGGCTGCAGTGAGCGATGATCACATCACTGCACTCTAGTCTGGGTGATGGAGCAAGACCCTGTCCCAAAAAATTAAATTAAATTAAATTTAAAAATAAAAGTGGGCCGGGTGCGGTAGCTCACGCCTGTAATCTCAGCACTTTGGGAGGCTGAGGCGGGTGGATCACGAGGTCGGGAGATTGAGACCATCCTGGCTAACATGGTAAAACCCTGTCTCTACTAAAAATATTTTAAAAATTAGCCAGGTGTGGCGGCGGGCGCCTCTAGTCCCAGCTACTCGGGAGGCTTAGGCAGGAGAATGGTGTGAATCCGGGAGGCAGAGCTTGCAGTGAGCCGAGATCGCGCCACTGCACTGCAGCCTGGGCGACAGAGCGAGACTCCATCTCAAAATAAATAAATAAGTAAATAAATAAATAAATAAATGTGATGTTGGAGGTATCTCACTAACCAATTCTAAGATTTACTGTATCACTACAGTAATTAAGACAGTGTGGTATTGGTGAAGCTACAGACACATAGATCAATAGAAGAGAGGGTTCAGAAATAGACCCACACAAATATCCAGTTGACACTTTTTTTCTCAATATTCAAAAATTTTACCAAAATGCCAATTGACCTTTGACAAAGATGCAAAAACAATTCAATGAGGAAGGATAGCTTTTTCAACAAATGATATTAAACAAGTAGACATCCATGTGCAAAATGAACCTCAACCAAAATCTCATACCTTATAAAAAATTAACTCAAAATAGATGACAGTTCTAAATATAAAATATAAAACTGTAAAATTTTTAGGACACATAAGAGAAAATTTTTAAGACCTGAAGTCGGTAAGGAGTTTCTAGACAGGAAACCAAAAGCACAATCCATGGAAAAAAAAAAGTAATAAACTGGACTTTATCAAAATTACTTATTTTTATTTTTTTCAGACAGGGTCTCACTCTGTCACCCAGGCTAGAGTGCAGTGGTACAATCACGGCTGACTGCAGCCTCGACCTCCCAGATCATATCATCCTTCTTCCTCAGCAGGGCTACTGTAGCTGGGACTACAAGTGTTCACCACCACATCCAGTTAATTTTTGTATTTTTTGTAGAGACAGGATTTCACCATGTTGCCCAGGCTGGTCTCCAACTCCTAGCCTCAAGCAATCCTCCTGCCTTGGCCTCCCAAAGTGCTAGGATTACAAACATGAGGCACCACACTTGGCCAGGACATCATCAAACCTATTAAGAAAATTAAATGAAAAGCTACAGACTGGAATAACATATTTGCAAATCACATATTCAACAAATGGCATGTACACAAAACATACAAAAAATCCTCAAGACTCAACACTAAGAAACTAACAGCCCAATTAAAAGTAGACAAAGGTCTTTGAACAGACCTTTCATCAAAGAGGACACAGAGAAATCAAATAAGCACTTGAAAAAATACTCACCTTATGACTATTAGGGAAATACAAGCTAAAACCATGATGAGATACACCTACTAGAATGGATATAATGAAAAAAGACCAAGTGCTGACAAGGATGCAGAGAAACTAGAAGCATTATGCATTGCTGCTGAGAATGCAAAATGGTACAACCAGTCTGGAATTTGTCTGGCAATTTCTTTCTCAGTCTGTCACCCAGGCTGGAGTGCAGTGGTGCGATCATAGCTCACTGCAGCCTCAACCTCCTGGGCTTAAGCAATCCTCCCACCTCAGCCTCCTGAGTAGCTAGGACTACAGGCATGAGCTACTACAACTGGCTAATTTTCTTTTTTCTTTTTTTTGTGGAGACAGGGTCTCACTCTGTTGATCAGGCTTCTCTTGAATTCCTGGCTTCAAGTGATCCTCCCACCTCTGCTTCTCAAAGTGCTAGGACCACAGGCGTGAGCCACCATGGCTGGCCTGGCAATTTCTTATAAAGAAATCAAACCACTTCTGGATATTTATCTTAGAGAAATAAAAACTTATGTTGTCACCAAAAAAAGAAACTGCATATGAATGCTTACAGAGTCTCTATTCATTATCACTCAAATTTGGAAATGACCCAAATGTCCTTCAACAAGTGATTAACAGGTGAATCGATGTTTTAAAATGTGGCACTTCCATACAATGGAATACTGCTCAGCAATGAAAAGGAATAAACTCTTGGCTGGCACGGTGGCTCACGCCTGTAATCCCAGCACTTTGGGAGGCCGACGCAGGTGGATCACGAGGTCAGGAGATTGAGACCATCCTGGCTAACACGGTGAAACCCTGTCTCTACTAAAAATACAAAAAAATAGCTGGGCGTGGTGGCGGGCGCCTGTATTCCCAGCTACTTGGGAGGCTGAGGCAGGAGAATGGCGTGAACCTGGGAGGCAGAGCTTGCAGTGAGCTGAGATCGTGCCACTGCGCTCCAGCTTGGGCGACAGAGCGAGACTCCATCTCAAAAAAAAAAAAAAAAAAAAGGAATAAACTCTTAATATGCACAAAAACTTAGATAGATCTCAAAGGCTGAGTGACAGAAGCCAGTCTTTAAAAGTTCACTTACCACTATGGAGAACTTTGGAGGGTCCTCAAAAAACTAAAAATAGAACTACCATTAGATCCAGTAATCCCACGAACTGGGTATACGCCCAAAAGAAAGGAAATCAGTACCTTGAAGAGATATTTGCACTCCTGTGTTTGTTGCAGCACTGTTCACAATTGCCAAGATTTGGGAGAAACCTGTGCCCGTCAACAGATGATTGGATTTAAAAAATATGGTACACATATACAATGGAATACTATTCAACCATAAAAAAGAAGGAGATCCTGTCATTTGCAACAACATGGATGGAACTGGAGATCATTATGTTAAATAAAATAAGCCAGGCACAGGAAGACAAACATTGTATGATCCCACTTATTTGTGGGATCTAAAAATCAAAACAATTGAACTCACCGGGATAGAGAGTAGAAGGATGGTTACCAGAGGCTGGAAAGGGTAGGGAGGGGCTGTGGAGAGAAGTTGGTATGGTTAATGAGTACCAAAAAAAAATAGCTCAAAATAATAAGACCTACTATTTGATAGCACAACAGGGTGACTATAGTCAATAAATAACTCTATATTTAAAAATAACTAAAAGAGTATAATTGGATTGTTTGTAGTTCAAAGGATAAATGCTTGAGGGAACAGATACCCCATTCTCCATGATGTGATTATGACGCATTGCATGCCTGTATCAAAACATCTCATGTACCCTGTAAATATATACACTTAGTATGTACCCACAAAAATTAAACATTAAAAGAATTAAAAATAAATAAAAAATAAAAGTTTGCTTACACACTGAAGATGCTAAAAATAATTTATATTGGAGGATTCCATTTATTTGACTTTCTTGAAAAGACAAACTATAGTGATGGAGACTAGATTGGAGGTGGCAGAAGACTGGGTAGGGGAGAGTGGAGGTAGCATAGGGGAATGTTCTAGGTTGATGGAACTGCTCTGTGTCCTGATGGCATCTTGTTGCACCAATCTACATATGTGTTAAAATTCATATGGCCAGACGTGGTGGCTCATGCCTGTAATCCCAGCACTCTGGGAGACTGAGGCAGGCAGATAACTTGAGGTCAGGAGTTTGAGACCAGCCTGGCCAACATGGTGAAACTATGTCTCTACTAAAAATATAAAAATTAGCTGGGCATGGTGGTGGGTGCCTGTAATCCCAGCTACTCAGGAGGCTGAGGCAGGAGAATCATTTGAACCCAGGAGGTGGAAGTTGCCATGAGTAGGGATTGCACCATTGCACTATAGTCTGGACGACAAGAGTGAAACTGTGTCTCAAAATGAAACAAACAAACAAACAAACAAACCTCATAGAACTGTATACCGGGGGCAGGGGTGTGTCAATTTTACAATATGTTAATTTCACAATAAAATGTTTTAAATACCCCCAAAATCATAGCCGCAGTCAACTTGAGGTTTACCTTCCACTTGTGCTCCCCCATCAAAAGGGTTGTTACTCTTTAAGGAGCACCTCACTAACCCAGACCAAGGGAAAGGAGATGTGTGCACCTGTGTTCAAGGGATTTCCAAGTTAACGTGTATATGTGCGTTGATCACTGGACCTCTGGACATAGAGAGTTGGAAACCTCCTGACACCCATCGCTATTGAGAATCGCATTCAGAGGATCGTGCGAGCCACGTGGAATTTAAAAAAAACGACTCTCCTCGAAATAAATAAATAAATAGCAATTTCCATCTTTAGCTAGCATCTCTTGAGAAATGTCAGAGGATCCAAACCCTAACTTTAGCAACACTTACTGTGTCCTCTTCTTCCTCTCCTGGCTAGTGCTCCTGTATTCTGCAGAGCCTCTCGTTGCCAACAGACTTGTCTTCCCCACACTCAGAGGAGTCTCTCTCCTCCTTCTCCAGGCACTTTCCGTACCCAGGTGGCTTTTTCCTCCCTCTCCTTCTTATGCAGCTCTTTTGGGCCTTTCTCATCAAGTCCTTGCCTTTACTTCTCATCTCTCCCTCATCATAGGAAAATTCTTCAATTCAGCATTTTTTAAAAATTGCAGGAAATCATTTGATGAAGGCTGAGTCACCTTGTGGACTGTGAAGTTGCATGCATCAAAGACGATATTCTCTTCACAGGCAAAGGAGGAAACTCACAAAGGCTGGGAACAGTCAAATATTAAAAATTGCAGCCAGACACGGTGGCTCACACCTGTAATCCCAGAATTTTGGGACGCTGAGCCAGGCGGATCTCGAGGTCAGGAGTTCAAGACCAGCCTGGCCAACATGGTGAAACCCCGCCTCTACTAAAAATACAAAAATTAGCTGGGCGTGGTGACTGGTGCCTGTAATCCCAGCAACTCAAGAGGCTGAGGCAGAAGAATCGTTTGAACCCGGGAGGTGGAGGTTGCAGTGAGCCGAGATTACGCCATTGCACTCCAGCCTGGGTGACAGGGTGAGACTCCATCTCTCTCTCTCTCTCTCTCTCTACATATATATATATATATATATATATATATAATGTTTGCACCATCATATAAGCAAAATACAAAATTCTCTAGGCCAAGGTTGAGAATTTGATTTCCTGCACAGGGAATGATTCTGCTGTTCACACACAGGTCTAGGCCACTTCTCCCCATCCTACAAACCTGTCACATTCATTACAAGGGGCCCCAAGAGTAGCCTTGCTCTGACGTGTGTTTGCATCTGATGGATGGGAGCATCAGTGCAAAAGTAAAGAGCACTATGAAAAAGTGATGGTCTGTGGTGCACGACTGTGGTCTCAACTACTCAGAAGGCTGAAGCAGGAGGATCGCTTGAGCCCAGGAATTGGAGGCTGCAGTGAGCTATGATCACACCACTGCACTCCAGTCTGGGTGACAGAGTAAGACCCTGTCAGAAAGAAAAAAATAAAAATGATGGTTAATTCCAGTGAATAATTTCCCTAGAAGTTCTATTGAGCCTTTTTATAATATATACATATAGTTTCATTGTGTTTTCCATCTTCCCTTTCTCTCTCTCTCTCTCTTTATCCATTTTAATGATACTAAATGTACCTGTTCAATAGAATTTTCCAGCTTGTGCCTTCATTTTGAGTTCGTGGAAAGCTGATACATTCACAGCTGGGACTCTCCCTCCCATGAGTTATAATGTCTGTTATTATTTTCTCTTCCAAGGTGGAGGGGAGTGTCTTTTCTATGGGATTTCATGCCCTTTGGACTGTGACCAAGTCCATGAAGAGCAGTTTTATATTTGCTTCCGCTACGTCCCCAGGGCTTTTGCTAGTCAGGACAGATTTTATTATTCATTTCTCTGTTTGAAATTCTAACCCACGTTGGTGGTGTAAGCTGGGCCACATCACATCATTGTGCAGTACAGATGGGGTTCTTGTTTCTCTGTGGTGTAGATACTGGGAGCCAGGAAGCTTGAAAAAGTCCATCTGACCTTGGACCAGTCATGGAAAGGATGTGGACACATGTGCCCATCCTGCTTAGAAAAGGTTGGTCAGGCCAGGCACGGTGGCTCATGCCTATAATCCCTACACTTTGGGAGGCAGAGGTGGGTGGATCACCTGAGGTCAGGAGTTGGAGACCAGCCTGGCCAACATGGCAAAGCCCTGTCTCTACTAAAATTACAAAAAAATCAGCTGGGCGTGGTGGTGTGTGCCTGTAATCCCAACTACTCAGGAGGCTGAGGCAGGAGAATCACTTGAACCGGGGGACGGAGGTTGCAGTGAGTTGAGATCGCACCACTGCACTCCAGCCTGGGTGACAAGAGCGAGACTCTGTCTCAAAAAAAAAAAAAAAACAAAAGGTTGGTCAGTTACACTGGGAGCTTTGAAAATACACCCCCTGCCACTTCCTTTTTTTTTTTTTCTGAGACAGAGTCTCGCTCTGTCACTCAGGCTGTAGTGCAGTGGTGTGATCATAGCTCGCTATAGCCCTGTAGCCTCCAACTCCTGGGCTCAAGTGATCCTCCCACCTCAGCCTCCCAAGTAGCTGGGACTACAGGTATGCACCACCACGCCCAGCTAAATTGTTGTAGAGACAGGGTCTCTACAAGCCCAGCTAAATTTTTTGTAGAGACAGGGTCTTGCTATGTTGCCCAGGCTGGTCTTAAACTCCTGGCCTTGAGGAATCCTCCCACTTCGGCCTCCCAAAATGCTGAGATTACAGGTGTGAGCCACCCCTCCAAGGCTCATTTGCATAATTCCCTTCACCTATGAGTTGATGCTCCTATCCATCTGATGGGTTTCCATTTTAGAAAAAGGTGATAGTTATTTGTCAACTCCCTGGCAGCAAAGTTGAGAATCTGATGTGGCCACTGTGGTAGGCACAGTTAACCGCCCTGGCAACAGCCAGTCCTCCTGCCTCCTCTGCTAACCATCATTGGCTTGGGCAGCTTTGTGTCAACCTCAGGGGATGAATCCTGACAATCCAAAGCAGGCTTTCCAATCCCAATGGGCTGCCCACATTCCAGCTGCCCAGGGAGCTAAAGGTGGCCACATGACTACAGCTCTAGCCAATGGGGAAATAAGCCAGACGGTTACTAGGGAAGATTTCTCCTCTCTGATAGAAAGGAGGACATTGATGAGAATGGTTCTTTCTTTCAGCATCTGGGTGATCGCCCCTCCTTCCTAACTTGGTAAGTGAAGCTCAGAGCTGCAACCAGCATCTTGCAGTCATGAAAATCCATCTGAGAATCACAGAAACTCAGATTCAGCACCTGACATGTTTGAGGTGTTGATCCAGCTCCATAACCGCGTACTTCCCGACTTGGGCTGTGTGAGGTCATTTCTAATGCTTTTGTTATTTAAACTCTAGGAGTTTCATGCATACATGTGTTCATTGCGGCACTATTCCCAAAAGCAAAGACATAGAAACAACCTAAATGCTCATCAGCGGTAGACTAGGTAAAGAAAATCTGATACAGGGGCCAGGCGCAGTGGCTCAGGCCTGCCTGGAATCCCAGCACTTTAGGAGGCTAAGGTGGTAGGACTGCCTGAGCCCAAGAGTTCAAGACCAGCCTGAGCAACATGGTGAGACCCCTATCTCTATACAAAATTTAAAAGATGAACCAGGCATGGTGGTGCAGGCATGTAGTCCCAGCTACTCAGGAGGATGAGGTAGGAGGATCGCTTGAGCCCAGGAGGTCAAGGCTGCAGTGAGCTGTGATCACACCACTGCGCTCCAGCCTGAGCAACAGAGTGAGACCCTATCGCAAGAAAAAAAAGAAAAAGAAAATGTAGTTAACATATACACCATGAGGCTGGGTGCAGTGGCTCATGCCTATAATCCCAGCACTTTGGGAGGCAGAGGTGGGTGGATCACATGAGGTCAGGAGTTTGAGACCAGCCTGGCCAACATAGTGAAACCTGGTCTCTACTAAAAATACAAAAATTGGCCGCGTATGGTGGCGGGCACCTGTAATCCCAGCTACTTGGGAGGCTGAGGAAGGAGAATCGCTTGAACCCAGGAGGTGGAGGTTGCAGTAAGCCAAGATCACACCATTGCATACAAGCCTGGGTGACAGAGTGAGACTCCATCTCCAAAATATATATAATGGAATACTATGCAGTCATAAAAAAGGACAAGATCATGTCCTTTGCAGCAACGTGGATGGAGCTGGGGGCCATTATCCTAAGCAAACTAACACAGAAACAGAAGACTAAATACCATATGTTCTCACTTGTAAGTGGGAGCTAAACATTGAGTATACATGGACACAAAGGAGGGGACAACAGCCACTGGGTTTTACTTGCAGGCAAAGGGTAGAGGAGGGTGAAGATAAAAAATGTACCCATTGGCCGGGCGCGGTGGCTCACGCCTGTAATCCCAGCACTTGGGAGGCTGAGGCAGGTGGATCATATGAAGTCAGGAGTTCGAGACCAGCCTGGTCAACAAAGTGAAACCCCATCTCTACTAAAAACACAAAAAATTAGTCAGGCATGGTGGGGGGCACCTGTAATCCCAGCTACTCGGAAAGCTGAGGCAAGAGAATCGCTTGAACCCGGGAGGCGGAGATTGCAGTGAGCCAAAATTGTGCCACTGCACTCCAGCCTGGGCAACAAGAGTAAAACTCCATCTTAAAAAAAAAAAAAAAAAAGTACCTATCAGGTACTATGCTTACTACCTGGATGATGAAATAATCTGTACACTAAACCTCCATGACACACAGCTTACCTACATAACAAACCTGCATGTGGACCCGTAAACCTAAAATGAAAGTTTTAAAAAACCAAAACACTGGTAGTCTTAACAACTGCAACTTTTGGGTGAGACACTGACACAGAAACAGAGCTACTCTTTTCTTGGCCCCCTCCTCCCAGGATGCACCAGGCTGGGAATTCAGGGTGCCTGGCAGAAGTGTGTCCTCGGTGGGGAGGGGGCGATGCCGTTCAAGCTTAGCCTCTCTGTGCCCTCTGTGCCTCTGCGGTATGTGCTGAGGGCCAAGTGCAGCCCTGTGCAATTCTGCAGCCTCTTTGCACCCTGAAAGTAGCAGCATTCAATCCCCACTAAGCAAAGCAAAAATAGGGCTTCTTTAAGCATCATCGGGGTGCCTGTAATACCAGCTACTCAGAGGCTGAGGCAGGAAAATAGTTTGAACCCAGGAGGCGGAAGTTGTGGTGAGCTGAGATTGCACCACTGCACTCCAGCCTGGGTGACAGAGAAAGACTGTCGTAAAAAAAAAAAAAAAGGGAGGGCTTCTTTGGAAGGATACCAGGGAAGCTCAGACCATTAAAGGAGGCTCAGAACAATCCCAGGCAAATACAAAAGCAGAACAGCTCTGGGAACTGCAGCAGCAGGAATCCACAGACCTTCTCCCTGGGATGCTACCGTGACATGACTCCGAACACCTCTTCCCAGCAATCCGCGTCTCTGTTTCTGCTTCAGATTTCAAGGAGAGAGAATCAGAATGATGGAGCTTGGCAGGCTACTCAGCCCAGAAACTTCAGTGTGAGTGTGGCCAGGAGCTAAGAGAGTTTGTTGGACATACCTCAGTCATTGCCTGTCATCATAGCCAGGATGGACCAGGAGACCCCAGGGAGTGGGGTCTGTGTCCAGAGGAGCAAAGAGCAGAAGCTGCCAGAAAAAAAAAAAATAAGCGATCACTACAACTGCACTGTTCTTTCTCTGGAAATGTCAAAATTGTGACTCTGGAACACATTCATTGACTAGATCCTCATCGGCCCTTGTCAGAACCTAGACCCAAGAGTCAGACCTTGTTCCACAACCCGTCCCTGCTCCAAATGGGGACAACTCGGTGTCATCAAATGGACCTGCAATGGGAAAATCAATGAAGCGTTTGAAACAGGGGAGCCCCAGGTTCTAATCTATACTTTGAAATCACCTTGGCTCCTGTGCGTAGCAAGGAACAGAGAAGGCTCAGGGACACCCTCTGGGAACAGGACACGGGCACCAGCTGAGGGAGGATGGTGGTGGGGAGGGTGGAGAGAAGTTGGGGGGCTTTGGCTTTGATTTTTAAAATTTATTTATTTAAGAGACAGGTTCTTGCTCTGTCACCCAGGCTGGAGTGCAGTGGTGCCCCCTAGCTCACTGCAGCCTAGAACTCCTGGGCTCAAGCGATCCTCCTGGCTCAGCCTCCTGAGTAGCTGGGACTACAGGTGTACACCACCTCACTTGGCTAATTTTTAAAAAAAAATTTTATAGAGACAGGGTCTCACTATGTCACCCAGGCTGGTCTCGAACTCCTAGGTTCAAGTAATCTTCTCGCCTTAGCCTCCTGAGTAACTGGGAGAGCCTCTGTGCCTGGTTTTGATTTCTGATGGATGGTCAGGGGTGAGGAAGAGGAAGGGAATAGAGGTCTGGCTTGAGCTCCTGGGTGGGAAATGGTGCTGTCTATGGAGACTGAGGGAGCAGGTTTAGGCAAACACTGAGACATATCAGATTTAGATGCCTGTTCCAGGGGAGATGTCACATAAGAAACCCAGAACCCTCTGGAGCCAGCCTGGAAATACACATTTTGGGAGTCCTCGGACTATTGAAGGTACTTAACCCAGGGAAAAGATGTAATCACCAGGGAGAGAGGTAATCACAGGACAGGAGAGCCCCAGCTGAGCACTGCGGTTCCAACACACGGAGGCCATTCTTGCAGATGGAGCTGTAAGCCAGGACTTGAGAAGGGAGACCAGGAGTGTGGCGTTTTGGAAGTGGGAGGTGAGCACCATTGATGATGCCAATCCTGCTGTGATTTGGGGGCTCCCCGAGGGTCTGACATTCCATATCCCTCATGCAGACCATCCTGTGCAGCGGTCAGCTCCTCACATCAGCCCCCGTGTGGAGGTCAAAACCCGAAACTTACTCTTCCTGCCGGCTTCTTCCCATGCACCCAGCATCTCAGCGGGGAAAAAAAGGAGACCTTGGAAGGCCCCTGAAGAAAGGGTACCCTCCTCAACTCCCTGGTCTGTATCTGCCCTATCCACTTCAATCCATGGGTTCATTATAATGTTTTAGCAACTGTAAAGGGGAAGGAGCCAGGCATGGTGCCTTCCCTAATCCCAGCACTTTGGGAGGCCAAGGCAGGCGGATCACTTGAGGTCAGGAGTTCGAGACCATCCTGGCCAACATGGTGAAACTCAGTCTGTACTAAAAATACAAAAATTAGTCGGGCATGGTGGCGGGTGCCTGTAATCCCAACTACTCAGGAAGCTGAAGCAGGAGAATCCTTGAACCCGGGAGGCAGAGGTTGCAGTGAGCTAAGATCACACCACTGCACTCTAGCCTGGGTGACAGAGTGAGACTCCCTCTCAAAGAAAAGAAAAAAAGAAAAAAAAAGAGAAGAGGAGAAAAGAAAAGAGAAAAGAGGAAGAAGAATTTGAAGTTGGACAATTGAGCTGGCTTTGCAATTCTTTTCTCTACTTGAGGGCCCCTCTCGCCCACCCCAATCCTTCAGGGAAACTGAAGTTATAGATTCAACTGCACCATGGGGCCTCCTTCTGCACTAGGCATGTGCATCAGGCTACCAGGCAGAGAGGTGAGAAAAGCCAGATGGTCTTTGACTTAAGGAATGTGCTGAGCTCAGCAGCTAAACTGCTTTGAGGGGTCAACAGGAAATTGAGGTCAAGTAATAGCATTTTGTCTTGGCTAACCCTCAAAGTGCTCTAGTAGCTTAATTTTTATTTTTATTTTTTATTTATTTTATTTTATTTTTTGAGCCTGTCAACCAGGCTGGAGTGCAGTGGTGTGATTTCAGCTAACTGCAACCTCCACCTCTGGGTTCAAGCGATTCTCCTGCCTCGGCCTCCCAAGTAGCTGGGACTACAGGCACACATCACAACTCCCAGCTAATTGTGAGTGTGTGTGTGTATGTGTGTGTGTGTGTGTGTATTGTTTTAGTAGAGATGGTGTTTTGCCATGTTGGCCAGGCTGGTCTCGAGCTCCTGATCTCAAGTGATGCGCCTGCCTTTGCCCCCCAAAGTGCTAGGATTACAGGCATGAGCCACTGCACCCAGCCTTAATTTTTTTTTTTTTTTTTTGACACGAAGTCTCGCTCTGTTGCCCAGGCTGGAGTGCAGTGGAGTGGTCTCAGCTCACTGCAAGCTCTGCCTCCTGGGTTCACGCCATTCTCCTGCCTCAGCCTCCCGAGTAGCTGGGACTACAGGAGCCCACCACCACGACCGTATTTTTAGTAGAGACGGGGTTTCACCATGTTAGCCAGGATGGTCTTGATCTCCTGACCTCGTGATCCACCCACCTCGGCCTCCCAAAGTGCTGGGATTACAGGCGTGAGCCACTGTGCCCGGCCCCAGCCTTAATTTTTAAATGTAAGAGGGGCCAGGTGTGGTCACTCACACCTGTAATCCCAGCACTTTGGGAGGCCAAGACAGGAGGGTTACTTGAGGCCAGGAGTTTGAGACCAGCCTGGGCAGAATAGCAAGATCTGGTCTCTATTAAAAATTTTTAAGATTTGCTGGGCATGGTGACTCACATCTGTAATCCCAGCCTCTTGGGAGGATCCGTTGAGCTCAGGAGGTCAAGGCCACAGTGAGCTATGATTGTGCCACTGCACACCACCCTGGACAACAGAGCAAGACCCTGTCTCCAAAAAAAAGTAAGATAGAAAGTGCTTTCACACAAGAGAAATATTTCCTCTCTGTTAGTGATGGTCAGCAGCAGACCTCTACTTGGGGGGATGGGACAGAAAAGCCTGAGCCCTTTGGAAGGGGAAGTGACTCTGGGGAAAAGCAGAGGTCACTAAAGTCCTCAACCCTCCCACAGGGCAGAGGAGGAAGTTTGAGCCACACCATCACAGCAGGTGATTCACAGGTACCGGGTGAGCAGAATGAAGCCCTTCCCAGACCGGTGGTCAAGCTTCTCTCTACAGGGCTTTGTTTAACCTGCTACAAGGAACATTCAGCCGAGAACAGACAGGCACCATGGCTGTTTTCTCTGTTCTTATCAGCTGAGCCACACCCTGAAACCCCAAGTGCCTGGAAAGCAGCAAGTCCCACCTTCTCATTTCCCAGAGGCCCAGAGAGGGGAAATGACTCTCCTGAGGGTATCCCAGAGTAACTGGCAGGCTCTGGAGGCCTGAGTCCTCCTTCTCCTGGCTCTCTTCAATTCTCAGAGCCCACGGGGAAGGCTGCTATGAGTAAGCTCCTCCCACTCCCATGACTTTGCCACCAAGCTGCAGACCCCTTCAAACTTTCTCCTTTCTTTTTGTGGGGGGAGGGGGTGGGTCTTTTTTTTTTTTCCTTTTTGTGGAGAATGGGATCTTGCTGCATTGCCCAGGCAGGTCTTGAACTCCTGGGCTTAAGCTATCCTCTGGCCTCTGCCTCTGTCCCCCTAAGTGCTGGGATTACAGGCATGTAT
This sequence comes from Homo sapiens, assembly GCF_000001405.40. Lineage (NCBI taxonomy): Eukaryota > Metazoa > Chordata > Mammalia > Primates > Hominidae > Homo > Homo sapiens. Next base: position 70,919,261 of record NC_000007.14, on the reverse strand, counting down.
TTGTCCATTTTCACACTGCTATAAGATACTACCTGAGACTGGGTAATTTATGAACAAAAGAGGTTTAATGGACTCACAGTTCCTCATGGCTGGGGAGGCCTCAGGAAACTTGCAATCGTGGCAGAAGGTGAAGGGGAAGCAAGCACCTTCTTCACAAGGCGGCAGGAGAGAGAGAGCACGCAGGGGAAACTGCCACTTTTAAAACCATCAGATCTTGTGAGAACTCCCCCACTATCAGAACAGCATGGGAGAAACCACCCCCGTGATCCAACCACCTCCTACCAGGTCCCTCCCTCAACACGTGAGGATTACAATTTAAGATGAGATTTCAGTGGGGACACAAAGCCATAAACCATATCAAGGTTTGAGCCATCATGCCGGGCTTATTAGGTTTGTGAAGATCTTTTTTTTTTTTTTTTTTAAATATACAGAGAAAGAGTCTCACTATATTGCCCAGGCTGGTCTTGAACTCCTAGGCTCAAGGGAACCTCCCGCTTTGGCTTCCCCAAGTGCTGGGAATATAGGAGTGGGCTACCGCGCCTAGCCAGCAGTCCTCCTTGATAGCCCCAGTTCCTTCTCCTTGCCTCAAATATGCCTGACAAAGGCACTAAGCCCCCCCAGGCTCAGATGCAAACAGATAAAAGAATCCGGGCACTTGCAAGAACAGATGCTGGCTACCATGGTGGGAAGGAGAGCATGGCGGGAAGGAGAGCATGGCTGCCATTGCCCCCACTAGTGCAAAAGCCCATTCTGTCACTGGTGCCATCGTAGAAAAGCAGGTGTCTCATTTTGTGTCTTTGAAGCTGGAGGTATGATAAATAAAAATATATTTATTTTAAAGAAAATTCTGTATATCAATTTGCTTTGGAAAAAAGTAACTCATGTTACAATGAAACACCATTATCAGAAAGGGAATACTTTTCCATCCTCCACTTATCTATACTGCTTAATATGCACCATACATTCACTCATTCATTCATCAAACACCTTCCAGCCCCAGTAGCATGTCAGGCACAAGGAACCCAAAAGCCAACATGTCTTCTGCTGGACACAGTGGCTCACGCCTGTAATCTAATGACTCAGGAGGCTGAGGTGGGGGAATATCTTGAGGCCAAGAATTTGGGACCGGCCTGGTCCATGTAGTGAGACCCATCTCTACATATAAAAAATAATAAATAAATTAGCCAGTGTGATGGCACACACCTATAGTCCCAGATACTCAAAAGGCCAAGGTGGGAGAATCACTTGAGCCCAGGAGTTCAAGACTAGCCTGGGCAACAGAGCAAGAGCCTGTCTCTACAAAAAATTAAATTAAAAAATAATAATAACTGGGTGTGGTAGCACATGCCTGCAGTCTCAGCTACTAGAGAGGCTGAGGACAGAGGATCATTTGCGCTCAGGACTTCAAGACCACAGCAAGCTGTGATCGCACCACTGTGCTCCAGCCTAGGCAACAGAGCAAGACTCCAACTCTAAATAAAATACACACACACATATATTTATACATACATAAATATACACATATATTTATACATATATAAAATATACATATATTATAAAAATATACACACATATACATTTATACATATGTGTGTGTATGTGTGCATGTGTGTGTGTGTCTCCTGCCATCGTACTATGTCAGAGAAGGCTACACAAGGTGTGAACTGGATATTGGAGGTTGGCTAAGACAATACTGTTTTTAGGAAACATGCTTAAAACATAAGGACACAGGCCAAGGCGGGCGGATCACAAGGTCAAGAGATCGAGACCATCCTGGCCAACTAACATGGTGAAACCCTGTCTCCACTAAAAATACAAAAATTAGCTGGATGTGGTGGCGCACACCTATAGTCCCAGTTATGTGGGAGGCTGAGGCAGGAGAATCACTTGAACCCAGGAGGCGGAGGTCGCAGTGAATCAAGATCGCGCCACTGCACTCCAGCTCGGTCAACAGAGCGAGACTCCATCTCAAAAAAAAAAAAAACATACACACACACACACACACACACACACACACACACACACACACATAAGGACACAGAAGAAAAATTGAAAGATTAAAAAAGGGATATATCAGCCAAATACTAACCAAAGGAAAGCTAAAGTAGCCATGTTCATATTATTTAAAACAGGATTGAAGCAAAATGCCTTAATAAAGGGGTCATTACATAATGATAAAAGGTTCAATACATCAAGAAGGTGTAGCAATTTTAGACTTTCATGTACCTAATAGCCTCAAAACACTGAAAGCCGGAAAAAAAAGAAAAGCTCTATAAGGAGAAATTGATTGACAAACTCTACCATCACAGGGAAGTATTTTACCCCGATTCTCTCAGCAGTTGATAAAATACCTGTAATACATCAAAAATGAGAACCATTTTAGCATTTTTTATGATTAACTTATTACTTCATACCAAGCAACCTGCAAGAAATTTCAAGTAGAATAATGCCAAGTGAATGTGCACCAATGATGAATTATTTACTGCCAGTTATTTACTTGCTGGGATTACAGGCATGAGCCATCGCGCCCGGTAAAAGGCATGTTGGCTTTTGGGGCATTTGCACCTGACATGCTACTGGGGTTGGAAGGTGTTTGATGAATGAATGAGTGAATGTATGGTGGGAGTGTAAATTGCTACAGCCTCTTTGGGAAAGAATGAGGTGTTAGAAAGCTGAACATGTGCATATAACCCAGCAGTGACAATCCTAGGTATGCCCACTTTAGGATGCTTTTATATACGTGTGTCAGGAGACATGTGTAAGAAAGTTGATAGCATTGTTGTTCGTAATAGCTCAAAGCTGGAAGCAATCCAAATGTCCATCAAAAGCAGAATGGATAACCCATGGTATATGCACACACTCCAACACTCTACAACAACAACATGAATGAACTGTCCTTTCCTTCTCAGTTTACACAACCCAACCTTGAAAACACAATAACATCAAGGGAAAGAAGCAAATGTCAGAAATAATGTTCAAAAATAGCCTAATGCCCGTAATCCCAGCACTTTGGGAGGCCAAGGCAGAAGGATCACCTGAGGTCAGGAGTTCGAGACCAGCCTGGCCAACACAGTGAAACCCTGTCTCTGCTAAAAATACAAAAATTAGCTGGGCATGGTGGCACGCACATGTAGCCCCAGCTACTTGGGAGGCTGAGGCAGAAGAATCGCTTGAACGCAGGAGGCAGAGGTTGCAGTGCGCCAATATCATTCCACTGTACTCCAGCCTGGGCGACAGAGTGAGACTCTGTCTCAAAAAAAAAAAAAAAAGCCTAAACTAAGCATTATATTGTTTAATGGTAGACAGCTAGATAGTAAAACTATGAAGAAAACCAAGAGAGTGATTAAGATAGATTTAGGATTGTGGTTGCCTCTAGAAAACAGGGGATGTTTCTGGAGATGGGGGGATAATATTGGAAGTCCATGGCAACCTGGGGCTTTCTAAGGAGCTGGTAATATTTCACTTCCTAAGCTGAGTGGTGGGTACACACTCCTGAAGGATACTTTTATATACGTGCATCAGGAGATATATATATAAGAAAGCTAATAGCATTGTTCATAATGCATAGGTGTTTGTTTTACTGATAATCTTTCTCTATCTCTGTGTGTGTGTGTGTGTGTGTGAGACAAGGTCTTGCTATGTCACCTAGAGGCTGGAGTGCAGTGGCACGATCATAGCTCACTGCAGCCTCTATTTCCTGAGCTCAAGTGATCCTATAGCTTCAGCCTTCCGAGTAGCTGGGACTACAGGCATGCATCACCACGTCTGGCTAATTTTCAAAATTTTTTATAGAGATAAGGTCTTGCCACGTTGCCCAGGCTGGTCTTGAACTCCTGGCCTCAAGTGATCCTCCTGCCTTGGCCTCCCAAAGTGCTGCAATGACAGGCCTGAGCCACACCTGGCTTATTGATATTCCTTTAACTGTATGCATACATTTCAACTTACTCTTTCATATATGATACATTTTTTAAAAAGAAAGGCATATAATGCTGCTGAGTCATCTTAAAGTAGGTGGAAAGTTAATAGGGGACTGTATTTTTATCTTTATACTTGTTTGCATTTTTTGAATTTTCTATAATAAGCACATAACACTTTTATCATCATAAAAGAAAAAGAAACCAGGCACAGTGGCACACACCTGTTATCCCAGCACTTTGGGAGGCTGTGGTAGGAAGATCGCTTGAGACCAGGATTTCAGGACTAACCTAAGCAACAGAGTGAGACCTCATCTCTACAAAAAAAAATAATAATACAAAAATTAGCTGGGCATGGTGGTGCACACCTGTAGCCCCAGCTACTTGGGAGACCAAGGTGGAAGAATCATTTGAGCCCAGGAGTTCAAGGCTACAGTGAGTTATGATTGTGCCATTGCACTTCAACCTGGGTGACAGAGTGAGCCCCTGTCTCTCAAAAGAAAAAAAGAATAATAAAACCTTTGAGAAGTGATTAAAGAAATCACAAAAGGAAAGATTTGTATTTGACCACATGAAAACATTACTCTAAAACTTTCAACTGTCTAAAACTGCAAAAAACCCAAAGTTAAAAGACATCCGTGAAAATAATTGACTCTATGTGGAACTCTTACCAATAAATAAGAAAAAGGTAAATGGATAGAAGACATACACCAAGGCTAGGTGCAGGGGCTCACGCCTGTAATCCCAGCACTTTGTGAGGCCAAGGTGGGCTGATCACCTGAGGTCAGGAGTTCAAGACCAGCCTGGCCAACATGGCGAAACACCACCTCTACTAAAATACAAAAGTTAGCCGGAGCTGGCGGTGCATGCCTGTAATGCCAGCTACTCAGGAGGCTGAGGCAGGAGAATCGCTTGAACCTGGGAGGCAGAGGTTGCAGTGAGCCGAGATGGCACCACTGCACTCCAGCCTGGGTGACAGATAGAGACTCCATCTCAAAAAGAAGAAAAAAAGAAAAAAAAGAGAGAAGAAAAGAAAAGAAAAGAGGGGAGGGGAGGGAGGACGGGAGAGGAAAGGGGAGGGGAAAGGGAAGGGAGGGGGAGGGGGAAGGGGAGGGGGAGGGGGAAGGGGAGGGGGAGAAGGAGAAGACAAACGCCAAGAATTCACATGAAAAGAAATATAACTATCTGGAAACATACAGGAAAATATTCAACCTCAGGTAGTAATCCCCACAAACGGTACAATAAAACACAGAGAGGCAAGAAGACAGAATGGAACTGTTCGAAGCCTTCATGACTAGTTGACCTGGGTTTAATTCTAGCTCTGAAAACTTACTAGCTGGGTATGCTTTTGATAATTCTCTTTAACCTTCCAGTTTCTGCTCATGTCTACAATAATGGAAGTAATTAACACCTTGGAGGGTTGTTACAAGCAGTAGACATAATATATCAAGGAATTTAGCACAGGGCCTTGGGCGGTGGCTCACGCCTTAATCCCAGCATTTTGGAAGGCCAGCACAGGAGGATCGCTTGAGCCTGGGCAACATAGGAAAACCGTGTCTCTACACATAATTTAGAAACTACCTGGGTGGGGTGGTGCCCATCTGTGGTCCCAAGTACTTGTGAGGCTGAGGACAGGAAGATGGACTGAGTCCAGGAGGTCAAGGTTGCAGTGAACCGTGATTTGCACCACTGCACTTCAGCCTCGGTGATGGAGCAAGACCCTGCCTCTAAAAAGAAAGAGAGAAAGAGAGAGAGAGAGAGAGAAAGAGACAGAGAAAGAAAGAAAGAGAGAGAAAGAGAGAGGAAAGAAGGAAAGGAAGGAAAGGAAGGAAGGAAGAGGAGAGGAGAGGAAAGGAAAAAGAAAAGAAAAGAAAGAAGGGAAGAACTTAGCATGAAGCATGGCGCATGTAGATGTCTAATGACTGGACTTTCACAAGCAGTGAGGGGAAAGGGAGTCAATGGTGCTAGCTTGTATGGACGCTCTACTGGAGAAGACAGACGTTAAACAATTGTTCTGAGTGTGCCGAGTAATAGATATCAGGTAACACGGTTACCTGTCTAGGTGACCACTGGCCTTCCTGAGAAAGAGATGTTTAAGCTGAAACCTGGGGCTGAGTATGACTCACAGAACATAGAGAGAGGAATAGGAGATTTTATTTTTCCAAGATGATGACATTATTTCTCATCCCACTTTTTTTTTGGTGGTGGGGGACAGGGTCACTCTGTCACCCAGGCTGGAGCGCAGTGTCACAATCACAGCTCACTGCAGCCTCAACCTCCCCAGGCTCAAATGATCCTGAAAGAATGAACAAGAAACAAAACCAGTGTTTGTGTGTAAATAGCCATAATTAGACAACTAGTGGTCCCCCAGCAAGAGAGAATAAAGAATTTGGGTTTCCACTGTCCCGGCTAAGGAGAGGATTTTCTTTTTTTAAAGAGACAGGGTGCCACGATCAGTGTGGCTCACTCCCAAGTAACTGGGAGTACAGGTGTGCACCACCACACCCGACTAACTTTTTAATTTTTTTTAAGAGGCAGGGTCTTGCTGTGTTGCCCAGGCTGGTCTTGAACTCCTGGGCTCAAGCGATCTTCCCGCCTCGGCCTCCTAAAGCATTGGGACCACAGACATGAGCCACCACGCCTTGAAAAGAAGATTTGGAACTGAAATGAGCAGTCTTTCTTTCCATATGCCCCCCACCACCTCTCTAATGCCCATGAGTCCACTCTCTACCTCGAGGCTCACAGGGCAGAGGGAGCTGGTTCGGCAGCGAGAAGAGCGGTTCTTGTAGCTAGTTCTTTTGACTATCCACAGGTGACAGGCTGGTCATCATGGATCCTAATGCACAGGGCACCAGTCTGGGCTGTCTTTGAAAAACTGCATCCCTCAAATGGGGATTGGCTCCCACGTCCTTGCAGAGGCAGGGTTGTCTCTGATCCTGTCCTCTTGTCCTGAAGCCACCATCTCCTCCCCATTGTCACACCCCCATCTCTTCCCTCATTCTTTCTCTTTCTTCTGTCCTAGAGGAAAATTAGCTCATGAATTCTTCTAAATCTATCTCACATCAGGCCCTAAACCATGGTCTTTACTCTTTTCTTTTTCTTTTGTTGAGACAGGGCCCTGCTGTTGGCCAGGCTGGAATGCAGTGGTATAACCTTGGCTCATTGCAACCTCTGCCTCCCGTGCTCAAGCAATCCTCCCACCTCAGCCTCCCAAGTAGTTGAGACTACAGGTGCATGCCACCTCTCCTGGCTAAGTTTTTTATCTTTTGTAGAGACAAGGTTTCACCCTGTTGTCCAGGCTGGTCTTGAACTTCTAGGCTCAAGCGATCCTCCCACTTCAGCCTCTCAAAGTGTTGGGATTGCACGTGTGAGCCACTGCACCTGGCCTCTTTTTTTCTTTTCTTTTCTGTTGGGGCAATAGAAGCCTCTTGTCTAGCTGCCCTAGATAGTGGGGTCACAGGATAATACCATTCACAAGACAAGGTCCCACAACAAGATGATGGTGGCCTGGCCCTGGGAAAGAGGAAATGAGGAGATGAAGTCTTTTAAAAAAGAGAGAGGAGTCTGGGCACGGTGGCTCAAACCTGTAATCCCAGCACTTTGGGAAGCCAAGACGGGCAGATCACTTGAGGCCAAAAGTTCACGGCCAACATAGTGAAACCCTATCTCTAATAAAAATGCAAAAATTAGTCGGTCATGGTGGTGCGCACCTGTACTCCCAGCTACTTGGGAGGCTGAGGCAGGACAATTGCTTGAACCTGGAAGGTGGAGGTTGCAGTGAGCTGAGATCACACCACTGCACTCCAGCCTGGGTGACAGAGTGAGACTCTGTCTCAAAAAAAAAAAAAAAACAAAGAGAGAGAGGGGGCAGGACTTGGAGATAAGGGGAAAAGAAGAGTCCCAGGAGGTCACCTGTAGTGAGATGAATTGGCCCAATCCCTGGGAACCTCATTGGAAGGCAGATGAAAGGCTTTGTCCCTCATTTATTTCCCCTCCTAAAGGTTGTCTCCAGTGATTCTCAGCCTGTCACTAGAAATTAAGTCTCAGTCTGGGCTATCTGCTTGCTGTCAAATTCCTGTTACCCAATTCATTGCCATAAGCTGCCACTAAGAAGCCTGTCAGTATGTGTTAGAAAATCCAGGCTCACATGAAGAAAACATTCACAAACATCGCATGTAGAGGGCTGTGTGTTGGGCTCCCAGAAACACTCCAAAAAGCCTGCTTTGTGTCCACTTCAAAAGATGCATCTATGACAGGTCCCCTCTTCCATCTCTCCTTTTTCTATAGCACAAGCTTCTCTTCTCTTTCTTTGTCTCTTTTTTGTCCTCCATCTACTCCTTCACATAGGATGAGGTCTCCATAAGTGGAGAAAAGAAGGCAAAAATGAAGCTACCTGAGACAGCTGCATTAACAGAAACATAGATTCTAGAATGAAGGAGGTGAGAGTCCTACTGTCGTCTGCATATTTTATTCCTCATGCAGAGTCATGTAATGAATTCTGTTCCCTGTGACAATCTTCCCTTGAAATCATGGAGGTCACTGGGTACAGTGGCTCACACTTGTAATCCCAGCACTTTGGGAAGCCCAGGTGGGTGGATCACCTGAAGTCAGGAGTTTGAGACCAGCCTGGCCAACATGGTGAAACCCCATCTCTACTAAAAATACAAAAACTTAGCCAGGCATGGTGGCGGGTGCCTGTATTCCCAGCTACTCAGGAGGCTGAGGCAGGAGAATCGCTTGAGCCCAGGAGGCAGAGGTTGCAGTGAGCCAAGATGGCGCCACTGCACTCCAGCCTGGGCAACAAGATTGAAACTATGTCTCAAAAAAAGAAAAGAAATCATGGAGGCCTCAGGTCTAGCTGTGTTTGTGGGAAAGGGTCACAGTATTAAAGAAAGTACCCCAGGGGTTGGGGGAAGAAGGCTATAACAAAATTATATTCCACTGTGAGACAGTGGTGGCTTGAGTTGGGATGGGAGCAGTGGCAAAAGTGGGCTTCATTTTAAGAGAGATGTAGACAAAGAAAAGCATATTCAGCCTTAGGAAGATCTCGTGAATACTTGGGAAAGCTCCCATGAATCCTGGTTTCAGCCTGGGAATATTTAGGTTAGAAAACCAACCAAGGTCCTGCCTTTTCAATATGGAGAAGCCAGAAGTGAGAACTAGGACCAAAGTAGAGAAATTAGTTATGAGAGGCTGTTTTCAGCTCAGTAAAAGGATGAGCTGTTTATTGGCAAGAAACCTCCCTAAGATAGAAAGAACCACCTTAGGAGGTAGTGAGCTCCCCATCACTCAAAGTGTGCAAGCCCTTAGTGTGCTTTGAAGCTTCTCCTATCATGGAGAAGCCATGAGCATGCACCAAGTGGTTAAATTACTTTTAATTTTGATTTTCATGCCTTTCCCCAGCGCTTAGAAGCATAAACAGTACAGGATGATATATTGTTATAAATAGTTCAGCCTTGACTGTGGAGTTCACTGAGAACTCCTGCGAGCTGGGGGCTAAGTCAGAGGCTGCAGCAAGCTAACAGAAACAATGGGGCTAGACTAGCCCAGGAAGAAAGTTGAGGACTAAACTCTGATTTTTATATTTCCCAAATTCCTAAAGGGTCTGGGGAGTCATGTCCTGTAAATCATGAATTCTCATCAGATGGGTCTTGTTTAACCCTATATATTGTGACTTACTTTCCAACCTGACTCTGGCATAACATGACAAGACAAGGAAGAAAATCAAAATATTTTTACCCCAAAACATGTTTCCTTGCCATATTTTGAAATGGCCCTGCAAAGCTGTCCTTTGTGGGGGAAATTTTGCATCTGTGAAGAATCTCTATTCACACAGCTAGATCTTTTTTTCCAGGCCCTCCCAACCCTAAAGAGATTAACTAAGAGTCTAGCACCTTTTAAAGGTCTGAATAGGAAACATTGGTCGCAGCCACTATAAGACTTCAGAAGAACCTTGGTCTCCACAATCTTTTATCTTAACCTGAACATTTCTTTTTTATGATCCCATGTCTTGAGATAAACTCAACCAATTGTCAACCAGAAAATGTTTAAATTTACCTGTAGCCTGGAAGCCCCCACTCCTTCCCCCACACCCCGCTTTGAGTTGTCCCACCTTTCTGGACCAAACCAATGTATTTCTTAAATGTATTTGATGTCTCATACCTCCCTAAAATGTATAAAACCAAGCTGCACCCCGACCACCCAGCTTGGGCACATGTTCTCAGGACCCCCTGAGGGCTGTGTCACAGGCCATGGTCACTCATATTTGGCTCAGAATAAATCTCTTCAAATATTTATATTGACTGTCAATCCATTAATTCAAAGAGTGCAAGTCCAAGCTGCGTGAGACAAACTCAAGTGTAGTTCCTCATTTTATTCATTCCTTCAACAAACATTTATTGAGTGCCTGTGTGCTCCAGGGCTGAACCTCCAGAAACTCCCATCCTGGCTGGGAGGACAGATGAGGAAAAGAGTGATGTCCACTAGCATCATGAGAACTTGTTTCTGTTATAAGTGACCAAAACACTCAACCTAGTTTAAATCAACAGGGGGATTTACGGACTTGCTTCCAAACCAAACTGAGGGTCGGGCTGCTATTTCTTGTGGCCTAACAACGAGATGCAGATGAACTGGGGAGGAAGAGACTTTTTATTTCTGTAACCAGTTACAGGAAGAAGGCCTGGAAATTATCACCAGACCGACTCAAAATTACAAGGTTTTTCAGAGCTTATATACTAAGCTATATGTCTATGTGCAAGTGTGCATTCATCTAAAGATTTGTGATTAACTTCTTTTCATCTATAACTAAGGTCTGAGTCCTAAAGAACTTCCTCTGGAGTCTCAGTAAATTTACTTAATCTAAATGGGTGTAGGTGCTGCGGTGAATACCCTTATCTTGTCTCCTGCTAAATCACAGAGTTTTGGGGTGTTCCTTCAGACTTCCAATAAACTTTATTTGTGGAGGCCCTGGGGAGTTTCTTCAGACCCCCAATAAAGCTTGTTTAATCCTAAATGGGTCCTGTTAAGAATTCCTTCATTATTTTGTCATGCTTTGAGGCCCAGGAAAGGCCTAGGCAAAACTCTTGATGGGCTTTTGTTACATTTCAGCCTTCATATAAGGGCACTGGCCTTTTTGGTTTTTAATGTTTAATTTAACTACAGAGTCAGTGCTGAAACAGTTGTGATGGACCTCGCATTAGTGAGACCTGGCCTGCCACAGACTCACATACTTGGAAAGGCAGGGGTGATGATAGCATCAGGCAGAACTGAGCCCAAGGATGTTAATGATGCCCTTGGGATTCTCTCATTCCCTCTCCAGCTCTGCTTCTCTGCAAGTGTCTGCCTCATTTGTCTCTGCAACAGGGGATCTTTTCCCTCATGGAACATGCCTATGCTCTCTCTCCTTGCCTCAGTATAAAAATACCAGGACTGGCTCTGACTGGCCAGGTGAGCAGAGCACTATACCTGTGAATGTTCCCTCCCGAATCACTTGGCTGGAGAGGAGAGGAGTAGGGTGCACTTTCCCATTGGAAAGGGTAGGGCTCTGACAAAGGAGGAATTAGAAGGGGCTGGGCTTCCCCAAACAATAGAACTTCTTCCCCACTATGCAAGAACATGGCAGGAGGCTGGAACCTATCCTTAGAAGCCCAGAGAAGAATCTGTAACTGTCCAAAGGGTTCACTTTGCCTGCTGCCTAGATAGAGCCGATTCATCAAGACAGGGGAATTACAGTAGAGAAAGAGGAATTCATGCAAACCTGGCTGTGCAGGAGACCAGAGTTTTATCATTACTCAAATCAGGGAGCAGAGTTTTTAAGGATAACTTGATGGGTGGGGGAAGCCAGTGAGCCAGGGGTGCTGATTGATCAGGGATGAAATCATAGGGAGTCGAAGCTGACTCTTGCGCTGAGTCAGTTCCTGCGTGGGGGCAACAAGATTGGATGAGCCAGTTCATCAATCTGGGTGGCACCAGCTGATCCATCAAGTGCAGGGTCTGCAAAATATCTCAAGCACTGATCTTAGGAAGTGGTTTAGGGAGGGTCAGAATCTTGTAACCTCCAGCTGCATGACTCCTAAACCATAATTTCTAATGTTGTGGCTAATGTTAGTCCTACAAAGGTAATCTAGTCCCCAGGCAAAAAGGAGGTCTGCTTTGGGAAAGGGCTGTTATTACCTTTGTTTAAACTATAAACTAAGTTTCTCCCAAAGTTAGTTTAGCCTACGCCCAGGAATGAACAAGGACAGCTTGGAGGTTAGAGGCAAGATAGAGTCAGTTAAGTTAGATCTCTTTCACTGTCTCAGTCATAATTTTGCAAAGGCAGTTTCAATTTGCGGAGGAGGTGATGTGTATGCTGAGTCTTGAAAGATAAGTTTATGTGCAGTGGGGATGAAGGTGAGGAGGGGTCTATGCAGACCAGGAAGCAGCAGGTTGGTGAGAGTGAGGAAGAAATCACGATGGCTCCAGTGTGGAGGAGAGTACAGAGGTGGACAGAGGGTTGAAGAGGGGAGTTTAGAGTTAGGCAGGGGCCCTGGTGGGAGGCAGAATTCAAAACTGAATTGCATATGGTGTCAGATAGGTGTGAACATGGGACTCATCAGGCCTGAGATCATAAAGGTAGTGAGCGGGGGCTGGGAATGTCACATCAAGCTTTGGATACAGACACCTTTCTCGTCACCACTATGACAGTGGTTATCATACTTCCTGTGCCTACGAGTCACCTTCTTAGATTAATCTTCTATGAAACATCAGATTCCTGGCCAGGTATAGTGGCTCATGTCTATAATCCCAGTGTCTTTGGATGGCAAGGTGGGAGAATTGCTTGTGACCAGGAGTTTGAGACTAGCCTGGGCAACATAGCAAGACCCCATCTCTAAAAAAAATTTAACAGCCATATGGGTGTGGTGGTGCATGCCTGTAGTCACAGTTATTCAGGAGCTACTGAGGTGGGAAGATCGCTTGAGCCTAGGAGTTTGAGGCTGCAATGAGCTATGATCATACCACCACACTCCAGCCTGGACAATAGAATGAGATACTGACTCAAAAAAAGTTAATTAATTAATTGAAAATCAGATTCCTAGATCCATGCCCCAGAGATCCTGATTCTATAGTTCTGGGGTGGGGCCCATGGATATATATGTCTAATAAGCATCCCAGATCTTCCCAATGTCAGTACTTGTAAGGCATTCACCTAATAGGGTCTATGCTTCACAGCCTCCTGGAGACCCAAGTCCTGCTTCCACCCTGAAGCCTTCTCGGCTGGGCCTTCTCTACCCACCAGCACCTTTTGTTTTGCATCACCCTTCTGACAAGTTATCATACTCACCCACACACTCAGCCCAACTCAGCTACATATAAGGCTCTTAAGAGCAGCAATTGTCCTAAACATTTTCCTTTATTCTAATAGTCCCAGTAGAGTGCTACCTATGCAGGAGTTTAATAAACATCTGTGGTTTGCATTGATTTCACAGTATGTCACGGTATTTCAAGGTGCCCATATATGAGCCACAGAATAAAAAAACCATGGCTTTTGGACAGCAGGCATTGCCTGATTAATAAAATTATCATAAATATATTGAGTTTACTTGATAATAGGTAATCACAATCAATTGACAATGAAGTGAACTACACGATCACTTAATTTAGAATAATTGGATTGAATGATAAACTTAGACTCCTCATTAAAATTAATTGTATTACTGAGACAGCCTTGGAATCCCAAATGCAAGTAATTAAAAGTTTTCAGGTAAAGAAAGATAAATTCTCCTACATGGTTGTGCAGAAAAAAAAAGGAATATGTTTATAGTCTATTTTTAAACTAGATTAAGGAAAGTAATGATGCTGTTACATTTGGCACAATGCTTTGACAGAAGGCTAGAGCTGAGTTAATTTGAATGAGCAAATATTGAACCTTTCTCAAGAAGAGAACCATTTAATATGGAAGCTCTGGGGAGGTTTAACTAACTGAGGGTTTAGGTTGGAGAAAAATGCAAACAAAGCATGTTATAGAACATTTTAAGCAGTGGATGGGTTACCAGCTCAGGTCCCAGATGATACCTCACTCCCCATGCACTGCTTGGTCAACTCAGAAGCTCCTACAGGTATCCAGATCCTAGGGCCAGCTCTATCCATGCTTCCCAGGCTTCAGTGCAAGAAGAATCACCCAGATTCTTGTTAAAATGAAGATTCTGATGCTAAATCAAGGGAGGAGCATGAGGTTCTGCATTTCTAACAAGCTCCTAGGTGATGGACCACACTTTGAGTAGCAAAGGTCTATAACACACCATGTCAGACCATGCTCAGGAGTCAGGTCTGTTCTTACAACTTCCAGAAACATTCTATGGAGACAGAGAACCAGTCAGCAGAGGCTCCTTTGGCCAGGGTTATGTGAGCATTGCAGGCTATCCAATAACTATTCACAGTTCCCAGACAAGTCATACTCCTTCTCATCTGTGCGCCTTTCCATGTAGTGTTGCCTGCATGGAATACATTGGCCCCAAAAAAGAACCTGAAGTCAAGCCACAGAGACAAACTCTGGCTTATTGCAGAAGAAAAATAATTAAAAGATAAGGGGGGCTGGGTGCAGTGGCCCATGTCTGTAATCCCAGCACTCTGGGAGGCCTAGACAGGTGAATCACCTGAAGTCAGGAGTTTGAGACCAGCCTGGCCAACATGGCAAAACCCCATCTCTACTAAAAATAAAAAAATTAGCCGGGCATGGCAGTGTGCACCTGTAGTCCCAGCTACTCTGGAGGCTTAGGCAGGAGAATCACTTGAACCCGGGAGGCGGAGGTTGCGGTGAGCCAAGATTGCACCACTGCACTCCAGCCTGAGCAACAGAGCGAGACTCTGTCTCAAAAACAAACAAACAAACAAACAAACAAAACAAAACAAAAAAAGATAATGGGGGAGAGAGACAGCAAAATGGTAGAATAAGAGATAACAGTCCTCATCCCTTCAGAAACAGACTCAACAACAATATATAGAACAAAATAAACATATGAGGACCCTAAAAACCAGAAAAGATATTGCAGTAGCCATGGTGAGTATGAAACCAAGAACAGCCATATTGAATCAGATAAGAATAGCTGTTTCACTTCCTGTATGATCACTCCACCCCCAACCCAGCACAACCCAGCACCAAGAGAGAACACCCTGGTTCATAACATCTCCCTCTGAGTGGGGAAGAGAGGAATGAAACAGGCACTCAGTGTTCCTGTTTTTGGAGGGCTACTCGAGGGACTGGTATCTGTCTTACTTGACTCAGGGAACTGCTGGGAAGCTAGCGACCTTGGATGCCTGGGGTCACTGAGAACAAAGGAGAGTTGAGTAGTTTCCTGCGGCAACGCCAGAGAACCTTCAGTACCACAGACAGACACCAGAGAAAGAGAGTATGAGCTCCCCAAAAAGAAACTGAAGAAGTTCTCTAATTGGGAAGTTATATGTATAAGCCCAGAGAAGTTGCATTCCTCAAAAAAGGTTTCAAAAGCACCCGGAATCTCTAGCAGTGCTAAGTGATGAAGATCTTCCTGCGTACAAAGGCAGCCTGTAATTATTGGGTGAGGTGTCTATTTGTTCAAATGCTTAAAACTTAGCAAAAAATAAATAAGGCCAGGCGTGGTGGCTCAAGCCTATAATCCCAGCACTTTGGAAGGCTGAGGCAGGCGGATCACGAGGTCAGAAATTCGAGACCATCCTGGCTAACACGGTGAAACCCCGTCTCTACTAAAAATACAAAAAATTAGCTGGGCATGGTGGCGGGTGCCTGTAGTCCCAGCGACTCGGGAGGCTGAGGCAAGAGAATGGTGTGAACCCGGGAGGCGGAGCTTGCAGTGAACCGAGATCGCGCCATTGCACTCCAGCCTGGGCGACAGAGCTAGACTCAGTCTCAATAAATAAATAAATAAATAAATAAATAAATAAATAAAATCACAAGGTACATAAAGAAAAAGAAAAACATGGCTCAATTGAAGAAGAAAAAAATACTCTGGAAATTAAGCCCAAACTAAGGGGAATCTATGAATTACCTGAAAGATAATCCAAAATAATCATATTAAGAAGCTCAATGTGTTACAGTAGAACACAGACAGGCAGTGAAATGAAACCAGAGGGAAAATGCATGAAAAAAAAAATGAGGATATCAGAAAAAGATAGAAACCATAAAATTGAACCAAACAGAAATTCTGGTCTGAAGAATACAATAACTGAATTGAAAAAGTCACTAGACAAACTCAACAGCAGACTTCATCAAGCAGAAGAAACGATCAGTGAACTTAAAGACAGGTCATTTAAAATTATGAAGTCAGAGGGGAAAAAAAGAAAAAAGAATGAAGAAGAGTGAACAAAGCTGAAAGGACTTATGGGACACCATCAAGCCAACCGATAAATGCATCAAAAATATCCCAGAAGGAGATGAGAAGGAAAATTAATACAGCACTTTTTTGAAAAAAATAATGGCCAAAAACTTCCAAATCTGAGGAAGGCAATGAACATCAAATTCAAGAAGCTCAAAAAAGGCTGGGCATGGTGGCTCCTGCCTGTAATCCCAACACTTTAGAAGGCTGAGGCAAGTGGATCACTTGAGCTCAGGAGTTCAAGACCAGCCTGGGCAACACAGCAAGATCCTGTCTCTACCAAAAATACCAAAAAAAAATAGCCAGGCATGGTGGTGTGCACCTGTTGTCCCAGCTACTCACAAGGTTGAAGTGGGAGGGTCACTTGAGCCCAAGGGGGCAGAGGTTGCAGTGAGGCAAGATCATGCCATTGCACTCCAGCCTGGGTGACAGAGCAAGAACCTGTCTAAAAAAAAAAAAAAAAAAAAAAAAAAGCTCAAAAGCCTCCAACTAGGATGAATCCAAAGAAGTTCATGCTGAAACACATTATGATCAAACTGTCAAATTCAAAGAAAAAGAGAGAATCTTGAAAATAGCAAGAGGAAAGCAACTTATCATGTAGAAGGGAGCTCCCATAAATCAGCAGTGGATTTCTCAGGAGAAACCTTTCAAGCCAGAAGAAAGTAGAATGATATATTCAAAGTACTGAAAGAAAACAACTGTCAACCAACAATACTGTATCTGGCAAAATTGCTTGTCAAAAATGAAAAAGAAAAAAGATTTCCCAGATAACCAAAAGCTGAGGGACTTTGTTACCACCAGATCTGCCTTACAAAAAATGCTAAGGGGAGTCCTGGAAATTAAAACAAAAGGACAATAGACAACAACACAAAGCATATACAAATATAACGCTGACTGGTAAAGGTAAATATATAGACAAATATAGGATATAGGATATTGTAATGGTGCATAAAGCACTTTTTTTTTTTGAGATGGAGTCTCGCTGTGTCACCCATACTAGGGTGCAGTGGCGCAATCTCAGCTCACTGCAACCTCTGCCTCTCAGGTTCAAGTGATTCTGCTGCCTCAGCCTCCCGAGCAGCTGGGATTACAGGCGCCCACCACCACATCCAGCTAATTTTTTTTTTTTTTTGTATTTTTGTAGAGATAGGGTTTCACCATGTCGACCAGGCTGGTATCAAACTCCTGACCTCAAGTAGTCCTCCTGCCCTGGCCTCCCAAAGTGCTGGAATTACAGGCATGAGCCACGGGACCCAGCCTCATAAAGCACTTTTAACTCTGGTATAAAATTTAAAAGACAAAAGCTTTAAAAATAAAGATAATTATAAAACTATGTTAATGGATATTCAATATAGAAAGATGGAATTTGTTCATCAATAAAAAAGTGAGGCTGAGGAGATGTAAAAGAGCAGAATTTTTTATATGATTGAAGTGAAGTTGTTATCACCTTCAAATGAATATAAAGTATCTTATGTAGTCTCATAGTAACCGCAAAGAAAATACCTATAGAAGATAAACAAAAGAAAATGAGAAAGAATCAAAGTATGTCATACAAAAAAATTAATAAAACACAAAGGAGGTCATAAAGAGAGTAAAAAAGGGACACAGTAGCTAAAAGACAGACACAAAACAATTAACAAAATGGCAATAATAAGTCCTTTTCTGTCAGTAACTACTTTCAATGTAAATGTATTAAACTTTCCAATCAAAAGACATAGAGTGGCTGAATGATTTTTTTAACCAAGATATAACCATATGCTGTATACAAGAAACCCATTTTAGATTTAAAAACACATAGGCTGAAAGTGAAAGGATGGAAAAAGGTATTCCAAGCAAATAGTAACTAAAATAAAGTATGGATGGCCATACCAATATCACAAAATAGACTTTAAGTTAAAAAAAAAGTCACAAGAGACAAAAAAGAGACATTATTATATAATGATAAAAGGTTCAATACACCGGAAGGATATATAACACTTATAAATTTATATGCATCTAACATCACGGCACCCAAATATATGAAGCCAACTGACAGAATAAAAGGGAGAAATAGAGAATAACACAGTAATAATATGAAATTCTAATATCCTACTTTTGATAATGAATGAAACAACCAGATAGAAAATCAGTAAAAAAAGCAGAGGAGTTGAACACTATAAACCAACTGGACCTAACAGATATATACATAACACTCCACCCAAAAGCAGCAGAATACACATTCTTCTCAAGCACACGTGAATAGATCACATGCTAAGTGACAAAATAAGTCTTAACAAATTTAAGACTGCAATCATATTTACTCTTTTCTGACCACAATGGAATGAAATTAGAAATCAATAGTAGTAGAGAAAATGAAAAAATTTTAAATATGTGGACATCAAATAACAGCATCTTGAACAACTAATGGGTCAAAGAAGAGACCACAAACAAAATTAGAAAATACTGTAAGACAATTAAAACAAAAACACAACTTGCCAGAATTTATAGGATGCAGCAAAAGGGGTACTAAGAGGTAAGTTTAGTTTAGAGTGGTAAATGCCTACATTTAAAAAAAGAAGAAATCTCAAATCAAGAACCTAACTTAACACCTCAAAGAACTAGAAAACGAAGAAAAACTACACCCAAAGTTAGCAGAAAGAAGGAAAAAATAAAGATGAGAGCAGAAATAAACAAAATAAAGAGGAGAAACACGATACAAAAGTCAAATAAATTAAGCTATTTATTAAGAAGATCAACAAAATAGATAAACACTTAGCTAGACTGAAAATTGATTTTATGTGTCAACTTGCCTGGATCATGGGCCACTCAGGTCACATGCTAAATTGGTGGCCCATGGTCAAGCATTCAGCCTTGATATGCTCTGCATTTAATGTTGCACCTTGGGGAGTTAGAAAGGGCTCTAACAATTTGGTTGCTTGGCTGAAACACAGACCAAGATGGTGGCCCAGAGTGAGCAAGTTGGAAAATTCCAACCTTTCTTGGTTTAATGTAGAGACTTAGGGAGACTGAAATATTAGTGTGGGTCTGGTGCGGTGGCTCACACCTATAATCCCAGCACTTCGGGAGGCCAAGGCGGGTAGATCGCCTGAGGTCAGGAGTTCGAGACAAGCCTGAGCAGCATGGTGGTCTCTTCTGAAACTACAAAATTAGCCAGGCATGGTGGCGCATGCCTGTAATCCCAGCTACTTGGGAGGCTGAGGCCAGAGAATCACTTGAACCCGGGAGGTGGAGGTTGCAGTGAGCTGAGATCACGCCATTGCACTCCAGCCTGGGCAAAAAGAGTGAAACTCCATCTCAAAAAAAAAAAAGAAAGAAAGAAAGAAAAGAAATATTAGTGTAGATTTATCATTTAAGACCTACTCATTCACCCTGGGAGGGTGCAGAAGACACACCTTTGATAAGCTGGACCTCATCAAAATTTTAAAGTTTTGTTCTGTGAAAAAGAAATTGAAAAGACATGCTACAGTCTGGAAACAAATATTTCCAAACCACATAGCTGACAAAGGACTAGCATCACAAATATATAAAGAACTCTCAACAGCAAAAACATCAAACAATCCAATTAGAAATAGGTAAAAGACATGGACAGCTATTTTATCAAAGAGTATTTAGAGATGGCTAATAATCATATGAAAAGTTGTTTGGTATAATTAGCAACCAGGGAAATACAAATTTAAATCCCAGTAAGATATCTCTCCACACATATGAAAAGTTATCAAAATAAAAAATAGTGACAACACCTAATTCTGATGAGGATAAGGAGAAATTGGGTCACTCATACAACACTGGTGGGAATACAAAATGGTAGAGCCACTCAGAAAAATAGTTTGTACGTTCTTAGAAACAAAACATGCAACTACCATTGAGCAATTGCACACTTGGGTATTTATCTCAGGAGTATGGAGACTTATACATACACACAAAAAAACTTATACACAAACATTCATAGCAGCTTTCTGTGTGACTCCAAAACTGGAAACAACCCAGTTGGTTAAGACTTGTTTTGTACCTTCATGGGTGATCTATCCTGGTAAATATCTCGTGTGTGCTTGGGAAGAATGTGTATTCTGTTGCTGTTGGGTGGAGTACTATGTAAATGCCTGTTAGGCCCAGTTGATCTATAGTGTTGTTTTTTGTTGATCTTTCTTGATCTCCTCTCTGATTGAATGGATGAATGGTTAAAAAACAACTGTGGTATATCCACACCACAAAATACAACTCAGAAATAATAAGGAATAAACTATTGAGACAATAACAACATGGATGAGTGAAAAAAGTCAATCCCAAAATGATACATACCACACAATTTTATATATGTATATATATGTGTGTGTATATATATGTGTGTGTCTGTGTGTGTGTGTATATATATATATATTCTTTTTTTTTTTTTTTTAGATAGGGTCTCACACTGTCACCCAGGCTGAGTACAGTGGTGCAATCTCAGCTCTCTGCAACCTCTGCTTCCCAGGTTTAAGTGATTCTCAGGCCTCAGCCTCCCAAGTAGCTGGGACTACAGGTGGGCACCACCACACCCAGCTAATTTTTGTATTTTTGGTAGAGACAGGGTTTCACTATGTTGACCAAGCTGGTCTCGAACTCCTGACCTCAGGTGATCTGCCCACCTCGGCCTCCCAAAGTGCTGGGATTACAGATGTCAGCCACCTCACCCAGCCCACATTATTACATTTATATAGCGTTTTTGAAATGACAAAATTACAGAAATGGAGAACAGATTTATAGTTACCAATGGTCAAGAAGGGGAGGGGGCAGGACCAACATGGATACGGCTATAGAAAGACAACAGGAGGCAACCTTGCAGTGATGGAAATGTGATGGCTCTTGACTGTCTTAATGTCAGTATCCTGGTGATGACATTGTAGTAGTATTTCAAGGTATTACCTTTGGGGGAACTGATAAAGAGTGCACAAGATCGCCATTTTTTTTTTTTTTTTTTTTTTTTACCAATGCATGTAAATCTACCATTTCCCCAAAATAAAAAGTTTCATCTAAAAATGAAAGGCCAGGCTGGGCACAGTGACTCACACCTATAATTCCAGCACTTTAGGAGGCTGAGGGGGGTAGATCACTTGAGGTCAGGAGTCCAAGACCAGCCTGGACAACAGGGTGAAACGCTGTCTCTACTAAAAATACAAAAAAAAAAAAAAAATTACCCAGGTGTGGTGGCACATGCCTGTAGTCCCAGCTCCTCGGGAGACTGAGGTGGGAGAATCACTTGAACCCAGGAGGTGGAGGTTGCAGCAAGCCAAGATTGTGCTACTGCACTCCAGTCTGGGCAACAGAGTGAGACTCCATCTCAAAATAAAGTAATAATAACAATAATAAATAAAAGGCCAGGTGTGGTGGCTCACACATGTAATTCCAACAGATTGGGAGGCCAAGGCAGGAGGACTGCTTGAGTCCAGGAGTTTGAGATCAGCCTGGGCAACATTGTGAGACCCCATCTCTATAAAATATGTTTTTAAAAATTAGCCAGGTATGGTGGCACACACCTATAGTCCCAGCTACTCATTGGGCTGAGACAGGAGGATCTACTGAGCCCAGGAGTTCAGGACTGCAGAGAGCTATGATTGTGCCACTGCACTTTAGCCTGGGCAATGGAGCAAGATCTTGTCTCTAAAAATAAATAAACGAATGATAATGGAGAGCTCACATGTTGTCCAGTATTGAAGAACCAGACCTGGAGGTTCCAAGGTCAAGATGAGGTCTAAAGTCAAGGTCCAGAACGCCCCTTGGGATGGCAGCACCACTAAGCCAAGAGCCCTCAGCTTGCACAGCTGGCTGTGAACAGTACTGATAAAACTGCAACTGGCCAGGCGTGGTGGCTCATGCCTGTAATCTCAGCACTTTGGGAGGCCAAGGCAGGCGGATCACGAGGTCAGGAGATCGAGACCATCTTGGCTAACATGGTGAAACCCCGTCTCTTCTAAAACTACAAAAACAAAATTAGCTGGGCGTGGTGGCGGTCGCCTGCAGTCCCTGCTACTCGGGAGACTGAGGCAGGAGAATGGCGTGAACCTGGGAGGCAGAGCTTGCAGTGAGCCGAGATCGCACCACTGCACTGCAGCCTAGGCAACAGAGCGAGACTCTGTCCCAAAAAAAAAAACAAAAGACTGCAATGCACTACTGCTCTCCAGCATGGGTGACAGAATCAGTCCTTGTCTCAAAAACCAAAAAACATACAAAAAGTCACCACTGCACTCCAGCCTAGGCAACAGAGTGAGACCTTGTCTCAAAACAACAAAACAATAGAAAAAGTCTCCACTGACCCATCCTCCCTCCAGCCTGGGTTTGGTTCACTTTCTGTGTGTGGTCATATGCTGCTATGTATCACGTTGGCCCCAGTAAGCTGTGAGCCCTGAGGACAGAAATCCACTTTTATGTCAGTGCCTGACCCAGCACAGGACTCAAGCCTCAATCAAGGTTAAATAAAAAGGGGAAAGAAGAGAGGGAAGAGTTTGCCTGCCAGTCAAGGTCACTATTCCTAGAAAACGACAAATAGACATGGTGCTGGGAGCAAAAGAAAGCAGATTAAGGTAAGAAGCAGGTGGACGGATGACTTCAAACTGCCTGGGACGCTGCAGACAAGGTGGGGCAGATGGTCAGAAAGCAACATCACTGAGGCAGTCAAGAGAAGGCATCTTCCTAGACAGAGAAGCCTGTAGCCGCTGTAAATATGCTAGACCTGTCAAAAGCACATGATAGATCCTCCACATAAATTATGAAACATGGCACGGTGCTATTTGCTCTATGTCAGTATAAAAAAATTTCAAATTTTTAAAAAGATGGAATATTAAAACTTGTCACTAGCATGTCTAAGTCTCCTCTTCCGACCACCCCCTACCTCCTCAAACCAAAAGCAAAAAAATGCGGCAGAACAAAAGACTCCTCTCATTCTTCATTTAAATTCAGGTCCTGTCCAAACTGAATGGTGGCAGATTTGATGCAGCGATGAGTAGGGAGGGGGCAGGCTAGGGTACTTCTCCAGAAGTTGCAGCAATGATGGAACTGCTTTTGGAAAAAGTGTAACTGAGAAAATGATGACAGGGAAAGAGATCTGACCTGATTCCATCTTGCTTCTAACCTCCAAGCTGTCCTTGTTCATTCCTGGGCGTAGGCTGAACTAACTTTGGGAGGAATTTAGTTTATAGTTCAACTTTGAAACAAAGACAATAACAGCCCTTTCCCAAAACAAACCCCCTTCCTGCCTGGGGACTAGACTGCCTTTCCAGGACTAACAAATTAGCCACAAGATTAGAAATTACAGTTTGGAAATCAAGCAGCTGGAGGTTACAAGACTCTGAACCTCCCCAAATTGCTATCCTGGGGATAACATCACTATTGTAAAAGCTAAGATCAGTGCTGGAGATATTTTGCAGACCCTGCACTTGATGGATCAGCAGGCACCACCCAGATCGATAAACTGGCTCATCTGGTCTTGTGGCCCCTACCCAGGAACTGACTCAGTGCAAGAGGACAACTTTGACTCCCTATGATTTCATTTCCAACCTGACCAATCAGCACTCCCCACTTTCCAACCCCCTACTCACCAAATTATCCTTAAAAACCTCGATTCCCAAGTTTTCAGGGAGACATTTGAGTAATAAGAAAACCCTGGTCTCCCATACAGCCCGCTCCATGTGAATTAAACTCTTTCTCTATTGCACTTTCCCTGTCTTGATAAATCGGCTCTGTCCAGGCAGCAGGCAAGGAGAACCCGCTGGTCAGTTACAGTGAGGCTGTTTCAGGCAGAGCTGAGTGACCCACAAAATTCTTAAATGGAATCTTAAGAATTTTAAGAAGTGAGGGGTGAAGATGAGCTGGCCCTAGCTAGGGGCAGAACACCCCACAGAGGGCTCCTACTGCTGTGACCGGAGCACAAGTGGGACTCAGGTGGGTCAGTCTCACCTGGTTCCAGCCCCTAAAGGCCAGGGTCAGCTGCTCTCCTCTCATGTTCCACCGCCAGGCCACTCTGGTCCCAAGGCAAGGCAGGCAGCCTGCACCCGGCTTCTTTGCATTGGCAATTCCCTGTTTGCTGGGCTGTTTGAGGGTGACAGAGGTTTGCAAAGTGCTTTCAAAAGTGAGCCAGTGGCCATGCACTACGGCTCATGCCTGTAATCCTCACACTTTGGGAGGCCGAGACGGGCAGATGGCTTGAGCTCAGGAGTTTGAGACCAGACTGGACAACATGGCAAAACTCCGTTTCTAGAAAAAAATCATAAAAAGTAGCTGGGTGTGGTGGCTCATACCTGTAGTACCAGCTACTTGGAAGGCTGAGGTGGCAGGATAGCTTCAGCCCGGGAGGTCGAGGCTGAAGTACACCATGATGGAGCCCTCCAACCTGGGCAACAGAGTGAGACTCTGTCTCAGAAAACAAAGCAAAAACAAAAGTGAGCCAGCATCCACCAGGTCCTCTCTTCCCTAGCAGTGGAAGAGCCCAGACTTCTGGAAGACTGCCTCTCACCTGGACTTTGAAACCCACATTCCACTTAAATTCTCTTTGACTGCCTTGTGAATAACAATGCATGCTACTGAGCCAGGCTAATGGAAAGTAATCTTTCTCTTTCAGAGCTATTGCTCTGTGAAGTGCTTACCAAATAGGGTTTTTAAATAGCATGAGAGCCAAACTCAATTTGGGAATTAATGTGTTTAAACTCAGCTGGAAACATTCCTCTTCATTCCCAAGGCAGAAACTGGAATTAGAAATCCCCAACTGGTCCCAGCCACTTCCGTGGACTTCGGGACAGAGAAGAGGCCAGAAGTCACTGGGGTATATTCAGAACAGGCAGATTCTGGCAGGGCCACCTGATAGCTGCACCCCAAAAAGTGTCACTGACAGAGCCTGGGAGCTCTTCTCTGCAACTAACCTGAAGGTCCCAGACATCTGTTTTGTCCCCTCTGGACCAATGAACCAAACCAAAGAGAAGGCTGACTTGTGACCCTCAACTTATAAGGACAAGGTCACAGAGGCAACAGAGTGTAGAAATGCCACCCTCTTCCTCTCTCTTCTCATGGACCAGTGGCCACCGTGGCTCTTGGCACCATGTTTTTGATATAGGAGTTAAGAAGAAATTATTTAGGCAGATAGTGAAGGCAAAGAAGTCCTCGGTAAGGTTTTCCTTTTAATGAAAAGCAGGCCCCAAATCATTTTCTTTTCTAACAAAAAACAGCCTGTAAAATCAAGCTGCAGACAGAGACAAGCAAGCTACAAGCTTGCACCGGTGAATGCTGGTAGCTGTGCCAATAGGAAAAGGCTACCTGGGACTAGGCATGTTCAAAATGGCCGCTCATCTTCTCTTCTCTTTGCCGAACCATGTGTATGGTAAGGAGAAGACAACATGGAGCCAGCCAGGCAAAGACTCCATTTGCATAATAAGATTAGGGTGGGGCGACCAGCTTCCCCGCACTATGTAAACGTCACACCTGGTCCAACCAATCTGTGGGCCCTATGTAAATCAGACATCACCTCCTCAAGCCTGTCTATAAAATCCAGTGCACGCTGCCGCAGGACGGAAGCCCCATTCAGGTGCCTCTCTCTCTCGCAAGAGACACAGCCATCCTCCTTTATCTTTCTTTTGCCTATAAACCTCTGCTCCTAAACTCACTTCTTGTATCCGTGCACTCGATTTCCTTGGCGTGAGAAGACAAACCTCAGGTATTACCCCAGACAACGATGCTGCTTCATTTTTATCTCCAAGACATGCCAGGACCTTGCAGCTCAGGTTCTCTCAACTGGACAGTCCAGTTGGCTTTTGGGAGTTGGGGGCTGCCCCTATCCCCTGAGGTTCACGGGCTGGGCTACTCTGGGCCAACCTCTGCACCTGCCAACTCCTGCAGCAGGCAGAGAAGAGCCCAGGCCAGGATGGCAGTGGATTGACTGTGCTAGCCAAGGGAGAGAAGGGAGGTGGCTCAGACACTCCCCTCAGCACCCAAACTCATTTTTCGGGCAGGACCCCAGACTTCCCAGTGCTTAGCGGCTTCCTCAGCTGAAGCTCAGGTTGACTCCAGAGGGGTTTCCTTGTTATAGAATTGTGGAGGTGCACATAATCTCAGCCCTTTGGGAGGCCAAGGTGGGAGGATTGCTTGAGGCCAGGAGTTTGAAACCAGCCTGGGCAACACAGCAAGACCCCATCTCTACAAAATAAAAAATAGGCCAGGTAGGGTGGCTCACACCTGTAATCCCAGCACTTTCGGAGGCTGAGGTGAGTAGATCACGAGGCCAGGAGATCAAGACCATCCTGGCTAACATGGTGAAACCCCATCTCTACTAAAAATACAAAAAATTATCCAGGCGTGGTGGTGGGCACCTGTGGTCCCAGCTACTTGGGAGGCTGAGGCAGGAGAATGGCATGAACCCAGGAGGCAGAGCTTGCAGTGAACCGAGATCACACCACTGCACTCCAGCCTGGGTGACAGAGTGAGACTCTGTCTCAATAAATAAATAAATAAATAAATAAATAAATAAATAATAAAATTAGCCAAGTGTGGTGGTACATGCCTGTGAGTCCCAGCTACTCAGGAGGCTGAGGTTGTAACCACCCAATGGGTTCACCTTGCCCCACTGCCTAGACAGAGCTGATTTATCAAGATAGGGAACATAGAGAAAGAGTAATTCATACGTAGACAGCTGTGCCGGAGACCGGAGATTTATTATTACTCAAATCAGTCTCCATGAGCATTCAAGGATCAGAGTTTTTAAGGACAACTCATGTGGGTTGAGGGAAGCCAGTGAGCCAGGAGTGCTGATTGGTTGAGTCAGAGATAAAACCTTAGGGAGTCAAAGTTGTCTTCTAGTGTTGAGTCAGTTCCCAGGTGGGGGCTACAAGATCAGATGAACCAGTTTCTTGATCTGGGTGGTACCAGCTGATCCATCAAGTCCATGGTCTGCACAATATCTCAAGTGCCGATCTTAGGAGAAGTTCAGGGAGGGTCAGAATGTCATAGCCTCCAGCTGCATGACTCCCAAACCATAATTTCTTTTCTTTTTCTTTTTGATTTTTTTTGAAACCGAGTCTCTGTGTCACCCAGGCTGGAGTGCAGTGGTGCGATCTTGGCTCACTGCAACCTCCGCCTCCTGGGTTAAAGCGATTATCCTGCCTCAGCCGCCTGAGTAGCTGAGATTACAGGCACACACCACCACACCTGGTTAATTTGTGTATTTTTAGTAGAGACAAGGTTTCACCACGTTGGCCAGGCTGGTCTCTATCTCCTGACCTCAAGTGATCCACCTTCCTTGGCCTCCCACAGTGCTGGGATTATAGGCATAAGCCACCATGCCCAGACCCAAACCATAATTTCTAATCTTGTGGCTAATTTCTTAGTCCTATAAGGGCAGTCTAGTCCCCAGGCAAGAAGGAGGTTTGTTTTGGGAAAGGGCTGTTATCATCTTTGTTTTAAACTATAAACTATAAGTTCCTCCCAAAGGTAGTTCAGCTTACGCTCAAGAATGAACAAGGACAGCTTGGAGGTTAGAAGCAAAATGGAGTCAGTTAGGTTACATCTCTTTCATTATCTCAGTCATAATTTTGCAATGGCAGTTTCAAAGTGGGAGGATCACTTGAATCCAGAAGTTCAAAGCTGCAGGGAGCTATGATTGTTACAGAGTGAGACCCTTTCTCTTAAAAAATAAAAAAAAAAATTGTGGAGGTGCTGACCAAAACATTGACTACTAAACCAACCTCCAATAAATGCCTCAATTGTAGCAGTGGTCATCTCTAACTCCAGCCCATTATCTCAATCTCTGCAGCTTTTTTCTTCCTTTCTCAGAGTTTTATTCTTCTCTCCATCCTCCCACCTCCCCAGACTGGAACCAGAATGCATCAAGCCCTTAACGTTGGCTGAGTGAAGCACTGTTTCAGCTTTAGGGGGTTGGAATGAGAGCAAGTAGCATTCGTGTCCTCAGGGAAAATAGAGATTTATCAGGCATAAAAATGAATGATTTTGTGCGTGTCTTTAAAACTGGGCAAAATCATCTCCAAATTATGATGGCTGTCAGGAGCTGGAGGGAAGGGGAAATTGAATAGGTAAGGTACATTTCTAAGTTCTGAGATATTGATTGGGAGTTCTTTCAGCAGCTCTTGTGTTCCTTTGACAAACCCCATTATTATGGATTTTGTGTTTGTTTGGTTTTAGTACTTCCTTATGATGCAGGATTTTCTTCTCAGTAATTTTGCAAGCTGGGGACTTCCAGCCGGTGACACCTGGCTTGGGCCTCACTCGGCCATGCTATCTGCTGCAGGAGATGGCCACCCTACTTGGCCCATCCTGGCTTAGTCTGGTTTGTGTACCACTCCCCGAGTGCTTGTCCCATGCCCAAGAAAAATGAGGATGTGCTGACAATTGAAGAGTGAACAAGGCAGTGAGTTTTATTGAGTGATGAAAACAGCTTTCAGCAGAGAGGGGACACAGTGGTGGTTCCCCTACCCAAAGACAGGAAAGTCCCTTCCATGTGGCTGAGCCCTAGGGCTTTTTATGGGCTCAGAATAGGGGAGATGCAGGCAAACAGGAAAAGAAGTTTTCACTCTGGGTTTTGGATTTCATCCAGGACTAGCAGCCCAGTATTTCAGCCTTCAGGCTGTTTTTGGCTTGAATTTGGGGTTTCACTGGGGACCCACCCCTGTTTGCCTAGGCATTTGGCTGCCTCCTGTCACTATCACTTACTTTCTGATACTATAAGATGCCCCAGACTCAACTTTTATGTTTCATGCGTGGTCCTAGAATAAGCCAATTCTCCAAGAGGTTATTTATCATTTTTAACCTTGTACCTGGCATCTTAAAATTATAGAATGTTGTATGAAAAGATGCCTTAAAGACCACCTGCTCCATTCCCCTTATTTTATAGTTAGGGGAATTGAAGTTGGATGGGGGTGGGTTAGGTAGACATTGGCCACAATCATGTCTCAATTCAGAATGAAGACCAGAGCTCAGGTCTCCACCCAAGGAGACTGTTCTTTCCACACCATAATAATTGTCCCCCAGTAATTTTATTTACAAGTGTAAAACAAGAAATAAATTTGGTTGCACACCAAGATAGCTCCTAATAATTGCTTTATGGAATAAACTTTCATGTGAATGTGCTTTTATATCATTTCGGCCTTGCCCAGAAAACAGTTGAGGACTGAAATAAAACTTCTGATTAGTAAAGCCATCTAGATAGTGTTACTGCTGAGTGAATGTCTTGTTGGATCTACTTGAAGCCAAAGCCCACTTGTTAGCTAATTTAATACTGTGCTTGCTTCTATGTACATGTTTGGTGACATTTTCTTTTTGTAAAGCCATTTAAGTATTTGATGATAATCGTTCCCATGGATACTGCAAATTTCATTTTCTCAGGAAAACACAAGTTCTTGCATTTAATAGTAGGTAGACTGCATAACTGATTTTAATGTTAAGGGATTTTAAAAAGTGGACCGGATTCTAGAAGAGTGGAATTCCATGGTCAGGACAGCCCAGGATTGTCCAGTGACGGAAGAATATTAAAGGATTAACAATGCAGTGAGCAGGACTAGGGAATCTTTCAACCTGCACGTGCATCTGCTTCAGAGGAGCTGAGTCCCCACCTTGGGTGGTTCAACAGAAACAAGACCCCAGGTAATGTGGTCAATGTGAGTGGGGGAAGTGCAGTAAGAAGTCTCCACTCTTTTATAGTTAGGGGAATTGAGGTTGGATGGGGGCAGGTTAGGTAGGTTTCATTTCCTAATAACTGTGCTCAGGTGACTCCCTTTATATGCCACAGTCCCTTAGTGACAGCTTGATCCTATAAGTTATTTGGGTTACTGAAAGAGCTTCATTTCAGTTTATAAGACTTGGTCTTGTTCATTTTAGGATTGCAATTTCATATTCTATGCAAAAGCCTGAACTGTGCTTCCCATCTCCAGCTCCGGATCTAGCAACTATGTGTCTTGTCCCCCACCATTCTCTCTGCTCCATTGCTCTTGCTGCCTGCTGTCAGGGGAGGCATGGGAAGGAGGACAGACACCCTGTCCTCTAATTTGAATGTCACCACTCCCCTTACTGGCTCTCTGGCTGCTATGGTTTGAACCTGTCCTCCAAAGTTCGTATGTTAGGAACTTAATCCCCAACACAACAGTATCAAGAGGTGAGACTGTTAAGAGGCAGAGCCTTCATAAATGGGTTAATGTTGTTATCATGGGAGTGGGCTTGTTATCACAAGAGGGGATTTGTTATAAAAGCCAGTGTAGCCTTCCATCTTGCACGTGCATTCTCTTTCACTGTGGATGCTTTCCTCCATGTTATGATGTAGCAAGAAATCCCTCACCAGGTGCAGCCCCTCAGTCTTGGACTTCCCAACCTCCAGAACCATGATCCAAATAAACTTTCATTTTTTTATAAATTACCTAGCTTGTGGTATTGTTATAGCAGCACAAAAGGGATTAAGACACTGGCTATGCAGAGAACTGTGCCCAAGGAGCCTCTGTGTCCCCACCTTGCTGAGGATCCTTTTTCTCTCTCTCCCTCCCTCTCTCCTCCCTCCCTTTCTCCCTTCTCCCCACTCTTCATCTCTTCCCCCTCCCCCTTCCTCTCTCTATCTCTATCCTCCTCCTTCTCTCTTTCTTTCTCCCTCTCTTCCCCTCCTTTTCCTCTCCCTCTCTCTCTTTTCCTCCTCCCTCTTTCTCCCTCTCTTTCCCTCCTTTTCCTCTCCCTCTCTCTCTTTTCCTCCTCCCTCTTTCTCCCTCTCTTTCCCTCCTTTTCCTCTCTCTCTCTTTTCCTCCTCCCTCTCTTTCTCTCCTTCTCTCCTTCCCTCACCCCCTCTCATTCTCCCTTTTCCTGTCTCTCCCTCCCTTCTTCTCCCTGTCTCCCTCACCCCCTTCTCTCTCCCTCCTTCTCTCTTTCCCTTCCTTCCCCTTCCTCTCTCTTTCTCTCTCTCCCTCCCCTTCCTCTCTCTTTTTCTCTTTCCTCCTCCTTCTCTCTCCTTTCCCCATCTCTCTATCCCTCCCTTTTCCTTTCCCAATCTGTCCCTCCACCCTCCCTCTCATTCCCTCTCTTCCTCCCTCCACCCTCCTTCTCTCTCTCTTCCCCACCCCCTCCTTCCCTCTACCTTCTTCTCTTTCTCCTTCCCTCCCTCTCTTTTCCTCACTCCCTTCTTCTCTCCCTCCTTCTCTCCTTCCATCCCCCTTTCTTTCTCCTCCCTCTTTCTCTCTCCTTTCCTCCCTTCCCCCACTTCTCTCCTCCTCCTCCTCCTCCTCTCTTTCTCTCCCCTCTCTCTCTATTCTCTCTCTCAGCCTCTGTCTGTCACCCCAGAGTCACCTCCAGCTTCTCATCCCTGTGTTCACCTCTCCCCACAGCTGGCACTTTGGTAGTTGTTGTGGTTTGAATGTATGTGTCCCCCCAAAATTCATACTTTGGAACCTAAGCCCAGTGTGATAGTATTAAGAGGTGGGGCCTTTAGGAGATGATTCAGCATGAGGGCTCCACCTTCACAAATGGGATTTACTATCTTATAAGAGAGGTAGAAGGGAGCCGTTCATTCCTTTTTGCCCTTGCATCCCTCCCCATGTGAGGACACAGCATTTGTTTCCAGAGGATGCAGCACAAGGTGCTGTCTTGAAAACAGACAATAGGTCCTCCTCAGACACCAGTCCTGCCAGCACCTTGATCTTGATCTTGGACTGCAGCCTCCAAACTGTGATGAGGACTAAATGTTGATCTTTTCTCTCTTGCCCAGATTCCTATGTAAGGGGACTGGGGAATCATGCCTGGCACACCATAAAATCTCATCAGACAGGTTTCCATTAACCCTATGTGAGTGGCTTACTTTCCAACCTGACTCTAGTAAAACACAACATGACAGCAGACCTTTAAGAAAAATCTAAAGATTTTACCCCAAAATATATTTCTTTGACATATTTTGAAATGGCTTCCACAGAGCCAACAGATTGAAACAGCCGTGGAAAGCCATCTTTTGTGAGAGAAATTTGCATCTTTAGAGAATCTCCATTAATATAGCTGGGTCTCTCCCCTCCCAAGATGCTCCCAGATCTAGGAGAGATTACCTGAGAGCCTGAAACCTTTAATGTCTGAAAACTGACATTTACCATCCCTGAGATTTATCTGAAGGCTGCTATCTATGAGGCTTCATCTGCAAAATAAGAACCTTGATCTTCACAACCCCCTTATCTTAACTCACGCATTCCTTTCTACTGATTTCAAGACTTCAGACAATAGCTTAACTCTCTCAACCAATTGTCAACTAAAGATTTCCTGGCAGGCCCCAGTGCCTCCTGGCTGCAATCCTAGCACTTTGGGAGGCTGAGGCCAGGGGATTGTTTGAGCCCAGGAGTTTGAGACTAGCCTGGGCAACATAGTGAGACCCTGTCTCTATTAACTACATGAAAAACATATAAATAATAAATAAATGAAAAGTTAAAAAAAAAGAATTTCTAAAACACACCTTTGACTTGTAAGACCCACCTTCAAGATGTCCTGCTTTTTCAGGCTAAACGAGTGTATACTTTCTTCAATAGATTTATGATTTTTACCTGCAATTGCTGTCTGCCTAAAGTTTATAAAACCAAACTGTAATCTTCAGTGTCAACAGCCTCAGACACACTTTCTCAGGACCTCTTGAGGTTGTGTAACCCAGGCTGCAGTCACTCGCATTGGCTCAGAATAAATCACCTTAAACATATTCTGGCAAAATTTAAATTTTTCCACCATCACTGAGAAATCAATTTTCTAGTCCTTGTAAATTACCCAGTCTCAGATATTTTGTTAAGCAGCAGAGACAGACTGAGCCAGTGGTAGTAGTATATGGGGGAGACTAGTTACCAATGGTGAAAGGAAAATAAATCTTGGGACCCCAAAATCACTAAGCCGAAAAGAAAAGTCAAGGCTAGGAACTGCTTAGGGCAAACCTGCTTCCCATTCTAGTCCTAATAAAGGTAGCTACTAAAATTTTTTTTTAAAGCTACATACCTCCCTCACAAGGAATTTCCTTGTGGAAAAAGGATAGACAGAACTCAAAATCATTCCTCTGCTCACTGAGGTAAATGCATATCTGCTTGCCTCCTTTGGAAAGGCTAATCAGAGACTCAAAAGAATGCAAACGTTTGTCTCTAACCTACCCTATGACCTGGAAGCCCCCTCCTAGCTTCGATTTATCCCACCTTTCCACATAGAACCAATGTATATCTTATATATATTGATTGAGGGCTCATGTCTCTCTAAAACATGTAAAAACAAGCTGTGCCCTGACCACCTTGGGCACATGTCATCAGGACCTCCTGAGGTTGTGTCATGGACACATGTCCTTCACTTTGGCAAAATAAACTTCCTAAATTGACTGAGACCTGGCTCAGACATTTGAGGTTCACACTGTTACCAGAAAGGGGTCCCAATCCAGACCCCAAGAGATGGTTCTTAGATATTGCACAAGAAAGAATTCAGGGAAAGTCCACAGAGCAGAGTGAAAGCAAGTTTATTAAGAAAGTAAAGGAATAAAGAATAGTTATTCCAAAGGCAGATGCCCATTTTTATTTCTTGATTATATGCTAAACATAAACAAGATTATATGCTGTTATTCATGCCTCCCCTTTTGAGGCCATATGGGGTACCTTCCTGACGTTGCCATGGCATTTGTAAACTGTCATGGCGCTGGTGGGAGTGTAGCAGTGAGGACAACCAGAGGTCACTCTCGTTGCCATCTTGGTTTTGGTGGGTTTTAGCCGGCTTCTTTACTGTAGCCTGTTTTAGCAGCAAGGTCTTTATGATCTGTATCTTGTGCCAACCTCCTATCTCACCTTGTATCTTAGAATACCTTTATTTACTGGGAATACAGCCCAGCAAGTCTTAGCCTTATTTCACCCGGCCCCTATTCAAGATGGAGTTGCTGATTCAAATGCCTCTGACAACACAATAAAACCTTCTGCAATGTCCTTTCTACACAACATAAACTCCGGGCCAAGCCCAAGAGGGGAATGCAGGTAGCACCCACCTGGTCACCTCTCTTCCTCAGCTCTGCCTTCCCTCTCTCCAGCTCCTTCCTCTCTGCCCCAGCAGCAAATAGTCTTCTGAGAAGACCCCACAATGGAGTAGGATGGGGGAGATTCAGGTTCCCCCAGTCTTGTAAACAGTCCTGAGATGACTGCCCTCTCACCCCATCCTCCCCAGAAAAGAGAGTAAAATCATCTTCTCGGGGTTAACAAGAAAGTCATGCCAAGTTCTGGAAAGAAATATAATAATAATTAAGCATTAATTAGGTTGTCCTTTGGCCCACTTTTTTTGTAGCTGCTTGCTAACCAAAAATCACCTAGTACTGGATACTGACCATTTACATCCCCATTGTTCCATTGATCTCTGATGTTATAATCAGAATGCTTTTCTTTAAGGATTGCTTAAGATGTTTTTCAGATCCTGAATTCCAGCAGCATGGCTGATGCCAGCCAGTTCAAAAACCCCCACAGAGGAACAGAATCTGCATGAGAATACAGCTTCTTCATCTCCCTGTCCATGTACTCCTCCACCATACACTCCCCAACCTATCAACAATCCCCACACCTCAGCCCATTACTTCATCAAGCCCTTTGAAATCCCTAGCTAGAACTCCTCAAGGATACAGATTTGAGGCTTGCTCCTGTTTCCTCGTTTGTCTGCCTTACGATCAAACGTCTTTCTCTGCTGCAATTCAGTGTCTCAGTATATTGACTTGCTGTGCATCAGGCAATGAACCTTGGACAGTTGCAGGAGGTCAAGTATATGCCCTCCCTGTGCAGCCTTATCTGAATTTGCCAGGATAACTGAGTCATTCCATTCTCCATGGCTCAGGGCTGTCTCTGTCATGTTGCTCTGCAGCATAAGCTCTCCATTTTTCCCTCCCCCATTCTGGGCCTGGGGCCATCTTAATGGAAGTTTCAAATGACTATGGACCCAAGGCCACATGGTGGTTCTGAAAGTGTGGCCCCAGGACCTGTGACCTCAGCATCACCTGGAAACTTGTTAGAAATGCCTGTTTTCACAAAAAGACACTTGCACTCATGTTTATCACCGTGCTATTCACAATAGCAAAGTCCTGGAATCAACCTAAATGTCCATCGGTGGTGGGTTCTGCAAAGAAAATGTGGTACACATATGCCATGGAATACTATGCAGCCATAAAAAAGAATGAAATCCTGTCATTTGCAGCTACATGGATGGAGCTGAAGGGCATTATTCTAAGTGAAATAACTCAGAAACAGAAAAGCAAATACTGTATGTTCTCACTTATAAGTGGGAGCTAAATAATGAATACACATGGACATACAGGGGGGGAATAACACATGTTGGAGACTCCAAAGGGGAGGAGACTGGGAGGGAGGAGAGGGAAGAAAAATTACTTACTGAGGACAGTGTGCACTATTCGGATGATGGGTT
Source organism: Homo sapiens (assembly GCF_000001405.40). Lineage (NCBI taxonomy): Eukaryota > Metazoa > Chordata > Mammalia > Primates > Hominidae > Homo > Homo sapiens. The sequence continues at coordinate 70,883,608 of NC_000007.14, read as the reverse complement.
CACCAGAAGCCCAAACACCACCCCCATGCAATATGTGCATGTGAACAAGCCTACACATGTACTCCCTGAATCTATAAAAAATACGTTCTTTTTGAAAAAAAAGAAATGCTCATTTTCAGGCCCCAACTCAGATCTACTCAATCAGAAACTCTGGAGGTAGGGCCCAGTGATGTGCGTTTAACAAGTCTTCCAGGTGACAGGGCTTGGAAGAATGAGAACCACTGTTTCAGGGTGCAGATGACCTCTGTTATTTTTTTTTCAACCGTACCTCTGACCCTATCCTTGCAACTTCCTTTTTTTTTTTTTTTTTTTAGATATAGTCTCACTTTGTCACCCAGGCTGGAGTGCAGTGATTATGTAATCATGGCTATCTGCAACCTCCACCTCCCAGGTTCAAGCGATTATTTTGCCTCAGCCTCCCGAATAGCTGGGATTACAGGCATACATCACCACACCTAGCTACTTTTTGTATTTTTGGTCAAGACAGGGTTTCACCATGTTGGCCAGGCTGCTCTCGAACTCCAGACCTCAAGTGGCCCACCCACCTCGGCCTCTTGAAGTGCTGAAATTACAGGCATGAGCCACCACACTCAGCCTGCAACTTCTTTAGTTCTTGGTTTCTAAGAAGTTTAAGTTACTTTTCTAAGTTCATACAATTAGCCAGGCATAGTGGTGGCTGCCTGTAATCTCTGCTACTCTGGAGGCCAAGGCAGGAGAATCATTTGAACTTGGGAGGCAGAGGTTGCAATGAGCCACAATCTCACCATTGTACTCCAGCCTGGGGAACAGAGTGAGACCCTGTCTCAAAATAAATAAATAAATATTAAAAAATTTTAAAAATAAGTTCGTACAGTGATTTAGTGCAGTGTTGAGAACTGTGGCCTCTAAACTGGTGGGATAAGTGACCTCTACTGATATTTAGTGGAGCCATTGCCATTGTGCAAGAGCACGTCTGTCCCAAACATGTGTTCTTGGTGCCCCTCAAGCTGAGAGTCCTGTTGGCTCTGAAGAACTGTATTAGTCTGTTCTAGTTGCCGTAAGATAATAGCACAGACCGGATGGCTTAAACAACAGAAATTTATATTCTCCCAGTTCTGGAGTCTGGAAGTCCAAGATCAAGGTGTTGGCAGGGTTGGTTCCTGCTAAGGCCTCTCTCCTTGGCTTGCAGACAGCCGCCTTCTTGCTCTGTCCTCACATGGCCTTTCCTTTGTGCACAGGAATGTCTGTTCTCAAGTTTTTTTCTTCTTATAAAGATACTAGTTCTATTGGATTAAGACCCACCCTTATGACCCCATTCAACCTTAATTTTGTCTTTAAAAGCCCTATTCCACAAGTAGACCCACTGAAGTTAGGACTTCAGCAGATGAATTTTGGAGGGACACAGTGTACAACAGTGGCTGAAGGAATAAAGGTAGGGCTCGAACTCCCTAACTAACCCCTGTAAAATTAAATAATTCAAACTTGGGGCTGGGCATAGTGACTCATGCCTGTGATCCCAGTGCTCTGGGAAGCTGATGTGAGAGCATCACTTGAGCCCAGCAGTTCCAGACCTGCCTGGGCAACATAGTGAGATCCCATCTCTACAAAAAAAAAAAAAAATTTTTTTAAATTAGCCAGGTGTGGTGGCATGTACCATCTGTGGTCTCAGCTACACAGGAGGCTTAGGTGGGAGGCTGAGGTGGGAAGATCGCTTGAGCCCAGGAGGTCAAGGCTGCAGTGAGCCATGATGGCACAACTGCACTCCAGCCTGGGCGACAGAGTGAGATCCTGTCTCAAAATAATAATAATTCAAACTTAAAGCTGTTACAACTTTAAATTATCCTGAGCCTTGAAAGGAGTGTGGCTCTGCAGCCTGAGTCACGTGGCATGCAGCTGCAAGTCCTGCCTCCTTTTTTCCTGTAAACCATTAAGAAGACGAAGAGCCGCCAGAGATGGGACCTCCCCCGTTCAGATCACTGCCCTGCCTCCCAGTAGTAATCTTCCTTGGCATTTAGCCACCTTTAACTGATCAAATCGCTATGGTGTATGTGCCTGGTCTTCTGTGGAAAATGTTGTAATCCTGCTGAAACATCCCAGTCTCTGCCTATATCATTGAAACCACCACCTCTCTACTTTGGAAATGCTAACTCCATTCGTTTGGAGTCACAGTTTCTGGGGTGGCCATCCTCAAGCTTGACACTTAATCATATTTTTTTCAACTTTTTTTTTTTTTCCAATGAGACAGGGTCTTGCTTTGTCACTCAGGCTGGAGTGCAGTGGTGCAATCATAGCTCACTGCAGCCTCAGTCTCCTGGGTTCCAGCGATCCTGCCACATCATCCTCCCAAGTAGCTGGGACCACAGATGCATGCCATCATGCCCTGCTATTTTTTTATTATTATTATTTTTTGTAGAGACAGGGTCTCACCATGTTGCCCAGGCTGGTCTCAAGCTCCTGTGCCCAAGCAATCCTCCTGCCTTGGCCTCCCAAAGTGCTGGGATTACAGGCATAAGCCACTGTGCCCAGCCTGAACCTTGTTATTTAAGGTTGACACCCTCCGCCGCACCCCATAAGCCAAGCTTAATGTTGCTTTATCCTGTGGTCTCCCTCATCAGGCCTTGCTCTGCCCCTCTGTCAGACCTTCTGTCCTCTTCCTTCATAGCACTTAGCATCATTACAATTACATACTTCTTTGTGCAAATGTTTGTTTATCATCTGCTTGTCACATTACATGACAGTCTTCAGAGGTATAGGCACTGCATTCCCTGCTCTGTTTCCAGCACCTGGTAAAGTCCCTAGCACCTAGCAGAGACTCCACAAATACTTGTAGAATGAATTAATCAATTAATGCTTACTTATTTGTTAAAAGAGACCAGGGAATCCATCTCAGCAACATTTGGGCTAGATGCAATTAAAAAGCACAAACAGAATTTTGTTTTAAATCAGCAAGCATAGTTTTCCAATAACATCGGCGGGTCCAGCATCCAGCCAGGCCCATCTTCTGTCCCTGACAAATGCCTAAGTGATGGATGGCTTGAGATAGAGGACAGCCAGTGCAGGATCAATGATTCTGTAATTGGATGTTGAAGGCAAAGCATGAAAGGACAGTCTTGGTTCAGGGATGGGGTGGGCTGGAGGTGGGGGTGAGAGAACAACACAAAGTCACATCGGGGAGACAGTTGTTGGGTGCGGGAGGGGGATCTGAGTGTGATGTTGGGGACATGCCCTTCCTAACGAGGCCAGCCACCCCATGTATTGTTGGTGTTTCTGGAAAGGGGTCCCAATCCAGACCCCAAGAGAGGATTCTTGGATCTTGCACAAGAAAGAATTTGAGGCAAATCCATAAAGTAAAAGCAAGTTTATTAGCAAATAAATAAAAAATGGCTATGCCATAGGCAGAGCAGTGGCATGGGCCCCTGGTGGCCAATTTTTATGGTTATTTCTTGATTATATGCTAAACAAGGAGGTGGATTATTCATGAGTTTTCCAGGAAAGGGTGAGCAATTCCCAGAACTGAGGGTTCTTCCCCTTTTTAGACCATATAGGGTAACTTCCTAATGTGGCCATGGCACCTGTAAACTGTCATGGTGCTGAGGGGAGTGTCTTTAGCATGCTAATTTATTATAATTAGCATATAATGAGCAGTGAGGACCATCAGAGGTCACTCTCATCACCATCTTGGTTTTGCTGGGTTTTGGCTGGCTTCTTTACCACATCTTGTTTTATCAGCAAGGTCTTTACTACCTGTATTTTGTGCTGGCCTCCTATCTCATCCTTTGACTAAGAATGCCTTAAATGCCTTCACCTCCTGGGAATGCAGCCCAGTAGGTCTCAGCCTTATTTTACACAGCCCCTATTCAAGATGGAGTTCCTCTTGTTAAATGCCTCCGACACTGGGATCCCTACCTGTATGCCCAATTCCTAGGCAGGTGACATGGTTTGGCTGTGTTCCCACCCAAATCTCATCTTCAATTGTAGCTCCCACAATTCTCATGTGTTGTGGGAGGGACCTAGTGGGAGGTAATTGAATCATGGAAGACAGGTCTTTCCTGTGCTGTTCTCTTGATAGTGAATAAGTCTCATGAGAGCTGACGGTTTTATGAAGAGGAGTTCCCCTGCACAAGCTCTCTCTCTCTTTGCCGGCCGCCATCCATGTAAGACATGACTTTCTCCTTGTCTTCTGCCATGATTGTGAAGCCTCCCCAGCCATGTGGAACTGTGAGTCCATTAAACTTCTTTTTCTTCCCAGTCTCGGGTATGTCTTTATCAGCAGCATGAAAATGGACTAATACAGCAGGATTAGATTTTTTCAGCCATGCACACTTGGACAGACAGACATCAGTTGACAAGCCCACCTTGTTTCCAACAGGATTTTCTACTTTACTTTGGGTCTTCCCTGAAGGTATCTCTTAAAGACAATTCAATAGGAGTAACTGCTTTCTTTAACATTTTGGCCAATCCCAACCTCAGCATGTGCTCAACACAATTTTCACAATATGGAACACCACCTGTAATTGTTCAGTACAAGCAATTCTATCATCTTGCTACTCAAAATCTGGGCTGAGAACCTGCAGCCTCAGCATCACTGGGGAGTTTATTAGAAATGCAGAATCCAGTGTGGTGGCTCACACCTGTAGTCCCAGCTCTTTGGGAGATTTCGGTGCGAGCATCGATTGAGGCCAGGAGTTCAAGACCAGCCTGGGCAACATAGCAAGACCTTGTCTCTACAAAAAATTTAAAAATTAGCCAGGTTTGGTGGTGCATGACCGCAGTCCCAGTTATTCAGCGGGGCAGAGGCTGGAGGATAGCTTGAGACCAGGAGCTCGAGGTTGTAGTGAGCCATGATTGCACCACTGCACTCCAGCCTTGGTGAAAGAGAGAGATGCTGTCTCAATACAGGATCAGAATCTGCCTTTCAGTAAGATCTCCAGGTGATTCATGCACAACTTTATATTTGACAACATTACGTCTGAAAGGCACTAACCTAGAGCAGCTTCACTGAAAAAGCTCCCCAAAATGCAGTTTCTACTAGTGAATCCGTCATGGAATATCATCTGTCCCCTTCATGGATGACCCGGGGCAGCAAATTTTGTGCATCTTACCTCCAATATAAACCTCAGAAATATATAGTTTTATATGTCCTAATTCTGTCTTCTCACAAAAGAACGCTGGGGTTGGGTGGCTTTTTTATTTTACAAAAATAATAAATTTAGATATCATCTAAATCTCCCTTTTTAGAACTGAAGAAAAAAAACCAATTTGACCCATACTTGTGGAGTATTTTAAGATGACACAGCAAGAAATATTGCCCCAAACAATGAAAATTCAACCCAAAATGATTTTATGTTTTTAGTTTGTATTTTCTCATTTCCTACCAGTGTTCTCACATCTCAAGGCTAGTTTCTGGGCTTTGAAAGGTGAAAAATATGGTTAATGAATAGCAGACACAGTCGTGTGATACCAGCAACGACTTCTAAAATCTCTCAGCCTCCAGCAGTCTGGTTTCCAAAGCAGTTGCATTTATAAAATCCCTAAGAGTCAGAGGTAGCCTCAATTAGCACATGCATTTTCACAGACAAGAGTTTTAGAGTGTTTCAGATTTTTAGAGAGATTATATAAAGGACACAAAGCTGGCAAGTGTCAAAACTAGTTGGGAGCCAAGAGCTGTCTGACACCAAATTAGATTTAAAAAAAAAAAAGTGGGTCACCTTGGGAGGCTAAAGCAAAAAGATTGTTTGAAGCCAAGAGTTTGAGACCAGCCTGAGCAACATAGCGAGACCCCGTCTCTACAAAAACTAAAAACAAATTGGCTGGGCATGGTGGCACCCACCTGTAGTCCTAGGTACTCGGGAGGCTGAGGTAAGAGGATCACTTGAGCCCAGGAGTTGGAGGCTGCGGTGAACTGTGATTGTGCCACTGCACTCCAGCCTGGGCAATAGGGCAAGAACCTGTCTTTAAGAAAAAAAAGGAAAAAAAAAAGGCATCATTACTGAATTCCCAAGAGTGCGTAACAGTCACTATTATTATCACGGGATCCAAATTCCAAATATGGACCCCAACATGTCCAGCTTCTAATGCAGAAGGTACAGTGGTCTCCCCAAGGCTAGAAGCATGAAGGGATTTGGGATGAGATGATTTTGTAATCAGCCAAGACACCCTGCCCAGAAACGTTTTCAGAATTCTTTGCCAGATATATCCAATCAATACTCATCTTCCAAGATGACAAGATTACATGAAGACAAAGCTGAAGTCGCTGGAAGGTGTGTCAGTATGAAGTAGTCATGTGGTTTCTTCTCAGAAACTCTTCTACAAGTCTTCACCCCCCTGGAGATAATTATAAAAATAGGAACAAAAAAAAAAGTTGGCACAAATAAATAATGAAAATAGAAAAAAAAGAAAACCCCCATACATGTGCATGTGTCTTTATAATAGAATGATTTATATTCATTTGGGTATATACCCAATAATGGGACTGCTGGATCAAATAGTATTTCTGTCTTTAGGTCTTTGAGGAATCTCCACACTGTCTTCCACAATCGTCGAACTAATTCATACTTTCACCAATGGAGTATAAATGTCCCTTCTACTTCACAACCTTGCCAGTATTTGTTATTTTTTGACGTTTTAATAACAGCCATTCTGACTGGTGTGAGATCGTATCCGTGGTGGTTTTAATTTGCATTTCTCTAATGCTCATTGATGTTGAGCTTATTTTCATATGATTGTTGGCTCCATGTAAGTATCCTTTGGAAAAGTTTCTGTTCATGTCCTTTGCCAGCTTTTTTATGGAGTCCTTTGTGTTTTGCTTATAAATTTGTTTAAGTTCCTGGACGTTAGACCTTTGTCAGATGCATAGTTTGCAAAAATTTTCTCCCATTCTGTAGGTTATCTATTTACTCTTGTTGATAGTTTCTTTTCCTGTGCAGAAGCTCTTTAGTTTAATTAGATCCCATTTGTCAGTTTTTGCTTTCACAATAGCAAACACAAGGAATCAACCTAAATGCCCATCAATGGTAGACTGGATGAAGAAAATGTGGTACATATACACCATGGAATACTATGCAGCCATAAAAAAGAATGAGATCATGTCATTTGCAGGGACATGGATGGAGCTGGAGGCCATTATCCTTAGCAAACTAACACAGAAACAGAAAACCAAATACCATATATTCTCACTTATAAGTGGGAGCTAAATGATGAGAACACGCAGACACATAGAGGGGAACAACATACACTGGGGTCTGTCAAAGGGTGGAGGGTGGGAGGAGAGTGTCAGAAAAAATAACTAATGGGTACTAGGCTTAATACCTGGGTGATGAAGTAATCTGTACAACACACCCCTGTGATAGGAGTTTACCAACATAACAAACCTGCACTTGTACCCCTGAACTTAAAATAAATGTTTAAAAAAAAAAAAAGAAACTCTGTAGTTAAAAAAGAGACAGAGGCCGGGCGCGGTGGCTCACACCTGTAATCCCAGCACTTTGGGAGGCCGAGGCAGGTGGATCACAATGTCAGGAGATCGAGACCATCCTGGCTAACATGGTGAGACCCCATCTCTACTAAAAATACAAAAAATTAGCCGGGCGTGGTGGCGGGCGCGTGTGGTCCCAGCTACTCCGGATGCTGAGGCAGGAGAATGGCGTGAACCCGGGAGGCAGAGCTTACAGTGAGCCGAGATGGTGCCACTGCGCTCCAGCCTGGGCGACAGAGCGAGACTCCGTGTCAAAAAAAAAAAAAAATACAGAGAGAGAGAGAAAGCCTTTTGGGAACGTGGTGAACACCAGACAGGAGTATGGTGGACCTGCTCTTGTAGGAATGTCAGCTAATGTCCTCACGTATTATAGGAAGAAACCTACGTCTTGATGCGCTGATACCTTGATGCGCTGTTAGGTCCAGTGCTCACTGCAGAGAGCTAGAAATGTCCCTTTGTGGGGTGGTCTAACGCAGCGATTAAGATCCTGGATTCTGGCCCGGCATGGTGGCTCACTCCTGTAATCTCGGCATTTTGGGAGGCCGAGGCAGGTAGATCACCTGAGGTCAGGAGTTCAAGACCAGCCTGGCCAATAGGGCAAAACCCTCTTCTCTACTAAAAATACAGAAATTACCTTGTGTGGTGGTGGGTGCCTGTAATCCCTGCTGCTCAGGAAGCTGAGGCAGGAGAATCACTTAACCCGGGAGGCAGAGGCAGCAGTAAGCCAAGATTGCGCCACTGCACTCCAGCCTAGGTGACAGAGCAAGACTCCGTCTCAAAAATAGAAAAAAAAAAAAGAAAAAAGAAAAAAGAAAAGGTCCTGCATTCCAGTTCTACAAAGTCCAGCTCTGCCACTTACGACCTGTGGTATAAACTCGAGAACATTACTGCAACACTCTGGTCCTCAGTTTCCCCATCTGTAAAATGGGGATTAAAAATAGTACATACTTGAGATGGCTGTTCAACGATTAAATTAATTAACATAAAAAAATTGATGAACATAAAGTGCTTACCACAATGCCAGGTACATAGAAGATGTCAAGCAATAGCATCATTATTATTAGTTCCACTGAAAACTTTATTTACAAGACTGTATGCCCTGAGGGCAGGAGCTAAGTGTAGTTTGTCTCTGCCTTGCAGCCCCAGAGCCTGGCAGGTGCCCCCCATGAGAGGTACAAGGTGAACGAATTAGCAAATGAAGGACGTTCTCTTCAAACCAGGGACACAAGTCCAAGGGGTAATTTTGGCTGTGATTGTCCCAACAATGGATCTTCTACACACAGAAGACCAAGAGGAAAACAATGAACAAAAATAAATCAGAATTAAGAATAAAATTTGAACAAAATTTGAATAAAGAATAAAATTTGGCTGGGCGTGGTGGCTCATACCTGTGATCCCAGCACTTTGGGAGGCTGGGGCATGAGGATCCCTTGAGGCCAGGAGTTCGAGGCTGCGGTGAGCTACAATCACACCACTATACTCCAGCTTGAGTAACAGAGTGAGATCCTGTCTTAAATAAATAAATAAACAAATAATTTAAAATGCAGTTTTGAGCTGCATCCAGGAGTCAGTCCACCTTCCAGACACCACCTCCAGCCGTCTGACCACCACCCTCGGCAGCCTCGTGTGAAGTCCAGGCTTCCAGCTTCCTCATGTATCAGAGCTCCTGTCATTTCAAAGGGGAGGGCCTGAAAATGCAAAGAAAAGGCTCTGTGCTGGGAGCACTGGGATGGTGGCAGGAACCCTCAGCCTAGGAGGTGTCTCATCTGGTCTTTCCTCAATATCACACTCAGATCCCCCCACCCAGTAACTGAGATGCTGAGGAGAGGCCTTCGTCCCATACAGGGGAGGCCAGGGCTACAACAAAGCCAGAGCCCAGATCAGCATGGGGGATGAGACCCCTTCTGACCCCACACTTTTTGTTTCTCATTTCTTTTTCTTTTTTTAATTATGGTAGGCTGGGCATGATGCCTTACACCTTAAACCCAGCACTTTGGGAAGTTTGAGGCAGGAGAATTGCTTGAGGCCAGGAGTTCCAGACAAGACTGGACAGGACAATATAGCAAGACCCCATCTCTATAAAAAATAAAAATTTAAATTATATTAAAATACTCATAAAATATGTCATTACTGACATTGAGCATATTCACAGTGTCGTGCACTATGAATCACCACTCTCTAGTTCTAGAACATTTCCATTAACCCCAGAGGAAAGCCCCTTCCCATAAGTGGACACTCGCCACGCCCTCTCCCCCAACCCTTGCCAACCATGAATCCACTTTCTGTCTCCATGGATTTGCCTATTCTGGACATTTCATAGTAAGAAAAGGAATCCTGTAATATATGTGGCTTTTGTGTGTGGCATCTTCCACTGAGTATGTTTCTGAGGTTCATTCTGAGTTGAAGCATGGCTCAGAACTTTGTTCCCCTTTAAGAATAAATACTATTCCATTGTATGGATGTATTACATTTTGTTTATCCACTCATTCACTGATGGATGACTGGGTTGTTTCTACTTGTTTTTTTTGTTTGTTTGTTTCAAACACCTGGGGTGTGGTTTGGTTGTTTGGTTTTTTGTTTTTTGGATTTGTTTTGTTTTGTTTGAGACAGAGTCTCTCTCTTCTCCCAGGCTGGAGTGCAGTGGCACAATCTCAGCTCACTGCAGCCTCTACTTCCAGGTACAAGCGATTCTCATGCCTCAGCCTCCCGAGTATCTGGGATTACAGGTGCCCGCCACCACACCTGGCTAATTTTTGTTTTTTTAGTAGAGATGGGGTTTTACCATGTTGCCCAGGCTGGTCTCGAACTTCTGGCCTCCAGTGATCTGCCTACCTAGGCTCCCAAAGTGCTGAGATTACAGGCGTGAGTCACCTTGCCTGGCCCTTTTTTTTTTTTTTTTTTTTTTTTTGAGACAGCGTCTCACTCTGTCACCCAGGCTGGAGTACAATGGTGCAGACATAGCTCCCTGTAACCTTCAATTCCTGGGCTCAAGTGATCCTCTCACCTTGACCTCCAAAAGTGATACATGTTTTTTAATCCAATTTGGTGTCAGACAGCTCTGGGCTCCCAACGACTTTTGACACTTGCCAGCTTTGTGTCCTCTATATAATCTCTCTCAAAATCTGAAACACGCTAAGACTCTTGTCTGTGAAAATGAATGTGCTAATTGAGGCTGCCTCTGACTCCCGGGGATTTTATATGTGGAAGTGCTTTGGAAACCAGACTGCCCTGGCAGCTGAGAGATTTTAGAAGTCATTGGTATCACTTGACTACATTTGCTGTTCATTAACCATACTTTTCATCTTTCAAAGCCCAGAAAATAGCCTTCAGATGTGAGAACACTGGTGGGAAATGAGGTAGTACAAATTAAACACATAAAATCATTTGAGGTTGAGTTTTCATTGTTTTGGGCAACATTTCTTGCTATATCATCTCAAAACACTCCGCAGGTGTGGGTCAAAACTTTATTTTCCAGCTGTAAAAAGGGAGATTTAGATATCTAAACATTATTATTATTATTGTAGAAAAAAACCAAGACATCCAATCCCAATCAGGGTTCTTTTATGGGAAGACAAACCTGGGAGACCTGGGACTGTATCATTTCTGAGGTTTATATTGGGGTTAAGGTGCATAAAATCGGCTGCCCTCGGTCACCCTTGAAGGGGACAGTTGAGATTCCACAATGCATTCACTAGTAGAAACTGCATTTTAGGGAGATTTTCAGTGAAGTTGTTCTAGGTTAGTGCCTTTCAGATGTAAAGTTGTCAAATGTAAAGTTGTACTGATACTGTAGCTCTGAAATGGGGCCTAGGATTTTTTTTCCTTCTTCCCTCCCTCCCTCCCTCCCTCCCTCCCTTCCTCCCTCCCTTCCTTCCTTCCTCCCTCCCTCCCTTCCTCCCTCCCTCCTTCCTCCCTCCCTCCCTTCCTTCCTTCCCTTCCACCCTCCCTCCCTTCCCTTCCTCCCTCCCTCCCTTCCTCCCTCCCTTCCTCCCTCCCTCCCTCCCTTCCTCCCTTCCTCCCTCCCTTCCTCCCTCCCTCCTTTCTTTCCTTCCTTCCTTCTTTTATTCCCTCCTTCCTTCTTTCCGCCCTTGCTTCCTTCCTTCCTTCTTTCTTTGACAGGGTCTCACTCTCTATTGCCGAGGTTAAAGGACAGTGACACAATCATAGCTCTAGAACGGGGCCTGGAATTTTCTCTTTTCTTTTTCTTTTTCTCTTTCTTTCTTCCTTCCTTCCTTTCTTTCCTTCCTTCCTTCCTTCCTTCTTTCTTTCTTTCTCTCTCTTTCTCTCTCTCTCCCACCCCTCTCTCTCTCTCCCTCCCTCCCTCCCCCCCACCTCTCTCTCTCTCTCTCTTTCTTTTTTGAGACAGGGTCTCACTCTGTTGCCCAGGCTGGAGTGCAGTGGCACAATCATAGCTCCTGGCAGCCTTGACCTCCTGAGCTCCCAGTACCTGTAGGAGGGATTACAGGTAGACACAATGACAGTTAGCTAATTGTTTAATTGTTTGCAGAAATGGGGTCTCGCTATGTTGCCCAGGCTGTGCTTGAACTCCTGGGCTGAAGCAATCCTTCCACCTCAGCCTCCCAAAGTGCTGGGATTACAAGCGTGAGCCACTGCACCCAGCCCAATTACCAACTTTCAATTTTAGGGAAAGTCTATACCCAGAGGAGTGATTGCTGGGTCACACGATAATTCTGTTTAACTCATTGAGCACAGTAGGTGTTATAGTGTTTTGGGGTGTTTTTTTACATTTTAAAAAAAAACTAATAACAGCATCCTATTACCTGGCAGCTCGCAGTACCCGGGCACATGCTATGTGTCAGACACTGAGCCCTTGTCATTGTATACCTACATGAGCCTCTAGGGCATGCAGTATTACCTTCATTGTACAGATGGGAAAACAGGCTCAGAGAAGTGGTGTGGGGTGCCCAGAGTCACACAGTGAGTGGTGTGAGACCTGGGATTTGCATCTAGAGCTTTCCAATCCGAAAGTGCTTAGCCAAGCCAAGGCTCAGTCTTCCTGACTTCCCATCAGCCACCTTCACTGCTATCCTGCTTCTCAATGTCTTTTTCTTTTTTTTTTTTTTTTTTTTTGAGACGAAGTCTTGCTGTGTCTCCCAGGCTGCAGTGCAGTGGCACAATCTTGGCTCACTGCAACCTCCACCTCCCAAGTTCAAGCGGTTCTCCTGCCTCAGCCTCCCGAGTAGCTGGGATTACAGGCGCCCGCCACCACTCCCGGCTGAGTTTTGTATTTTTAGTAGAGACGGGGTTTCACTATGTTGAACAGGCTGGTCTTGAACTCCTGACCTTAAGTGGTCTGCCCGCCTTGGCCTCCCAAAGTGCTGGGATTACAGGCGTGAGCCACGGCACCCATGCCTGACCCTGCTTCTCAATTTCTATGTGACTTCCTGGATGGATGGAGGGGAGGGAGCTAGAGAAGGCTGATGAGGCCACTGCACCACTGGGAAGCATCTGGGGAGGAGGAGTGGCCTAGACGGCAGGATGATTTCCCTGTGATCATCTCAACACAAGGAGGTGGAAGCCGTTATCCTCAGCAAACTAATGCAGGAACAGAAAACCAAACACCACATGTTCTCACTTACAAGTGGGAGCTGAATGATGAGAATGCACGGACACAGGGAGGTTACAACACACACTGGGACCTGTCGGAGGGCGCTGGTGGGAGGAGGGAGAGCATCAGGAAGAATAGCTAATGGATGCTGAGCTGAATTCCTAGTTGGTGAGATGATCTGTGCAGCAAACAACCATGGCCCATGTTTACCTATGTAACAAACCTGCACATCCTGCACGTGAACCCCAGAACTTAAAATAAAAGTTGGAGAGAGGGAAAAAAAAAACAATGGTGCAGGCTTCTTTCTCTGACAACAATGCAAGAAAGCTAGAAACGAATAAGGTGTGTTTCGTAAAATCAACCCGAAACAGATGGGAAATTGTAAAGGCTCAATTTTAATTGAAATGGCCATGAGAAGAAATGTAGTACAGGCCAGGTGTGGTGGCTCACACCTGTAATCCCAGCACTTTGGGAGGTTGAGGTGGGTGGATCATTTGGGGCCAGGAGTTCAAGACCAGCCTGGCGAACATGGCGAGAGCCCATCTCTACTAAAAATTAAAAAAAAAAAAATTAGCTGTGTGTGGTGGCATGTGTCTGTGGTCCCAGCTACTCAGGAGGCTGAGGCAGGGGAATCACTTGGAGCCGGGAGGCAGAGGTTGCAGTGAGCCAAGATCACACCACCACACAGCCTGGGCAAGAGTGAAACTTTGTCTCCAAAAAAGAAAAAAAATGAAATGCACCAGGTGAGAGCCTCCAAGGGTCCTGGGAAGGAGCTGGGAGGGGTATTTTGGAGATCTCTTGGACTACTTTAGGTCCAGTCTTGAGACTGGATGAGGAATCTTCATATAAGTTTCTCCTGTCAAAGCCACAGATATGGGACTGCAAGAGCAGACAGCTCACTGAGCCAGGCTAGGACACCTGAGAGTTCAGGTCATTAGATTCCCTGCAGCCACTGTGCAGGGCCTGGTGCCTGCAAAATCCACTGGGCAACTACATTCCCACGCCAAATAGGGCTGAGAACTCCACAGGGGAAGAAATCTGTGGACAAATTTGGAAAACAGCAAACCATCTGCATGTGGAAGATGAGATTGCTTGGTGCTCCCGAGACTAGGCGGGCAGCAAGAGTTTGGAATTTTCCAGCAGGAATGCTGAGCTGGTCATCTTCAAGCCCCTTCATGCCTGGGCTAAGAAGCCTATTATTATGAATTATATCAGTGGCCGGGTGCAGTGGCTCGTGTCTGTAATCCCAGCACTTTGGGAGGCTGAGGCAGGGCGGATCACTTGAGCTCAGGAATTCAAGACCAGCATGGTCAACATGGCAAAACCTGTCGCTAAATTTTATTTTTGTATTGTAAAAACACAAAACAATTAGCCAAGCATGGTGGCGCATGCCTGTGGTCCCAGCTACTCAGAAGGCTGAGGTGGGAGGATCACTTGAGACCTGGGGTCAAGGGGAGCAGAGGTTGCAGTGAGCAGAGATTGTATCACTGCGCTCCAGCCTGGGTGACAGAGTGAGATCCTGTCTCAAAAAAAAAAAAAAAAAATTATATCAGCAATAACAGCTAACACGTATTGCACAGGTGCACCATGTCCAGCACTTTTTCGAGAGCTTTGTGTGTATTACCTAATTTAATCCAAACAACAATACTACATGGTACAATATTTTTATTTTTTACAATTATTTTTCCCATTTTGCAGAAGAAGTAACGAAACAGAGGCACAAAGCGGGGTGCAAAGCTGGTAAAGGGTGGAGCAAGTGTCCAGGGCCAGATATTCTAGGGAAGCCACAGCATTGAACCCTTGCCAGGAGGGGTGAGGCTCCTAGGACCCCTTGCCCTTTCCTTCGTGCACTGGCCTCTGGCTGCCCTGGGGCACCAAACACCAGGGGTCTGCTCACCGGGAAATGGCATTCTGTTAGCCTCCAGCCCACAGCCAGTGACAGCTTGCAGCCCACAGCGCTCTACTCCAGCTGGTTATTGATGACAAAAGATGGGAGGAAAACATCACCCAAGCAGGTGCACATGAAGTGGACCCACATAACCCATCCTTCTCCTGCCCCCTGGAAACAGTTTTGTAACAGCCTAATAAGGACAGCAAAGCCAGGGAGGGTCAAGCCAAGTGCCTCTGCTGGGGCCACTGCCCAGGTCTCCATCTCCTGAACCACAGGGTGTCATGGCCTGGATGTTTGCATCTCCCCAGATTTGTATGTTCAAACCTTATCCCTATCAGAGGTAGAGTCTTGGCCAAGTGCAGTGGCTCACATATGTAATCCCAGCACTTTGGGAGGACGAGGCAGGCAGATCACCTGAGGTCAGGTGTTCAAGACCAGCCTGGCCAACATGGTGACCCCCTGTCTCCACTAAAAATACAAAAATTAGCTGGGTGTGGTGGCACGCACCTGTGATCCCAGCTACTTGGTAGGCTGAGGCAGGAGAATCGTTTGAACTCGGGAGGCAGAGGTTGCAGTGAGCTGAGATTGCACCATCGCACTCCAGCCTGGGTTACAGAGTGAGAATCTGTCTCAAAAAAAAAAAAAAAAATTGAGTCTTTAGGAGATGATTAGTTGATGAAAGTGGAACCCTTGTGCATGGGATTAGTGCCATTCTAAAAGAGACCCAAGCTCCCAAAGGCAGGCAATAATGAATGCTGGCGAGGATGAGGAGAAGAGGGAACCCTGGTACACTGTTGGTGAGAATGTGAATTAGTACAACCACGATGGGGAACAGAATGGAGGTTCCTCAGAAAACTGAAAATAACAGAACCTCCATGTGATCCAGCAATCCCACTCCTGGGTGTATACCTACCAGAGGAAATCACTATATGAAAGAGACATCTGCACTCCCATGTCTGTTGCAGCACTGTTCACAGTAGCCGAGATTTGGAAGCAATCCAAGTGTCCATCAACAGACGAATGGATAAAGAAAACGTGGTGCTTAAACACAATGGAGTATTATTCAGCCCAAAAAATAATGAGATCCTGTCATTTGCAACAACATGGGTGGAACGGGAGGACTTTGTGTTAAGTAAAATGAGCCAGGCACAGAAAGACAAATGTCACATGTTCTCACTTATTTGTGGAAGCTAAAAATTAGAACAATTGAACTCATGGAGATAGAGAGTAGAATGATGGCTACCAGAGGCTGGGAAGGGTAGTCCGGAGGGGAATGGTAAATGGTTATAAAAATATGGTTAGATAGAATAAATAAGATCTTGGCCGGGCACAGTGGCTCATACCTGTAATCCCAGCAGTTTGGGAGGCTGCGGCAGGTGAATCTCCTAAGGTCAGGAGATCAAGACCAGCCTGGCAGCCTGGTCAACATGGCAAAACCCTGTCTCTACTAAAAATACAAAAATTAGCCAGGCCATGGTGGTGGGTCGCTGTAATCCCAGCTACTCTGGAGGCTAAGGAAGGAGAATCACTTGAACCCAGGATGCAGAGGTTGCAGTGAGCTGAAATCGTGCCACTGCACTCCAGTCTGGTCAACAGAGAGAGATACCATCTTAAAAAAGAAAAAAAAATCTAGTATTTGATAGCACAACAGGGTGACTACAGACAACAATAATTTATTTTACATTTTAGAATAACTATGAATATAATTCAAACATCTGTAACAAAAAGAATGCTAAATGCTTGAGGTAAGGGATACACCATTTACTCTGATATGATTAGTTCACATTGTGTGCCTGAATCAAAATATCTCATGTATGCCATAAATATATACACCATCTATGTACCTATAAAAATTAAAATTATTAGGTTGCTGCACATGTAATTGTGGTTTTTGCCATTAAAAGTAATTGCAAACACTGCAATCACATTTGCACCAACCTAAATAAAAATTTTTGAAAAGTAAAAGAGGCCTGAGGGAGCTTGTGTCCCTTCCACCATGTAAGGACACAGCAAGAAAGCATCATCTCAGAACTGCAAAGTGGGCCCTCACCAGACACAGAATCTGCAAGCACCTTGATCTTGGGCATGATCTGGACTTGATCTTGGACTTCCCAGCCTCCAGAACCATGAGCAATAAGTATCTATAGTTTATAAACTACCCAGTCTAAGGGATTCTGCTAGGGCTGACAAACAGATGAAGGCACAGGGTGCATTTATTTTATCTCTTCCTTTGCTCTAAATGACACCACTCCTCATTTGCTCCCCTCACTGTCTGGGCACCTTGTTTCTGGGGAGTGTCTCCTTTCTCCCCATGTTTGGGGATATTCCATGGGGCCCTGGGCCTCCAAAGCAACCCCAGGCCCTAATACAGCCACTTTGTCCCCTCACCCCTCAAGCTGCAGAGCTGCTTGTGAGCAGAAACCAGCCCAATACTTTCATGGTGGACATGCCTCCTACACCAATGGCCTCGGGTGTCAGGCTGTGGCCATTTCTCACACACTGTTGCTGCAGGGAGCCTGGGTGTCCTGGCACTCCAGGTCTCAAAGGATGAAGCTGTAGCCATCACTTCTGCAGTCCTACAGCAATGCAGGATGGCACAAGATCACCTTCTCTACTTTCAACCTCCAGTACCTGTATTCAAAAAGGCATGTTGGGCCAGATGTGGAGGCTCATGCCTGTAATCCCAGCACTTTGGAAGGCCAAGTGGTAAGGCTCACCTGAGGCCAGAATTCAAGATTGAGGCCTGGGCAACATAGCAAGACCCTATCTCTACAAAAAATTAAAAAACTAGCTGGAGGTGGTGGTGCACACCTGTAGCCCTAGCTACTTGGGAGGTTAGGGTAGGAGGATTATTTGAGCCCAGCAGTTTGAGACCATCCCAGGCAACATACCAAGAACTCATTTCTACAAAAAAATATTTTAAATTACCCAGATGTTGTGACACGTGCTTATAGTCCCAACTACTCAGGAGGCTGAGGCTGGAGGATCGCTTGAGCCCAGGGATTTGAGGCACAGTAAGCTATAATTGTGCCACTGCACTCCAGCCTGAGTGAAAGAGCAAGACCCTGTCTCTAAAACTAAAACATAAAAAAAAAAAATTAACAAAAGATAAGGAGGCATGTTGTGAGGCCATATAACACAGGCTCAGATACAAACTGCCTGACTCAAATCCAGTCTCTGCCACTGACCAGCTGGGATGATACTGCAGAAGTTGTTTAACTGCTATGCATCTCTGTTTACCCATCTATATAATGGGATAATAATGCACCTCTACATAAAATGGATATGAAGATGAAAAGCATTAATACAAACAAATGATACTGGGACAATTGGATGTCCACAAACAAAAGAATGAAGTTGGATCCTACCTCACACCATTCACAGAAATTGACTCCAAGTGGATGAAAGAGCTCAATTTAAGAATGGAAGCCATAAAACTTTTAGAAGGATACAGAAGCAAATCTTCATGACCTCGAGTTAAGCAAAACCTCCTTAGATGTGTCTACACAAGTACAAGTGACAAATGAAAAAACAGACAAATTGGACTTTACTGAAATTTTAAAATATTGTGCTTCAAATGATACCATCAAGAAAATGCAAAGATGACCCACAGAATAGAAGAAAATAATTGCAAATCATATGTCTGATAAGAGGTTTGCATCTGGTATATAATGAATTTTTACAACTTGACAATAAAAAGACAATTAACCCAATTTTAAAATAAGCAAAAGATCTGAATAGATATTTTTCCAAAGAATATATACAAATGGCCAATAAGTACATGAAAAGATGCTCAGCATCATTAGTCATTAGGGAAATGCAAATCAAACCACAGTGATACACTTTATATCCACCAGGATGATTCTAATAAAAAAGACAGACAATAAGATGCATTGGCAAGGATGCAGATAAATTCAAACCCTCCTACATGGCTTGAGGGAATGTTAAATGATGCAGCTGCTTTGGAAAAACAGCTTGGCAGTTCTCAAACAGTTAACCATAGAGTTTACCATATGACCCAGCAATCTCACTCCTAGGTACCCAAGAAAATTGAAAGAGATGTTCACACCAAAACTTGTACACAAATGTTCACAGCACCACCACTCACAATAGCCAAAAAGTGGAGACAACCCAAATGCCCATCAACAGTTAAGTGGATAAACAAAATGTATAATAGACTATCCACATAATGGAATATTATTCAGCCATGAAAAGGAATAAAGTACGGACCCATGCAACAACCTGAACGAACCTCAAAAACATCATGCCAAGTGAAAGAAGCCAGTCACAAAAGAGCACATATTGTGGGATTTCATTTATATAAAATGTCCAAAATGGAAAAATCCATGGAGACAGAAAGCGGATTCGTGGTTGCCAAGGGCTGGAGTGGGGAGGGAGGGAAGTGGATGAGAAGATTAAAAGCCTTAATACAAATAAATGAAGCTGGGACAACTGGATGTCCACAAACAAAAGAATGAAGCTAGACCCCTATCTCACATCATTCACAGGAATTAACTCCAAATAGATGAAAGAACTAGATTTATAAGGGGAAACCATAAACCTCTTAGAAGAATACAGAAGTAAATATCTGTAGCAAGAAGAGAGAAATATAAGTAGACGAGAAGAGAGACATAGAAGAGCTTTGGTGCCAACTAGAGCCAGGTTCAAATCCCAGCTCCAGCACTAACTTGGTATGTAACCTTGGGACCTTGGATTCCTCACCAGTCAGAACCCCCAGCCTCACAGGGCTGTTATGAGGATAACATAAAATATGCAAAATATGTTAGAAGAATAAAGAGTATGCAGAATAACACATGTAGCACACTTAGCCCAGTCTCTAGCATACAGCTGGTACTAAACAATGATAATGGCAGAAATCCATTTATTTTATTATTATCTTTTTAGGGACGGGGTCTTGCTAGGTTGCCCAGGCTGGTCTTGAACTCCTGGCATCAAGCCATCCTCTCCCCTAAGCCTCCCAAGTAACTGGGATTACAGGCACATGCCACCATGCCCAGCAAGCAATCAATTTTTATGATTTAAATCTGAGAGGATGTTGAATAACTTGAAGCCAAACTGATGCTCTGTTGTCTACTGCTTCTTCCTACTTTCCCCCACCAGCTCTCTGTGCATCATAGACACTGTGGATGCTCTCTTGGTTTTCCATCGACCTACTCTCATTATTTTACTGGTTCCTCCTTCTCTTCTCCCTGCTCCCTGAACTCTGAACTCTTTCTGAGAGAAGGACATTAGCTCATATACTTCAGGAGGACAACTGACCACTCCAATTCTGGTTTCCCTTTGCTGTCAGAGACTACAGGCTGGAATTCTATTTGGGAATTGTGGCAGATTGTATTTTCCATAAATAGCTGCACCAATGTTTCCCATCCATATGTTCTTCTCACTTTGACATTCCTCCTATCAAGAGTTGGTATCTGTATTCTCTCTCCTTGAATCTAGAGACTCTTATGACTATGGCAGAAGTGATGCTATGTGACTTCCAAGGCTAGGTGATAAAAGGTGATACAGTTCTACCTGGTTCACTTGGAATGCTTGCTCCTGGCACCCAGCTGCCATGATGTGAGGAAGCCCGAGTGAACATGAGGAAAGGCCACATATAGTTTTTCCAACTGATAGCTCAAAAAGATTTCAATCAACAAGTATCATCAACTGCCAGTCATGTGGGTAAACAAGCCCTCAGATGATTCCAGTCCTCTGCCATTAGGTCACCCTTAGTCTTTAGGCTGAAGTCTCAGATACCATGGAGCAGAGACAAGCCAATCTCACTGTGCCCTGCCCAAAGTCCTACCCCACAGAGCCTGGGAGCAAAATAAATTATTATTATTGAAATTTGGAGTTGATTGTTTTGCAGGAATGGATAACCAAAGAAAACCAACTCTAATAGATAGAGTTGTTGGTGTGGTCACTCTCCCCAAAGACCTCTTCTGAATTCTCTTCTCTTTTTCCAAACTTTGATGCTCCTCCTCTGGGTGAGCTAGTCTTTTCCAGGGCTCTAAAGACACTGAGAGGCTGAAGAGCCTCCAAACTCCATCATTTCCCAAACCTCCCTATCTGCCCATAGAAATATCCAGCCAATTTACAATCAACATATTCAAATGCAAAAGGACTCTCTTTTCTGCTCCCCTTTCCAGTTTTTTATTTCAATCAATGGCAGATCACTTGTGCCAGTCATTTGTTCATCTTAGAAACCCCTTCCCCATCTCCAATTAGTCAGATTTACTCCAACAAGGTCTCAGTATCCTGCTTTTCCTCAAGACTATCTGTGCCTTTTTTGTCTACTTTTGTTATTGCAATAGGCTTCTGTTCTAGCTATCTCTTCTTTTAGTTTTTATTTTTATTTATTTATTTATTTATTTTGAGACAGAGTCTCACTCTGTCACACAGCTTGGAGAACATTGACGCAATCTTGGCTCACTGCCACCTCAACCTCCCCAGCTCAAGCAATGCTCCCAGCTCAGCCTCCCAAGTAGCTGGGACTACAGGTGTGCACTACCACACCTGGCTATTTTTTCTGTATTTTTGGATAGAGACAGGGTTTCACCATGTTGCCCAGGCTGGTCTCGAACTCCTGAGCTCAAGGGATCCTCCTGCCTCAGCCTCCCAAAGTGCTGGGATTACAGGTGTGAGCCACCATGCCCAGGCTTCTCGCTATCTATTCCTGCATAACAATCAACTCCAAATTTAGTGGCATTAAACAACAACTATTTTATTCTGCTCCCATACTCTGTGGGGCAGGACTTTGGACAGGGCACAGTGGGACTGTCTTGTCTCTACTCCATGTCGTCTGAGACTTCAGCTTGAAGATTAAGGGTGACCCAGTGGAAGGGGACTGGAATCATATGAGGGCTTGTTCACCCACATTTCTGGCAGCTGATGATGCCTGTTGACTGAGGCCTTGTTGAGATATCAGTTGGAAAAACTATATGTGGCCTCTCCTCGTGTTTGCTTGGGCTTCCTCACATCATGGCAGCTGGGTGTATCTGTATCACCTTTTACCACCTAGCCTTGGAAGTCACATAGCATCAGTTCTGCCATAGTCATAAGAGTGTCCAGATTCAAGGACAGAGAATGGAGACCCCAACTCTTGATAGGAGGAATATCAAAATGAGAAGAACATATGGACAGGAAGCATTGGTGCAGCTATTTATGGAAAATACAATCTGCCACAACTCCCAAATAGAATTCTGGCCTGTAGTCCATGACAACAAAGGGAAGCCAGGATTGGAGTGGTCAGTTGTCCTTCCAAAGCATGTGAGCTAATATCCCTCTCTCAGAAAGAGTTCAGTAGCATGGCTCTCTACTACTAGAAAAAAAGTCCAAAATCCTGTCTAATCTGGCTTCAGCCTATTTGACAAGCTTGTCTCCAACTACCTCCCTGTGCTATATTCACATTAGATGATTTACAGTCCTTGAATTTGTCCTAAACTATAAATTCTTCCTTGCCTTCTCCCAGGCTGATTCTTAAACTGGGATTGTTCTCCTTTTGACATGCTTTGATGTTAAGGCAAACTGTAGCAAGTTGCCTATCTTAGCCTTCCTTGGAAGACAAGAAGTTCCCATTAAGGGACAGTTACCCATCCGGGAAAGGCAGACAGCTGACTGTGAGGCTAGTTGATCGCTGTGCTTGTCACCCTCACCCCAAAATGAGTCCTAATCACTGCCCCAACTACTGCCTTTTCTGTAGGATTGTCTTCTCTGTGCAACCATTAAACATCCTTGCACCTCAGAGGTCTGTCCTTCCAGAGGTCAAAGTACCCTGATTCCAACCATAAAATCCCCACAAATTGAAGACTTGTCTGATTATCCTGACTTGGGGCTGGTTAATGGCTGAGCCAGAAATTGGGCCTTGTACTGAAGCACTTGGAGGCCAAGCTGAATTGTCCTGCGTGCAGACACCATGACTGAGAAGATGACTTCAATTAAAATGGAGTTAATTAAGCTTTGAGTCTTGAAATCTCTACTGAATCACTAAATTGGAAGGATGAAATAAACCCTCTACTCACTCAGCAGCGTTGGGTGAAGGGTCCAATGATGGGATCAGGCCCTACAGATAATATTTCCCCTTAGAGGGTCCGGTTTTTTCCTCCCTTAGGATATTGGGTGCAGAAAGTTAAGCCAATCCTAACACTCAGCTTGCAATCATTCTGACGTAACATAGTAGCTGTCTCACGAGTCCGTGTGAAGAGATCACCAAACAGGCTTTGTGTGAGCAACAAGGCTGTTTATTTCACCTGGGTGCAGGCTGGCTGAGTCCGAAAAGAGAGTCAGCAAAGGGTGGTGGGTTATCATTACTTCTTATAGGTTTTGGGACAGGCAGTGGAGTTAGGAGCAATGTTTTGCGGGCAGGGGATGGATCTCACAAAGTACATTCTCAAGGGTGGGGAGAATTACAAAGAACCTTCTTAAGGGTGGGGGAGATTACAAAGTATATTGATCAGTTAGGGTGGGGAAGAAACAAATCACAATGGTGGAATGTCATCAGTTAAGGCTATTTTCACTTCTTTTGTGGATCTTCAGTTGCTTTAGGAGATCTGGATGTAGACGTGCAGGTCACAGGGGATATGATGGCTTAGCTTGGGCTCAGAGGCCTGACAGTGGCCTCTCTTCACTCCCCTCCCACTCTCCAGACCCCACCACCAGAAGCATCCATCCTGATGGGTTTAATGTATCTTTGGATATATGTTCCTCTGTGTGTGTGTGTGTGTGTGTGTGTGTGTGTGTGTGTGTGTGTGTGTGTGTTGCTGTTTTGTGTATGCATTTATCTTCAGTTTATGTAAGTATCTCCTTCTGTTTGTTGTGCTGTTTCACTCAATGCTGCTTGTCGTTTAGCGTGGTTTATTGTTCTGTGCTATATATTAATCCTGTGTCAGGAGTGTCAGAGCTGTTTGAAACAGAGCTACTCCATCTTGAATAAGAGCTGGGTAAATAAGACTGAAGCTTACTGGGCTGCATTCCAGGGAAATTAAGGCATTCTAAGTCACAGGATGAGATGGGAGGTCAGCACACGATACAGGTCGCAAAGACCTTGTTGATAAAACAGTTGCAGTAAAGAAGCCAGCCAAATCCTGTCAAAACCAACATGGCGACTAAGGTCACCTCTGATTGTCCTCATTGCTCATTATATGCTAATTAAAATGCATGAGCACGCAAAAGACAGTCCCAGCAGTGCCATGACTGTTTGCAAATGCCATGGCAACACCAAGAAGTTACCCTATATGGTCTAAAAAGGGAAGGAACCCTCAGTTACAGGAACTGCCCACCCCTTTCCAGGAAAACTCATGAATAAACCACCCCTTGTTTAGCGTATAATCAAGAAAGAATGATAACATTAAATATAGTTAACCAGCAGCCCTTGGGGCTGCTCTGCCTATGGAGTAGCCATTCTTTATCCCTTTACTTTCTTAATAAACTTGCTTTCATTTTACTGTATGGATTCACCTTGATTTCCTTCTTGTGCAAGATCCAACAACCCTCTCTTGGGGTCTGGATCAGGACCCCTTTCTAATAACAGGGGGATTTGGCTCTCTCTACCTCCCCACTTCAACTACCAATGCCATGATGACATTGTTACATGGATCTCCCTTGTAGAGATACAGTGGGGTTGATGGGCATGCAGTCTACCCATTCTTAATTCCAGTAACTCCTACCAGGGTGCTCCCCTGAACACTGCATCAAGATATCCTCCCATCAACAGTGGATACATATCAATTGCCAGTTCCTCTATCCTCACCAACACTTGGCTTTATCTACCTTTCTAAATCTGCCAAATCTGATTGGTGTGAATAGTATCTCACTCATGTTATAAATTCTGTGATCACTAGGGATGTTGAGCAGTTCTTCATGTTCACATTAGCCATTTGCATTTCTGCCTCAATGAATTCTTATCATTTGCCCACTTCTCAAATGGATTTCTAGGAGGCTTTAGTTGGATTTCTTTCCAACCTTATGTAAAATTCTTTTTTTTCTGACAAAAAAATGCCATTTAGAAAGGAATTTCTTACCTAGAATAACTATTAATCCCTTGTTTGTTTTTAATGTTAAAAATATATTTTTTAATCTGTTAACTCTGCCTGTAAGTTCTTCGTTAAATAGAAATTCTTAATTTTGATTTACAACTTAGAGTTTTGCATTGGTTAGCACAGGCTGAGCTGTGTAACAGATAGACTCAAACATGTATTAAGTGACTTAACACAATAGAAGCTTATTTCTCTCTCACACAGCAGTCCACCATAGTTCCGAGCCATCAACAGGGAATAAGGTTGGGGGTTTTATTCTCTGTTGATGGCTCACAGGCTGAGTCACAGGTTGACATGGCCCCACCATCTTCATCCTTGTAGTTGTCATTCTAGTTGTCATGAGGGGATGGCTGGCCCTGCTGTTTTCTACCCTGCGGTAGTTCCTAGGAGGTGAGCAATATGCTGAAAGCAATATGGGAAGAGAAAGGAAATGAGCAAAGATCTCAACCCCAACCTAATGAAGAAAATAAAAATATTTTACCCCAAAATATATTTCTTTGGCATAACTTGAAATAGCTGCTGCAGAGCCAGCAAATAGAGTTGGCCTTGCAAAGCTGTCTTTGTGGGGAAAATTTGCATCTGTAGAGAATCTTCATTAACATAGCCACATGTCCCCCTTTCTATGCCTTTTTTAGATCTAGGAGTGATTGAGAATCTGACACCTTTAAACCTTTGAAAAGAAACTTACTATCTAGTCACTCTGAGGGAGACTTCATCTACATAACAAGGCCACCTTTGGAGCCAAGCCTCTTCCTTTCTTCTTCCCATAAACTGTCTTGCCACTAAAACCTATTTTGGACATATTCTGAGTCTGGATTCTTTCTGTAATTTCAAGATGGCAGATTAGCTTCTGCCACCTATTGGGAAGCTGGATCTTCATACTGAAGGCTCTCGTGTATACACATTAAATAAATTTGTATGCCTTTCTCCGATAACTCAATCAGCCTTGTGACAGTAATTTTTTAGCTAACCTGTAGGGGGGCCAATAGCCCTGGCCCCCACCCTAATCTCTGTGGCTGCCTTTCCCTCCCCTGTGGGGCCCAACCACCCTCTGACTCCTCTGACTCCTCTTTTTATATTAGACTCTGAAATCCATAAAACACTTCTTCCTTCTGTGACTTCTCCAAATGTTGGAGGAAGACAGTTGTCTGTGTTCATTCACCATCTTGTTAGAAATCCAAAAAATGCATCTAGAGTCTTACATTTCTCCAGAGAAGTGAAACAGTCATCTGTCTGCTCATACGCCCCCTAAGAGTTTCTTCCTGGAGTAGCCTAAATATATCTCCTCTTCCCAACTCCACAACCAACTTTTCTTAACCATTCTAATCTCAAGATCACTGATTCTCCTCAAAGAGATTTGAGCAGCCTTTTTCTATAACTCTGTAAATACACTCAAGTCAGTAACCCAATCCTGCAATTGTACTTTTTGTACATAGAAGCCTATTGCTGCAGGAAAAGAGCACAGAGAAAACTTAAATTCACTGATCAAGTTTATCCACCTGCTGCCTATGGAAATTGTTCCAATGGGCTGGTGCAGAGCGCCCCCTGGTGGCCAGAGTTCAGTTTTTCTCCAGGTGTTCTTAGCGATTCCCTCCAGGACAATTTTATGGGTTTTCTGTTGTTTTGTTTTTGAGTCAGAGTCTCACTCTGTGCCCTGGGCTGGAGGGCAGTGGTGCAATTATGGCTCACTGCAGCCTGAAACTCCTGGGCTCAAGCGATCCTCCTGCCCCAACCTCCCAAGTGGGTGGGACCACAGTTATGTGCCACCACGCCCAGCTATTTTTAAAATTTTTTTGTAGAGACGGGGTCTCGCTATGTTGCCAGGCTGGTTTCAAACTCCTGCCCTCAAGCGATCCTCCCACCTCCGCCTCACAAACTACTGGGATTACAGGTGCTGCCCCCAGCCCCCGGGATGTTTTTCTGTCTCCTCGAGACCTCCTGCACTCCCCAGCTACACTGGCTGCTTCTCACCTTTGATTTTTAACTACCACCCACCCAGATGCAAAGAACTTGGAACATACACCTCCAGCCTGACTTTCCCCTGAACTCTAGACCATGCATCTGACCACCTCCTAGACTTCTGTCCCTAGAAGCTCCATGGACCGGCAGCTCAGACTCAACATGCCCCACCTGGAACCCATCATTTCCCCCTAGCCGGCTCCCTGTGTACTCCTGACCTCAAGGGCTGACACCACTATCTTCTGCAGAGTCACACTGACTCCCCTTCCCCTCGTGATCTGCTGTGGGTTGAATCATGCCCTCCAAAAAGACAAGTTGAAATTCTAAGTCTTCATACCTGTAACTGACACAGTATTTGGAAATAGAGACTTTGCAGATGTAATTAAGATGTAAATCAACTCATGCCTGTAATCCCAGTGTTTTGGGAGGCAGAGGCAGGACAATTGCTTGAAGTCGGGAATTCAAGACCAACCTGGGCGACATAGCAAGACACACCTCTACAAAAAAAAAAAAAAAAAAAAAAATTATCTGGGCATTGTGGCTTATGCCCATAGTCCCAGCTACTGGAGAGGCCAAGGCAGGAGGATCGCCTGACTCCAAGAGTTTGAAGCTGCAATGAGCTATGATTGTGCCACTGCACTCCAGCCTGGGTGACAGAGTGAGACCCTATCTCAAAAACAAAGAAACTGGCCGGGCACGGTGGTTCACACCTGTAATCCCAACACTTTGGGAGGGCGAGGCGAGCAGATCACCTGAGGTCAGGAGTTCAAAACCAGCCTGGCCAACATGGCGAAACCCCATCTCTACTCAAATATAAAAATTAGCCAGGTGTGGTAGCGTGCCCCTATAGTCCCAGCTACTTGAGAGGCTGAGGCAGGAGAATCGCTTGAACTCGAGAGGTGGAGGTTGCAGTGAGCTGAGATGGCACCATTGCACTCCAGCCTGGGCAACAGGAATGAAATTCCGTCTCAAAAAAAAAAAAAGAAAAGAAACAAGCAAATAAATAAATAAATGAAAGTTGAGATCACACCAGAGCAGGATGGGCCTCTATTCCAATATGACTAGTGTCCCTATAATAGAGAAACAGAGAAGCACACAGGGAGAGCTCCATCTGGCAACCCAGGCAGGACTGGAGTGACACAGCTACCAGCCAGAGTAACAGAGATTGCTGGCCACAAGCAGGAGCCCAGAAGAGGCAGAGAAGGATTCTCCTAGAGTCACAGACAGAGCAGGGCCCTGCTGACCCCTGGATTTTGGACTTCTAACCTCCAGGACTGTGAGAGAACACATGTCTGTTGTTTCAAGCCACCCACTGTGTGGTACAAGCACAGATCGTGTCATTGCACTTGGCTTTACTGAGCTTCGCATATACTGTCCTTACGAATGGCAGGTTTGTGGCAATCCCGCCTCAAGCAACGCTCTAGGCACTGTTTTTTCAACAGCACATGCTCACTTCATATCTCTGGGTCACGTTTTGGTAACCATCACAGTATTTCAAACTTTTTCATTATGATTATATGTGTTATGGTGATCTGTGATGAGTGATCTTAGATGTTACTGTTGCAGTTGTTTTGGAGCAGTACAAACCCTACAAGGTAGAGAAATGAACTGATGCGTGTTCTGACTGCTCCTCTGACCAGCTGCTCCCCATCTCTCTCTTTCTTTGGGCCTCCCCATTCCCAGGGACACAGCAATATTGAAATTAGGCCAACTAATAACTTTACAATGTCCTCCAAGTTGTTAAAGCAAACTAAATATGGCCCTAGAAGGACTCCGTACTTCTATATTGGAGTCCTTATGGATGAACTCTAACCTATCTTAATAGTCAGGCGAGATGGGAAACCTAATTCAGGAGTTGGCACCTGTAACAATAACTGAGTCTTGGCCAATCCCTGCAGCCATACTTCAACCACTCGTAGACTGCTAAGTGTTCACACTGTGTTCAAATAAGGCAAACGCCAACCTGTAACCAATCCAGCTGTTTCCGTACCTCGTTGCCAATGTCTGTACTTTTTTTTTTTTCTATAAATCTTCTTTCACCACGTGGCTATGCTACAGCCTCTGTGAATCAGCTGTGATTCTGGGGGCTGCCCAATTCACAAATCGTTCATTGCTCAATTGAACACCTTTAAATTTAATACGGCTGAAGTTTGTTTGTTTGTTTGTTTAATCAAAGTGTTCAAGTGAAAGGAAGAGTCACACATCTCCCACTTCACATCAAAAGCTAGAAATGATTCTGCTTAGTGAGGAAGGCAGGCCAAAAGTCAAGACAAGCTGAAAGCCAGGCCTCTTGCACCAAACAGATAAACAAGTTGCAATTGCAAAGGAAAGTTCTTGAAAGAAATTAAAACTGCTACTGCAGCAAACACATGAATAAGAAAGTGAAGCAGCTGTATTGTTGGTGTGGAGAAAGTTTTAGTGGTATGGATAGAAGATCAAACCAGCCGCAACATTCCCTGAACCAAGATCCAATCCAGAGCAAGTCCCTCATTCTCTTCAATTCTAGGAAGGCTGAAAGAGGCGAGGAAGCTGTAGAAGAAAAGTCTGAAGCTAGCAGAGCTTGGCTCATGAGGTTTAAGGAAAGAAGCTGTCTCCATCACATAAAAGTGTAAGGGGGAGCTGATGGAGAAGCTGCAGCAAGTTATCCAGAGGCTCTAGCTGTACTCATGGATGAACGTGGATACACTCAACAACAGATTTTCAATATAGACAAAACAGCTTGAGATTAGAACATGATGTCATCTAGAACTTTCATAAACAAAGAGAAGAAATCAACGCCTGGCTTCAAAGCTTCAAAGGACTGTCTGACTGTCTAGCAGGGGGCTAATGCAGCTGGTGACTCCAAGTTGAAGCCAGTGCTCATTTACCATGCTGCAAATTCTAGGGTCCTTCAGAGTGATGCTAAATCTACTCTGCCTGTGCTGTAGAAATGGAACAAAGAAGCCTGGAAGGCAGCACATCTGTTTACAGCATGGTTTACTGAACACTTCAAGCCTCCTATTGAGAACTACTGCTCAGAAAAGAAGATTCCCTTAAAAATACTATTGCCCACTGACAATGCACTTGGTAACCCAAGAGCTCTGATGAAGATGTACAAAGAGTTGAATGTCGTTTTCATGCCTGCTAACACATCCATTTTGCAGCCCGTGGATCTCGGAGTAATTTCAACTTTCAAGTCTTACTATTTAAGGAATACATATCATAAGGCTATAGCTGCCACAGATAATGATTCCTTGAATAGATCTGGGCAAAGAAAATGAAAGCACCTTTCTGGAAAGTATTCACCATTCTAGATGCCATTAACATTTGTGGGGGCTGGGTGTGGTGGCTCACGCCTGTAATCCCAGCACTTTGGGAGGCCGAGGCGGGCAGATCACGAGGTCAAGCGATCCAGACCATCCTGGCCAACATGGTGAAACACCGTCTCTACTAAAAGTACAAAAATTGGCTGGGCGTGGTGGCACTCGCCTGTAGTCCCAGCTACTCGGGAGGCTGAGGCAGGAGAATTGCTTGAACCCGTGAGGCAGAGGTTGCAGTGAGCTAAGATTGTGCCACTGCACTCCAGCCTGGTGACAGAGCAAGACTCTGTCCAAAAAAAAAGAACATTTGTGAATTCATGGATTCATGGGAGGAGGTCAAAATATCAACATGAACAGGAGTGTGGAAGAAGTGGATTCCAACCCTCATGGATGAGTTTGAGGGTTTCAAGGCTTCAGTGGAGGAAGGAACTGCAGATGTGGTAGAAATAGCAAGAGAACTAGAATTAGAAGTGGAGCCTGCCGATGGGACTGAATTGCTACAATCTCATGATCAAACGTGAACAGATGAGGAGTTGCTTCTTATGGATGAGCAGAGAAAGGGGTCTCTTAAGATGGAATTCGCTCCTGGTGAAGATGCTGTGAACACTGTTGAAATGGCAACAAAGGATTTAGAATATTCCATAAACTGAGTTGATTAAGCAGCGGCAGAGTTTGTGAGCCCTGGCTCCAACTTTGGAAGAAGTTCTACTCTGGGCAAAATGCTACCAAATAGCATCACAGGTTACAGAGAAATCTTTTGTGAAAGAAACAGTCAATCAATGAGGCAAACTTCATTTCCATCTTATCTTAAGAAATTGCCACAGCCACCCTAACCTTCAGCAACCACCACCCTGATCCATCAGCAGCCAGCTACATCAAGGCAAGACCCTTCACCAGTGAAAAGATTGTGACTCACTAAAGACCCAGATAAGGCCGGGAGGGGTGGCTCACGCCTGTAATCCCAACATTTTGGGAGGCCGAGGCAGGTGGATCACAAGGTCAGGAGTTCAAGACCAGCCTGGCCAAGATGGTGAAACCCCATCTCTAGTAAAAATACAAAAAAATTAGCTGGGCGTGGTGGTGAGCACCTGTAATCTCAGCTACTCAAGAGGCAGAGGCAGAAGAATTGCTTGGCCCAGGAGGTTGAGAGAGCAGTGAGCCGAGATCACGCCACTGCACTCCAGCCTGGGAGACAGAGCAAGACTCTGCCTCAAAAAAAAAAAAAAAAAAAAAAAAAAGACCCAGATGATTGTGAGCATTTTTTTTAGCAATAAGATATTTTTAAATTAATGTATGCATATAATTTTTGGTTTCTGCGGTTTTTTAGAGACAGGGTTTCACTGTCACCCAGGCAATGGTGCAATCATAGCTCACCACAGCCTCAAGTCCCTGGCTCAAGCAATCCTCCCACCTCAGCCTCCTGAGTAGCTAGGACTATAGGCACTCACCACTATATCCAAGTAATTTTTAAATTTTTTGTAGCGACAGAATTTCCCTATCTCCCTATGTTGCTCAGGCTGGTCTCAAACTCCCGGCCTCAAGTGATCCTTCCTCTGCCTCCCAAAGTACTGGGATTACAGGTGTGTGCCACCAGGCCCAAACTATGCATTGTTTTTCTTTAGGCATAAGGCTATTGCACCCTTAATAGACTACATGATAGTATAAACATAACATTTAATATGCACTGTGGAACCCCACAATTTGTGTGGCTCACTTTATTGCAATATTCACTTTATTGCCATGAATATCGCCAAAGTATGCCTGTGATTTTTATGACCACCCAGGAAGCTAATCCACGATCCTTTCTGCAAGTCCTTGGTTTGGCGTCTTACGTTGACAATTCCACTATCTTCTTAACAGGCCACCCTGCCTGCAGTCTCATAAATGCATCTCCCGCAGGCATGGCTGGATTAATTCACCTAAAGTGCAAATGTGTCCTGACGTTGTGTGGTCTTCTAACTCCCAGAACACCACCAGGGGTTTGCTGCAGGTGTTGACTCGGCCAGTTCCATTCCAGGCTCCATCCCAGCACTTATCATTTGTACTGGCATGCAGCATTCCCTCAACCCATGAGCTCCCAATCTCTGGTGTCTACCATAAAACCGGGCACCGAGTAGGCACTTTGTAAAGGTTTGTGACTCTGAACTGAAAAATTTTAAAGTACAAAGCCAGAGCCTCAGTCTCTGGTGAGGCAACCAGAGATGCTAGAAACTGCGTATGGGATCCCCTCAAAGCCGCCCTCTGCTAATAGCTACAGGCTCTGGAGTTTAGGTCTGGAGCTGACCAGGCACCCTGCAGGCATTCCCATCCCTCCTCTCTGGGAAACTGAGTCTGCAGAGGGCACAAACGGGGTCTGTGCTGCATCTACAGCTCTTTCCTGAGATTTTTCGGGCCTCAGTGTGTCCCCTGACTTTCCAAGGCTTGGGTACTCTGACTCCCAAAGGTCTCATCACCTAACATTCTGAGCATATTCAAAGGCACCCACATTCCAACATGAAAGATCATTTTTATCGTACATTTTGGAAAGCCAGGATTTCTCCTCCATATCACTGTGCATATCCAGTGAATTCTACAGAGCGAGAAACATTAAGCTTAAAAATTGTCATCCAGCCAGGTGTGGTGGCTCATGCCTGTAATTCCAGCACTTTGGGAGGCCAAAGGGGTCGGATCACCTGAGGCCAGGAGTTCAAGACCAGCCTGGCTAACATGGCAAAACCCTGTCACTACTAAAAATACAAAAATTAGCCAGGTGTGGTGGTGGGCACCTGTCATCTCAGCTACTTGAGAGGCTGAGGCAGGAGAATCACTTGAACCTGGGAGGTGGAGG
This sequence comes from Homo sapiens, assembly GCF_000001405.40. Taxonomy (NCBI): domain Eukaryota; kingdom Metazoa; phylum Chordata; class Mammalia; order Primates; family Hominidae; genus Homo; species Homo sapiens. The sequence continues at coordinate 70,850,573 of NC_000007.14, read as the reverse complement.
TTGCAGTGAGCCAACATCGCACCACTGCACTCCAGCCTCGGCGACAGAGTGAGACTCCATCTGAAAAATAAAAATAAAAAATAAAAATAAAAATTGTTGGCTGGGTGTAGTGGCTCAGGCCTGTAATCCCAGCACTTTGGGAGGCCGAGGTGGGTGGATCACGAGGTCAGGAGATCGAGACCATCCTGGCTAACACAGTGAAATCCCATCTCTACTAAAAAAATACAAAAAATTAGCCAGGTATGGTGGTGGCGCCTCTAGTCCCAGCTACTTGGGAGGCTGAGGCAGGAGAGTGGTGCAAATCTGGGAGGCAGAGCTTGCAGTGAGCCAAGATCATGCCACTGCACTCCAGCCTGGGTGACAGAACGAGACTCTGTCTCAAAAAAAATAAAAATAAATAAATAAATAAAAATTGTCATCCAGCAGTAACAAGATGTTTATAAACATGTTGGAAAAAAAATGCTCAGTGCTGCAAAGAAGAACCAGCACTGAGACAAAGGATTTCTCAGCAAGGCAATTTGCTCCTATAGGAAGGTGCATCTCGTGAATGGAGCAATGGCGAGAGTACCCAGAACAAAGGAAACCATGGGTTTTTATTATCTCTAACACAGCCTCTGCTTCTATGTCTTTCCTCTGTTGGCTAGGGTTGGAACCCACAGTCTAAACTAGTCCCTATTGGCTAAACAGTTAAACTTTCTTATATAAGGTAGGCAAGTAAGAGGGGTGAGAAGAGAGAGAAGGGGGGTCACTTACAGGGGGACTAGGAAGGTAACCTATTACCTAATAAGGAAAGGAATGTGGACTGGGGTTGTAGCAAGTTCAGGCATGCCTAGGCATGTACAGACAAGTTGGGGTATAGCAAAGGCAAGGGGGTATTTGGATAAGCTGTTTAAAGAGAGAACTTAACTGTATTTAACAATTTCACCCCTTTTGATTTTTATAATCTTTCCTCTTCAAACCTTTCTAACATGTTTTAACTTTGTTGTTCTGCTTGATCTTCTGAAAGAAAGAGCTTATCTGAATAAAGTGGGGGAGAATTGAGGAAAGTGAGGGTTGTCTCAATGAGTTTTTGTATTCATCCTTGAGCACAGGATCTGAGGCAACATCCAACAAGAATTAGTACACTTACAACAATTACCAGGGAGGTAACTATTGAAGTTACTAGCTTTTTCCACCCACCGAACCACTTTCCCCTGAGGCTTGTAAAGGGATCATCTATTCTGGAGTTTTTAGCCAATTCATCTGACAGAGAGGCAAGGCCCTACACGGCCTTTGTGATTGTCCACTGGGGGCTGTGTTTTTAGGGATGAAAGTACAATACTGGGTTCCAATCACGACACAAACGTCACCTTTCTCTGATAGTATCATGGCTAATGCCATCCTATTTTCCCAGGCCATTTGACTGGTGAATCCTAATTGTTCAGCTATTCCTTTAATGGCATCTTTGGTATAGTTAACAAATCGTTGCTGGTTGTAGTCAATGTAATTTATCTAATTTACATTTTTATTAATAGTTACCCACCAGAACAATGCAATTCAAACTCTGCAACTAACTGGTTTTGAGCTTTAAATTTATTTGGTGCTCCTCATGGAAACTCGATGGCATTTATATAAACCTGAGGATCAAAAGACTCACAAGGGGTCTCTCTCGGCTTACAGACCTTTGCTTTTACTTTCTCAGGTTGATGAAATACAAGGGTGAAAGAGATAGCCAATAGAATTAGAGTACAAGTTTCGCTCCATTTGCTTGGCAGAGCGTCCAGCAGGGGTCCACCACAATACCACCATATATCCGCTTGGGGATGGCTAAGGGCAAACTGATGGGTAAGCTATTGGAAGGGCCTAAGCTCTTTGCATCCCTTTAAGTCTCCAAGGAATGCTACGTTTCTTCCCTGTCATCAGAGACATGAGGTAAACTTGGCATTGGAAGGCGGAGGCTGGATGGCCTCTGGGGCCTGACCCACAGGATGTCGAAACTTCTGGGAACAGCAGAGAAAGAGCTTGGCCCGATTTGTCTTCCCAGGCTGTGGGGGTCTTGAAAAAGAGCTACCTTACAGCTCGTGCCTGGTCAGTGGGGAGACTAAGTTGAAAGGGGATGATCTGGGCCTCTGGTCTACCGTGCACACAAGTGTAACAGTCGCTTTTGCTTAGGGTGCGGATGGAATATTTAATCCATTCCAGCCAGGCATTTGTACTTCGGTATCCTGTCTCCATTGCTAGGGTTTGTTTTAGATCTTTTACTTTTATAATGGACACCTTGGTTTTCTCATTAGTTATAGGAATAACAGGTGTAGTTCCTTTAGTAAAATGAAGGTAAGGTTTTAGGGAGGTACAGCCTTCTGAGGAAGCCTAGCCCTGGGACTGAGTGGTCCAGAGAATATCATACCGGGAATAGCAAGGTAGCCAATGATAAGGAATTTTACAAGGATTATGTTGAGAGTGGGGTGAGTACTAAGGGCAAAGATACTTTTCTGAAGAGGCTGGTTGCCTTTGACTTTGTAGGTCTCCACAGGGTATGGCTAAGCATCAAACACAATAGTTTTGGTGGGGGGCGCTGACAGTGGAGTGAGGGAAGAAGCAGAGACAATAAAAGAGATATAAGAGGGTGAGACTTTCCTTAGCTTTAGTTTGTTGGGACTTGATCCTAGAACAATGGTCTATGACTCTAAAGATGGTGGCACTTTCTTGACTCAAGTATGGTGAGTCCACCCTCTTTCTGCTGTTCATACTGTGGTCTCAGTAGTTGGAAGCACTAGGTAGGGTCCTTCCTAAGCCGGTTCGAGTTTTCCTTCTCTCCAGCTCTTAATCAGAACGTGATTTCCAGGTTGACGCAGGTGTGCTGGGAGCTCCAGGGGTGGCAGCTGTACTAAAAGGCGGTCTTCAGCTCTGAGGGAAGAGAAAGTGGAAGATAGACCAAGTATATAGTTTTTGAGAAACTGATCTTTTGTTTTCAACGTAGGAATGTCAGCAGTAGAGTGTAAATAAGGCAACTTACATATTATTTTATAAGGGGATACGCTGACATCTTTCCGAGGGGCGGTTCTGACCCTTAACAAGGCAATGGGGAGGAGTCTCTAAAACTAATTTGTTTAAGTGGCTCCTCAGAGTTTGGTTCATTCTCTATGCTCTTCCTGACGAAGGTGAGTGCCAGGGAGTATGGTATTCCTATGTTATGTTTAGTACTTGGGCTAATTTCTTAATGACGTGCAGTGAAATGAGTCTTATTATCTGAATCAATATTTTCTATTCATCTAAACCTGGGTAGAATATTTTTAATTAATGCTTTCACTACATTACTGGCAGTTGCACTTGAAAAGGGAATAGTCTCTACCCAGTGAGTAAGGTGATCTACTATCACTAGTAGGTACTTTAGGTGACCTATTTGGGGCATTTCAGTGTAATCAATTTGGACACTTTGGAACGGCCTTAATCCTGAGTCCTTTCCTTTAAGGGGCGACCTTCTTAGAGTTTGCTTATTAGTTTTTTTGTTCGTTTTTGTTTTTACATATTAGGCAACTATCTGTAACTTGTTTTGCCAAAGCATAAATTTTTATACCTCCATAGACTCTGAGAACTGTATTACATATAGCTTGGGACTTAGGCTGCTGACCGGGGAGATGGTGGAGGCGCTGCTGGCCAGGCTCAGGCTGCTGCGAGGTCGGCTCTCCTCCATCAAGGACCAGCTCTGGGGTCGCAATGACAGGGGGCAAGAGGACGGTGTGGGTGCTGTGGCACCCAGGCAGTCTTCTGCCTCCTTTGTCTCCTAGCTGCTGTCTTTCATAGTTCTTAATTTCTCTCACCTTCTTGCTCGCGCTTTTTGTCTGTCTCGTCTCTTCCTCTCTCTTCCTTTTACACTATCTCTCTCCCCAGATTCACCTTCTGTATCTCTCTTTAATCTGTTTCTTCCAGTCTCTCATTCTCTTCCTCTCTCTCTCTCTCTCTCCAATCTTTCTGTTTCTGTCTAAATCTTTTATTGCCAGACTGAAGTCTCCGAGGAACGCTAAGTTTTCCCCGTTGTGAGAAACACGAGGTAAACTTTGGCATTGGAAGGCGGAGGCTGGATGGCCCTTGGGGCCTGACCCGCAGGGTGTTGAACTGGGAACAGCAGAGGAAGAGCTTGGCACGATTTGTCTTCCCAGGCTGTGGGGGTCTTGAAAAAGAGTTACCATACATACAGCTCATGCCCGGTCGGCGGGGAGACTAAGTGGAGAGGAGACGATCTGGGCCTCTGGTCTACCGTGTGCACAAGCTTTTGCTTAGGGTGCAGACGAAATATTTAATCCGTTCCAGCCAGGCATTTGTATCTCGGTATCCTGTCTCAATTGCTAGGGTTTGTTTTAGATCTTTTATAACGGACACCTTGATTTTAGCATTAGCTATAGGAATAACAGGTGTAGTTCCTTTAGTAAAATGAAGGTAAGATTTTAGGGAGGTACAGCCGTTTTGTTTTTTTTTTTGAGACGGAGTTTCGCTCTTGTTGCCCAGGCTGGAGTGCAATGACGCAATCTCGGCTCACGGCAACCTCCGCCCCGCAGGTTCAAGCAATTCTCCTGCCTCAGCCTCCCAAGTAGCTGGGATTACAGGCATGCACCACCACACCCAGCTAATTTTGTATTTTTTTTAGTAGAGACTCCTGACCTCAGGTGATCCACCCGCCTCGGCCTCCCAAAGTGCTGGGATTACAGGCGTGAGCCACCGCACCTGGCCACAGCCTTCTTAAGGAAGGGTCTCTTCCTTAAGTCTTTATCTTATTTTCTCTCTCTCCCCCTCCCTCTCTCCCCCATTTCTCTCCCTCTCTCTCTGTCTGTCTGTCTCTCTCTCTCGTGCTCCCTCCCTCCCCGTCTCCTCCCCTCCCCCTCCCTCCCCCTCCCTCCCCCTCCCTCCCCCTCCCTCCCCCTCCCTCCCCCTCCCTCCCCCTCCCTCTCCCTCCCCCCCGTTTCCTCTCTCCCCCTCCCCGTTTCCTCTCTCCCCCTCCCCGTTTCCTCTCTCCCCCTCCCTGTTTCCTCTCTCCCCCTCCCTGTTTCCTCTCTCCCCCTCCCTGTTTCCTCTCTCCCCCTCCCTGTTTCCTCTCTCCCTCATGCTCAGTCTCGTCCTCTTTCTCTCTCTCTCTGGCTCTCCACATCTGCCGTTTCCTCCCCTTTCTCTTTCTGATTTCCCTTCTCACTTTCTCCCTTCCTATCTCTCCCAGTTTCTCTTTCCTCTCTTCTTACATATACTTTTGAGCTTCTCCTATTTCCTTTTACACTTGTGAAATGTCTGGCACAACCAGACAAAACTGCTGTCTTTTCCTCTCTTCTTCTTTTACTACCATTTTCCTTCTTGCTTTTCAGACAACACTAAAACTTTTAACAAAATTTTTGAAGTGGTTTTCTTTTGGTAGTCTAGAATACACTAAGTCATTTCATGGGTCTTTACCCTGAAATGCTACACTTTAAAAATGGCAGTTTTCTTAATTGGCTTAAAATCAGTGTGGCTTGGTTTTACTTGGTAAAGTTGGTGTGATTAAATATATGTGTGTGTGTATATATATATACACACACACACACATATACACATATATACACACATATATATACACACACACATTTTTAATCAGAAAGAAAAAGACTTGCTAATTTGAAAAAGCATTAAAAAAAAGCAAATGCTAAAAACTACAATAAAATAAATTAATTGGCAGGTTAAATGAATGTAAAATGAGGAATGTATGGTGAAAAACCGACTAATAGCATTCCAGTTGATAAAATTAAAAACCTACTTAGGCTTATAGTTTATTTTCTAATGAAGTTATGTTTCAATGTAAATTTTGAAATACTTTAAACATACATTTCATGTAGATTTTGAGTGCCAGTGTTAAAATTTCAAATTATACATGCAAGGCTTATTAAAGAAGCACTGGTAGAATTCCAGTATTTGCAAAATTCTAAGTTTTGGTGAATATTGTAAATATTACAATTGGTATTAGAAAACCAGGATGAATCCAGAATAAGAGAACACCTATTTTATAAATATTTTATTTGATTAAAAATACCAGGCTTGCATGTTCTAAATAATTCAAGAAAATATTTTTTTAAAAAGGACTGCAATTTAACAGTAATCTGTATATCTTTAGCTGCCATTAAAAAAAGAAAAAAGAACAACCAAAAAAATGAGAATGTTACAACTGGTATAAAGTAAACTTATGAGGCTTTTATTACAAGAAAACAAAACTGTATACATTTATAAACAGTCTTTCCACCAGTTAACACACAGAGCCTTTTCTTTTTTTTTTTTTATTATACTTTAAGTTCTGGGGTACATGTGCAGAATGTGCAGATTTATTACGTAGGTATACATGTGCCATGGTAGTTTGCTCCACCCATCAACCTGTCATCTACATTAGGTATTTCTCCTAATGCTATCCCTCCCCTACCCCCACCCTCTGACAGGCCCCAGTGTGTGATGTTCCCCTCCCTGTGTCCATGTGTTTTCATTGTTCAACTCCCACTTAGGAATGAGAACATGCAGTGTTCAGTTTTCTGTTCTTGTGTTAGTTTGCTGAGAATGATGGTTTCCAGCTTCAGCCATGTCCCTGCAAAGAACAGGAACTCATCCTTGTTTATGGCTGCATAGTATTCCATGGTGTATATGTGCCACATTTTCTTTATCCAGTCTATCACTGATGGGCATTTGGGTTGGTTCCAAGTCTTTGCTATTGTGAACAGTGCTGCAATATACATACATGTGCATGTGTCTTTATAGTAGAATGATTTATAATCCTTTGGGTATAGACCCAGTAATGGGATTGCTGGGTCAAATGGTATTTCTGGTTCTAGATCCTTGAGGAATCACCACACTGTCTTCCACAATGGTTGAACTAATTTACACTCTCACCAACAGTGTAAAAGCATTCCTATTTCTCCACATTCTCTCCAGCATCTGTTGTTTCCTCACTTTTTAATGATCGCCATTCTAACTGGTGTGAGATGGTATCTCATTGTGGTTTTAATTTGCATTTCTCTAATGACAAGTGATGATGAGCATTTGCTCATATGTTTGTTAGCTGCATAAATGTCATCTTTTGAGAAATGTCTGTTCATATTCTTTGCCTACTTTTTGATGGGGTTGTTTTTTTCTTGTAAATTTGTTTAAGTTCTTTGTAGATTCTGGGTATTAGCCCTTTGTCAGATGGATAGATTGCAACAATTTTCTCCCATTCTGTAGGTTGCCTGTTCACTCTGATGATAGTTTCTTTTGCTGTGCAGAAGCTTTTTATTTTAATTAGATCCCATTTGACTATTTTGGCTTTTGTTGCCATTGCTTTTGGTGTTTTAGTCATGAAGTCTTTGCCCATGCCTATGTCCTGAATGGTATTGCCTAGGGTTTTTTCTAGAATTTTTATGGTTTTAGGTCTTACATTTAAGTCTTTAATCCATCTTGAGTTAATTTTTGTATAAGGTGTGAGGAAGGGATCCAGTTTCGGTTTTCTGCATACGGCTAGCCAGTTTTCCCAGCACTATTTATTAAATAGGGAATCCTTTCCCTATTGCTTGTTTTTGTCAGCTTTGTCAAAGATCAGATGGTTGTAGATGTGTGGTGTTATTTCTGAGGCCTCTGTTCTGTTCCATTGGTCTATATATCTGTTTTGGTACCAGTACCATGCTGTTTTTGTTACTGCAGTCTTGTAATATAGTTTGAAGTCAGGTAGCGTGATGCCTCCAGCTTTGTTCTTTTTGCTTAGGTTGTCTTGGCTATGCTGTCTCATTTTTGGTTCCATATGAAATTTAAAGTAGTTTTTTCCAATTCTGTGAAGAAAGTCAATGGTAGCTTGATGGGGATAGCATTTAATCTGTAAATTATTTTGGGCAGTATGGCCATTTTCATGATATCCATTCTTCCTATCCATGAACATGGAACGTTTTTTCATTCGTGTCCTCTCTTATTTCCTTGAGCAGTGGTTTATAGTTCTCCTTGAAGAGGTCCTTCACATCACTTGTAAGTTGTATTCCTAGGTATTTTATTCTTCTTGTAGCAATTGTGAATGGGAGTTCACTCATGATTTGGCTCTCTGTTTGTCTAGTTATTGGTGTTAGGAATGCTTGTGATTTTTGAACATTGATTTTGTATCCTGAGACTTTGCTGAAGTTGCTTATCAGCTTAAGGAGATTTTGGGCTGAGATGATGGGGTTTTCTAAGTATATAATCACATCATCTGCAAACAGAGACAATTTGACTTCCTCTTTTCCTAATCGAATACCCTTTATTTTTTTCTCCTGCCTGATTGCCCTGGCCATAACTTCCAATACTATGTTGAATAGGAGTGGTGAGAGAGGGCATCCTTGTCTTGTGCCCGTTTTCAAAGGGAATGCTTCCAGTTTTTGCCCATTCAGTATGATATTGGCTGTGTGTTTTTCATAAGTAGCTCTTATTATGTTGAGATACATTCCCTCAATACCTAGTTTATTGAGAGTTTTTAGCATGAAGGGCTGTTGAATTTTGTCAAATGACTTTTCTGCATCAATTGAGATAATCATGTGGTTTTTGTTGTTCGTTCTGTTTATGTGATGGATTACATTTACTGATTTGTGTATGTTGAACCAGCCTTGCATCCCAGGTATGAAGCTGACTTGATGGTGGATAAAGCTTTTTGATGTGCTGCTGGATTCAGTTTGCCAGTATTTTATTGAGGATTTTTGCATCGATGTTCATCAGGGATATTGGCCTAAAATTTTCTTTTTTTGTTGTGTCTCTGCCAGGTTTTGGTATCAGGATGATGCCAGCCTCATAAAATGAGTTAGGATTCTCTCATTTTCTATTGTTTGGAATAGTTTCAGAAGGAATGGTACCAGCTCCTCTTTGTACCTCTGGTAGAATTCAGCTGTGAATCCATGTGGTCCTGGACTTTTTTTGGTTGGTAGGCTATTAATTACTGCCTCAATTTCAGAACTTATTATTGGTCTATTCAGGGATTCGACTTCTTCCTGGTTTAGTCTTGGGAGGGTGTATGTGTCCAGGAATTTATCCATTTCTTCTAGATTTCCTAGTTAATTTGTATAGAAGTGTTTATAATATTCTTTGATGGTAGTTTGTATTTCTGTGGGATCAGTGGTAATATCCCCTTTATCATTTTTTATTGCATCTATTTAATTCTTCTCTCTTTTCTTTTTTATTAGTCTGGCTAGCAGTCTATTTTGTTGATCTTTAAAAAAAAGCTCCTGGATTCATTGATTTTTTGAAGGGTTTTTCGTGTTTCTATCTCCTTCAGTTCTCCTCTGATCTTAATTATTTCTTGTCTTCTGCTAGCTTTTGAATTTGTTTGCTCTTGCTTCTCTAGTTCTTTTAATTTTGATGTTAGGGTGTTGATTTTAGATCTTTCCTGCTTTCTCTTGTGGACATTTAGTGCTATAAATTTCCCTCTACACACTGCTTTAAATGTGTCCCCGATATTCTGGTACATTGTGTTTTTGTTCTCGTTGGTTTCAAAGAACATCTTTATTTCTGCCTTCATTTTGTTATTTACCCAGTAGTCATTCAGGAGCAGGTTGTTCAATTTCCATGTAGTTGTGCAGTTTTGAGTGAGTTTATTAATCCTGAGTTCTAATTTGATTGCACTGTGGTCTGAGAGACTGTTTATTAGATTTCCATTCTTTTGCATTTGCTGAGGAGTATTTTACTTCCAATTATGTGATCGGTTTTTAGAATAAGTGCGATGTGGTGCTGAGAAGAATGTATATTCTGTTGATTTGGGGTGGAGAGTTCTGTAGATGTCTATTAGGTCTGCTTGGTCCAGAGCTGAATTCAAGTCCTGGATATCCTTGTTAATTTTCTGTCTCGTTGATCTGTCTAGTGTTGACAGTGAGGTGTTAAAGTCTCCCACTATTATTGTGTGGGAGTCTAAGTCTCTTTGTAGGGCTCTAAGAACTTGCTTTATGAATCTGAGTGCTCCTGTATTGGATGCATATATATTTAGGATAGTTAGCTCTTCTTGTTGCATTGATCCCCTTATCCTTATGTAATACCCTTCTTTGTCTCTTTTGATTTTTGTTGACTTAAAGTCTGTTTTATCAGAGACTAGGATTGCAACCCTTGCTTTTTTTTGCTTTCCATTTGCATGGTAAATATTCCTCCATCACTTTATTTTGAGCCTATGTGTGTCTTTGCACATGAGATGGGTTTCCTGAATACAGTACACTGATGGGTCTTGACTCTTTATCCAATTTGCCAGTCTGTGTCTTTTAATTGGAGCATTTAGCCCATTTACATTTACGGTTAATATTGTTATGTGTGAATTTGATCCATCATTATGACGCTAGCTGGTTATTTTGCCCGTTAGTAGATGCAGTTTCTTCATGGTGTCAATGGTCTTTACAATTTGGCATGTTTTTTGCCATGGCTGGTACCGGTCATTCCTTTCCATGTTTAGTGCTTCCTTCAGGAGCTCTTGTAAGGCAGGCCTGGTGGTGACAAAATCTCTCAGCATTTTCTTGTCTGTAAAGGATTTTATTTCTCCTTCACTTATGAAGCTTAGTTTGGCTGGATAGGAAATTCTGGGTTGAAAATTCTTTTAAGAATGTTGAATATTGGCCCCCACTCTCTTCTGGCTTGTAGGGTTTCTGCCAAGAGATCTGCTGTTAGTCTGATGGGCTTCCCTTTGTGGGTAACCTGACCTTTCTCTCTGACTGATCTTAACATTTTTTCCTTCATTTCAACCTTGGAGAATCTGACGATTATATGTCTTGGGGTTGCTCTTCTTGAGGAATATCTTTGTGGTGTTCTCTGTATTTCCTGAATTTGAATGTTGGCCTGCCTTGCTAGGTTGGGGAGGTTCTCCTGGATAATATCCTGAAGAGTGTTTTCCAACTTGGTTCCATTCTCCCCGTCACTTTCAGGTACAGCAATCAAATGTATATTTGGCCTTTTCACATAGTCCCATATTTCTTGGAGGCTTTGTTCCTTTCTTTTCACTCTTTTTTCTCTAATCTTGTTTTCTTGCTTTATTTCATTGAGTTGATCTTCAATCTCTGGTATCTTTTCTTCCACTTGATCAATTCGTCTACTGATACTTGTGTATGCTTCAAGAAGTTCTCGTGCTGTGTTTTTCAGCTCCATCAGGTCATTTATGTTCTTCTCTAAACTGGATATTCTAGTTAGCAATTTGTCTAACCTTTTCTCAAGGTTCTTAGCTTCCTTGGATTGGGTTAGAACATGCTCCTTTAGCTCAGAGGAGTTTGTTATTACCCACCTTCGGAAGCCTACTTCTGTCAATTCGTCAAACTCATTCTCCATCCAGTTTTGTTCCCTTGCTGACAAGGAGTTGTGATCCTTTGGAGGAGAAGAGGCGTTCTGGTTTTTGGAGTTTTCAGCCTTTTTGCGCTGGTTTCTCCCCATCTTCGTGGATTTATCTACCTTTGGCCTTTGATGTTGGTGACCTTCAGATGGGGTCTCGGAGTAGACGTCCTTTTTGTTGATGTTGCTACTATTCTTTTCTGTTTTGTTAGTTTTCCTTCTAACAGGCCCCTCTTCTGCAGGTCTGCTGGAGTTTGCTGGAGGTCCACTCCAGACCCTGTTTTCCCAGGTATCACCAGTGGAGGCTGCAGAATAGCAAAGATTGCTGCCTGTTCCTTCCTCTGGAAGCTTCATCCAAGAGGGGTGCCCACCAGATGTCAGCGAGAACTCTTTTGTATGATGTGTCTGTTGGCCCCTACTGGGAGGTGTCTCCCAGGCAGGATACACGGGGATCAGGGACCCACTTGAGAAGACAGCCTGTCCCTTATCAGACCTTGAACACTGTGCTGGGAGATCCACTGCTCTCTTAAGAACTGTCAGGCAGGGACGTTTAAGTCTGCTGAAGCTGCGCCCACAGCCGCCCCTTCCCCCAGGTGCTCTGTCCCAGGGAGCTAAGGGTTTTATCTATAAGTCCCAGACTGGGGCTGCTGCCTTTTTTTCAGAGATCCCCTGCCCAGAGAGGAGGAAATCTAGACAGGCAGTGTGCCTTCAGCCGCCTTGTTGAGCTGCAGTGGGCTCCGCCCGGTTTGAACTTCCCAGGGCTTTGTTTACACTGTGAGGGTAAAACCACCTACTTAAGCCTCAGCAATGGCGAACGCCCTCCCCGCACCAAGCTCGAGTGTCCCAGGTCGACCTCAGACTGCTGTGCTAGCAGCGAGAATTTCAAGCCAGTGGACCTTAGCTTGCTGGGCTCCGTGGGAGTGGGACCTGCTGAGACAGGCTATGGAGGCAATCTCCTGGTCTGCCAGTTGTGAAGACCATGGGAAAAGTGCAGTATCTGGGCCGGATTGCACTATTCCTCCTGATCCAGTCTCTCAAAGCTTCCCTTGGCTAGGAAAGGGAAATCACCCGACCCCTTGCACTTCCAAGGTGAGGCGACACCTCACCCTGCTTCGTCTCACCCTCCGTGGGCTGTACCCACTGTCCAACCAGTCCCATTGAGATGAACTGGGTACCTCACTTGGAAATGCAGAAATCACCCGCTTTCTGTGTTGATCTCACTGGGAGCTGCAGACTAGAGCTGTTCCTATTTGGCCATCTTGCCAGCAAGTCCCACACAGAGCCTTTTCTACACTAAACTTTCCATTTGCCACCAGACTGGGCTTTGTCCTTCACTCTCTGGATGCCGGGCAGTGTCTGGTGTGTCTTACCCTCTTGCTGTCCTCTGCCATCTGCATGCCAGAGCCACTTTTGTAAGCATTTTCATTAACTTCTACCTGAGTAACACTGGAAACTGTGGATGCCCTCCTTTGGGCTGGGAGTTTCCTAGCATAGGGGAGGTTCCCCTCACACTGTTTGTGCACCTCCGGCAGGCCCTGCAGCTCAGGCAGACTGCTTCAGCCTGAGCGGGAGGGAGGTTAGGGTCAGGAGTGTTAGGCGGCTTAGAGGAGTTGGCTTGTGGCTTACTTCCTGCAGTCATTAGGAGGTAAAGAGGGTCAGGCCACTACTACCAACATAGGGCATAATCTATTTCCTCCTGGGAGAAAGGACTCTTGTCATTAATATGTTCTACTAAAAGCTGACAAATCTATTCCTTATTTGACCCAAACTTTGGCCAGAAAACTGAGGATCTGAGGATTGGTTCTTGGGTCCAAATAAAACAACAATATTTTATTATCTGTTGCTTTTTTTTGTGTTTGATCCTTTGTAGTTCTTCTTTTACTAGGGATATTTCCCGTCCTGGAAGTTAATGGGGGCTCAATCTCTCATATTAGACATTTTTTTTGCACCTCCCTCTTGGAGGTTAATGGGGGCTCAATTTCTCATATTAGACATGTCTTGTACCCCTTTTCCTGGAGGCTCAACCCCACTACTGGGGATTCCTTGCACCTTCACACACTTTCAACCTCCAAGATAACCTGACCACCAAAGAATACTTCACGACTCCCACGGCTTTTCTTGCCTTGGTGTGTCCTGACCAAAGAATACCTCACCGCCCCGGTGGCTTTTCTTGCCTTGGTATATCCCAACCAAAGAATACTTCACTGCCCCTGAAGCTTTTCTTGCCTTGGTCCTGACCACCAAGGAAATACTTTGCCGGCTCCCATGGCCTTTCTTACCTTGGTCTGTGCACAGAGTTATCCGATTGCCCCAGTAACTGAAGGCCTTTTCTTCCTGCATTGCTGACAGTCCAGGTTTATTCATCACACTGTGGCTGCCACAACAAGGCAGCGGGACGTGTCTCCTCACGAGAGGCGATCAGAGACCCTTTCCCAGGGGAGGATTAGTTTCCCCATATGGGCCACTAAATTTGTTGGAAATAAATGCTCAGTGCCGCAAAGAAGAACCAGCACTGAGACAAAAATTCTCTCAGAAAGGCAATTTACTCCCATAGGAGGGTGTGTTTCACAGATGCACCAACGGCGAGAGCACCCAGAACAAAGAAAAGCAGGGGTTTTAATTATCTCTAACACAGTTTCTGCTGTGTCTTTCCCCTGTTGGCTAGGGTTGGACCCCACAGTCTAAATTAGTCCCAATTGGCTAAACATTTAAACTTTCTTAGATAAGGTTGGCACATAAGGGGGGTGAGAAGAGACAGAAGGGGGGTCACTTACGGGGGTACTAGGAAGGGAACCTATTCCCTAATAAGGAAAGGAATGTGGACTGGGGTTGTAGCAAGTTCAGGCATGCCTAGGCATATTCAGACAAGTTGGGGTGCAACAAAGGCAAGGGGGTGTTTGGAATTATAGGATGGAGAACAGGGAAACTGGATAAGCTGTTTGAAGAGGGAACCTAATTGTATTTAACAAACCAGAATGTTTAATTAATGAAGTTGTAACTTTTATTAAGTGTTTCATAGCATTTCAGTTTTGCGGCCTTCTTTTTATTCTCATTTCTGCAGGCTCCCAACAGCTCTGGCCTTGGGCCCTGCGTCCACTGGGCTTGATGCTCCTAGTGGGAGGTTCCTGACCTCAAAGTCCCCCTTCACTGCCCCATGATGAGAGAGACTGGGAGCTGCTGGTAGAGGTAGGAAGGCTGTAAGTGTGCCCAGTGGGCTCTAGGTAAAGGAAATGGGCCAGGGCTGTTTTCTGGACAGTGAGAACAACAGTGGATTCAGGTCAGAGTAGTTCAGTTGGTGAGACAGCCAGGGTACCCTTTCCCAAGTCCTGGGAAGAAGGAGAGGAGACGAGGCTGGTAACCTGATCATTGGGTCAAGCATGACATAGCTCTCATGGGACCATCTCCAAGCTCTGCTGTAGGCAGAGGGGAGGCCAGAATCAAAGTCCTGTCCTCTTCTTCAGGGAAGGGTCATTTGGAAGGAGGGATAGGTCCTAGGTCACATGGGACTGTGCACAGAGTTGTCTCTGGAGCCCAGAGATCACAGCACCAGGCCCAGTCCAACCTAGAGAAAGAGCCACGCCATGCCTTGGGGACATTGGGAGGAGCAAAGAGCTCAGATGTGGGCCTAAGACAGATCTGGGTTGTTGTCTTGGCTGGTTCTTTATGAGCTGTGGCCTCGGACATGTTTCTGAACCTTGGCTTTCCTTCATATGTAAAATGAGAATAAATCAGAGTTGCTAGAAGGCGTTGGGGGCCCATTAAAACAGATGACTGAGCTTGGCAGTTTCTCAAAAAGTGACACAGAATTTCTATGTGGTCCAGCAATTCCGCTCCTAGGGCTATGCCCTGGAGAACTGAAAATACGAACTCAAACAAACACATGTGCCCAAACATTCATAGCAGCACTAGTCACGATAGCCAGGAAGTGGAAACTACCCAAATGTCCATCCACTGAGGAATGAATAAGAAAAATGTGGCCTATCCCTACAATGCAGCACCATTCACCATAAAAAGAAATGAAATTCTGATCCATGGAACAACATGGACGAACCCTGAGGACATTATGCTAAGTGGAATCAGCCAGACACAAAAGGACACACACTATATGATATAGTTTGGATCTGTGTCCCCACTCAAATCTCATATTGAATTGTAATTTCCAGTTTTGGAGATGGGGCCTGGTGGAAGGTGAGTGGATCATGGAAGCAGACCTTTCTCATGGAGGATTTAGCCCTTGGTACTGTCCTTGCAACAGTGAGTGAATTCTCATGAGATCTGGTTGTTTAAAAGTTTGTATCACCCCCCTCACTCTCCTGCTCCTGCTTTTCACTGTGTGAGATGCCTGCTCCCCCACTCCCCCACCTTCCACCATCATTGCAAGCTCCCCGAGGCCTTCCCAGAAGCAGATACTGCCATGCTTTCTGTACAGCCTGAAGAACTGTGAGCCAATTACACCTCTTTTCTTATTGATTACCCAGTCTCAGGTATTTCTTTATAGCAATGCAAAAACCAACTAATGCACTATATAATTCCACTTATGTAAGGTACCTAGAATAGGCAAATTCATAGAGATAGTAAGTAGAGTAGAGGTTACCAGGGGACAGGGGGAGGGGAGGATGAGGAGTTATTGTCTGTTGGGTACAGTGTTTCTGGTTGGGATGGTGAAAAAGTTCTGGACATAGTGATTGCACAACATTGTGAATGTACTTAACGTCACTGAACTACAGACTCAAACATGGTTAAAATGATAGATTGTATGTTATATATATTTTACCACAATATAAATTAATGGATAAAAATATAGTAAAGGAGGCCGGACGCGGTGGTTTACGCCTGTAATCCTAGCACTTCGGGAGGCTGAGGTGGGCGGATCACGAGGTGAGGAGATCGAGACCATCCTGGCTAATATGGTGAAACTCCGTCTCTACTAAAAATACAAAAAATTAGCCGAGCGTGGTGGCGGGCGCCTGTAGTCCCAGCTACTCGGGAGGCTGAGGCAGGAGAATGGCGTGAACCTGGGAGGTGGAGCTTGCAGTGAGCCAAGATTGCACCACTGCACTCCAGCCTGGGCGAAAGAGCGAGACTCCATCTCAAAAAAAAAAAAAAATATATACACACACACACACACACACACACACACACACACACACACACATATACTATATATACTATATAGTATATATATATAGTGTATATTTATACACTATATATATATATATAGTAAAGGAATGAGGTACAGTAATCCCCCTTTGTCCTTGGGGGATATGTTTCAAGAATCCCAGTGGAAGCCTGAAATGCTTTTCTTCAATCGGATCCCTGAGCCAGCTACTAAATGATTCATAGGCAGATAATGTCCACCTACAGTGTGAATATAATGGACCAGGGAATGACTCACCACCTGGGCAGGATGGAGTGGGACTGCATGAGACTTCAGCATACTACTCACAATGGCATGGTATTTGAAACTTATGAATTGTGTATTGTTGGAATTTTTCATTTAATATATTTAGACCACAGATGACTGCAGGTAATTGAAACCCCAGAAAGCAAAACTCCAGATAAAGAGGGACTACTGTACTAATGTAATATAAGGTAGAGTGTGGGTAAACCTAAAGCATGACTTTAAGTGAAAGAAGCCATATATAAAAAGATGACACATTGTTTATGATTTGATTTATAAGAATTATCCAAAAATAGGCAAATATGTAAATTAGTTCCACATTTCACAAGGAATATATACATGAGAGGTCTTCAAAAAGTTCATGGAAAATTTGCATTATAAAAGAACTACGCAGCCGGGCACGGTGGCTCACGCCTGTAATCCCAGCACTTTGGGAGGCCGAGGTGGGTGGATCACGAGGTCAGGAGATCGAGACCATCCTGGCTAACAAGGTGAAACCCCGTCTCTACTAAAAATACAAAAAATTAGCCGGGCGCGGTGGCGGGCGCCTGTAGTCCCAGCTACTCGGGAGGCTGAGGCAGGAGAATGGCGTGAACCCGGGAAGCGGAGCTTGCAGTGAGCCGAGATTGCGCCACTGCAGTCCGCAGTCCGGCCTGGGTGACAGAGCGAGACTCCGTCTCAAAAAAAAAAAAAAAAGAACTCTTACAGGTCGATCATTAAAAGACAATGCAATTTTTTTTTCACAGAGGGTCTCACTCTGTTGCCCAGGCTGGAGTGCAGTGGCAGCCTTGAATTCCTGGGCTCAAGTGATCCTCCTGCCTCAGCCTCTTTAGTAGCTGGGACTACAGGTACATGTCACCATGCCCAGCTAATTTTTTATTTCTTATTTATTTATTTATTTTGAATTGGGGTCTCATTATGTTGCCCAGGCTGGTTTTGAACTCCCAGACTCAATCAATCCTCCTGCCTCAACCTCCCAAAATGCTGGAATTACAGGTGTAAGTGACTATGCCCGGCCGTGATATTTAAAATATGCAAAGGATCTGCTTACTGGGGGCATTTAGACATAGACATTTCTCCAAGGAAGATATATAAATGGCCAATAAACACATGAAAAGATGCTGAACATTATTAGTCCATTAGGGAAATTCAAATCAAAATCACGAGATACCACCTCACACCCACCTCACTCCCACTACTGGCAAAGACAATAACAAGTGTGGTCAAAAATTGTGCAAAAATTTGGAAACCTCATATGTCACTGGTGGGAATATAAAATGGTAGAGCACTCTGTAAAACAATCTGGCAGTCCTTAAAAAGGCTAAGCATATGGCCGGGTGTGGTGGCTCACTCCTGTAATCACAGCACTTTGGGAGGCCAAGGCAGGCGGATCACCTGAGGTCAGGAGTTGGAGACCAGCCTGGCCAACATGGTGAAACCCCGTCTCTACTAAAAATACAAAAATTAGCCGGGCAGGGTGGTGGATGCCTGTAATCCCAGCTACTCGGGAGGCTGAAGCAGGAGAATGGCTTGAACCCAGGAGGCAGAGGTTGCAGTGAGCCGAGATTGTGCCACTGCACTCCAGCCTGAGCAACAGAGTGAGAATCCCTCTCAAAAAAAAAAGACTAAACATAGTTTCCCAGTAATTTCACTTACCTGTACATATAAATGCAAGAGAAATGAAAACACATGTCCACACAGAGCCACGTATATGAATGGTTATAACAGCAGCTTTATTCATGGTAGGTAGAAAGCAGAAACAATTCAAATGCCTGTTAACTGATCAAAAGATACACAAAGTGTGCTGTATCTATACAAGGACTATAATAATCCATATTACTCCATCATAGAAAGGAGTAAAATACTAATACATAGCCAGGTGCTGTGGCTCATGCCTGTAATCCTAGCACTTTGGGAGGCAGAGGTAGGAGGATCCCTTGAACCCAGGAGTTCAAGACCAGCCTGGACAATAGAGCAAGACCCCGTCTCCACAGAAAATTTAAAAATTAGGCAGGCATGGTGATGCACACCTGTAGTCCCAGCTATTCGGGAGGCTGAGGTGGGAGGATTGCTTGAGCCCAGGAGTTTGAGGCTGCAGTGAGCCATCATCGCACCACTGCACTCCAGCCTCAGCAATGGGGTGAGCTCCTGTTTCTTTAAAAAAATAATAAGAAGAATACGTGCCACAACATGAATAAAACTTAAAAACATCCAGTCACAAACGATCACACATATTATATTATTCCATTCTCATAAAATGTTCAGAGTAGGCAAATCTAGAAAGTAGATTCATGCTTGCCAGGGTGTAGGGGGAGGAGGGAGTGGGCTTTTTCTTGGCTGATGAAAATGTTCCAGATTACACAGTGGTGATAGTTGTACAACTTCATGAATGTACTAAAACCCACCTCAACGTGGTGAATTTTATGGTATGTGAATTCTATCACAATAAAAAATTAGAATAATGTTGCTGTAGTACTCAGGTTTAAATAACTAAAGAAATAATAAAGTTGAATCAAATTGTCAAAAAAAAAAAAAAAAAAATAGACACCAGTCCACAGGGTCCCCTGCTCCAGGAACACATATCAAATCCTTTACATGGTGTCCTAGAAGCAGCCCACTCCCCAGCTGGGCTTGAGACAAGAGGGAGCACGCCTCTGTCCCCTTATAAGGGCCTGAGGGGTGTGGCGTCCATAGCACCCCAACATCTTTCACAAAAGACCATCTCTCCTGATTTCTAGCTGCTTGCTAGAGGCTGCAGATGGGTGTCACCTGAGGGCTGGAAGTCCATTCCTGACCACCCTGTGCAAGCCTGCATAGGGGCGTATTAGTCAGTGGGGCCCCTGTTACAAGTTCCACTGGCTGGGTATTTCTAAACAGCAGAAATTGGGCTGGGCACAGTGGCTCACGCCTGTAATCCCAGCAGTTTGGGAGGCCGAGGCAGGTGGATCACTTGAGGTCAGGAGTTCGAGACCAGCCTGGCCAACATGGTGAAACCCTGTCTTTACTAAAAATAGAAAAAATTATCTGGGTGTGGTGGCACACGCCTGTAATCCCAGCTACTCGGGAGACTGAGGCAGGAGAATTGCTGGAACCTGGGAGGCAGAGGTTGCAGTGAATAGAGATCACGCCACTCCACTCCAGCCTGGGTGACAGGGCGAGACTCCACCTCAAAAAAAAATAAAATAAACAGAAATCTATTTTCCCACTGTTCTGGAGGCTGGAATTCTCACATGAGGACCTCAGTGAGGTCGAAGATCAAGGTGTCAGCTCGATGGCTTTTCTTTTTTGTTTATTTTAGATACAGGGTCTTGCTGTTGCCCAGGCTGGAGTGCAGTGGTGCAATCACAACTCACTGCAGCCTTGACCTCCTGGGCCCAAAAGATGACTGGCTATTCATTTTATTTTATTTTCTTAGAGACAGGAGTCGCATTATGTTGCCCAGGCTAGTCTCAAACTCCTGGACTTAAGCGATCCTCCCGCCTCAGCGTCCCCTCAAAGTGTTGTGATTACAGGCGTGAGCCACTGCACCCAGCCTGGGTGTGTTGTTTAAAATTCATCTTTCATATGTCCTGGGCAATATAACCATGTTTCTTCCCAGAGTTCGGGGAGATGGGAAGGAGGGACCATAATGGCTTCCTGGCCTTGTGAAGCAGATGGTGAAGGGAGGGGAGTAGAACTTGGAAACCTGATGCTGGTGGCTCTGGGACAGCTGTTGTGGGGTGGGGGAGGGGGGAGGTGCAGCTGGGGCATCAGCAGGGGTGAACGAGGAAATGGGTCAGAAGCACTCAGTACCAGGCTGAGGTCAGACCGGGCGACCCGCCTGTCGCTGTTCTGTGACTTTCCCGGGGCAGACTCTCAGGAGCTTAGAGTTGGGCCAGACATAGAATCTGAGACCGGGGACCAACCCTGGCTCTTGGCAGCACAGCTGGAGAGAAAAACAGAAACACTCCCACCCCGTCAACTTGAACAGCCCATGCATTTCTGCACAATTCACCCCCATATTGCAAGTGAGCCTGCTAAGCCCGAGACGACCCCTAATGAGAAACCATGGAGGAGCCCCGCGCTGGTCGCTAGGAACACTCCACTGCCTGGAATGCTTCCTCTGAGTGCAAACGGATGTAGCAACTTGGGGTTTCTGTGGATGGCAATAGGAAATGAACTCGCAAGAGTTTAAGGCGCATTTCAGAATGACTCTACTGTAAGAAACATGTGCATGCCAACCATGCAAGCTTAGAGGAAGCAGACGAATGAGAGCAGCAACTGTCCACATTAGGAAGGAAAAACAGAGGAAGGAAAGGAGGGAGAACGAGAAGGAAGGGAATGGGGAGAGAAAAGAAGGAAGGCCATTCATTGAGCTGGACGGAATGGGGCGTTTATAGCAAGTCGGCCTGATTTCTGGAGAGCTAGCCCACATGCATCGTCACCTTCAGAGCTAAGCCACTCATTTCTGGAGGGATGCCCCTGAACAGAGGCAGCGGTTTTGCACAGGGGTTGCCCAAAACCACGTTCCCATCCAAACAGGCTTGCGCGGGAGCGCACACAGCGGGTCCTGCTAAAAATCTGTTCTCATGGCTCCCTCTGGTGTCCAGACCGTGCAATAGCAGGAAGCCCGGACGGTTCCTCTGCAAAGGCGCTTCCCTGCAATCACACCATCGCCCAAGCCTTGGTTGCGGGGGTGCCTCAGCCACGCTAACCCTTACATATGTTCTCAGATCCCAACTGCGCTGAGATGAGGATGTAGGGCTGAGGTCCTAGTTGTGCAAATGGGTCCAGAGATGCTTTATCCAGGGGTACATCACCGGTGTCAGCTCAGGTCAGGGAAGGTTTCTATTAGATCATCCTCCTTCAAATTATAATAATAGAAGGAAAAATTCGGCTGAGCGTGGTGGCTCATGCTTGTAATCCCAGCGCTTTGGGAGGCCGAGGCAGGAGGATTGCTTGAGGCCATGAGTTTGAGACTAGCCTGGGCCATGTAGGGAGACCCCGTCTCTACACAAAAATTTTAAAAATTGTCTAGCATGGTGTCAGGTGCCTAGAATTCCAGCTACTTGGGAGGCTGAAACCAGAGGATTGCCTCAGCCCAGGAATTCGAGGCTGCAGTGAGCTACGCCACTGTACTCACTCCAGTCTGGGCAACAGAACAAGACCTTGTCTCTCTAAAACATACACAGAAATACACACACACACACACACACACACACACACACAGGGTAAATGCTGCAGACACTTTGTGTTCAGGAACCCTAATCCTTACAGCTTTCCTCTTTGCACTGGACAGCCGAGGAATGGCAGGCTCAGAGAACAAGTTATAAGCACGGAGCTGGAATTTGAGGCCAATGCTAGTTGACTCCCACATCCCTCAGCCACATAATGCTAACTCCTAGTGAAGTGTTTGTTAAGGAGCTGGTGCAGGCTCCTGACATCAGTATTAAGAAGAGATGCCTTTGGCCAGGTGAGCTGGCTCACACCTGTAATCCCAGGGCTTTGGGAGGCCGAGGCGGGCAGATCACCTGAGGTCAGGAGTCCAAGATCAACCTGGCCAACGTGGTGAAACCCATCTCCACTAAAAAAATACAAAAACTAGCTGGGTGCAGTGGTGAGCACCTGTAATCCCAGCTGCTCAGGAGGCTGAGGCAGGAGAAACGCTTGAACCCAGGATGCAGAGGTTGCAGTGAGCCGAGATCACACCACTGTACTCCATCCTGGGCAACAGAGTAAGACTCCATCTCAAAAAAAAAAAAAAAAAAAAGAGATTCCCCCAAAAGAATTGAAAACAAGTATTCAGAGAAATGTTTGTACATGAATGTTCATAGCCATGTTTTCCACAACAGCCAAAAGTTGGAAGCAACCACATGTCTGCCCAGCAGCTGAATAATGGATAAACAAAATGTGCTTTATACACACAGTTGTTATTAGTCAAGCCATAAAAAGGAATGGAGTGTTGATATGTGCTACAATGTGGATGAACCTTGAAAACATGCTAAGTGACACTATTCACAATAGCAAAGACATGGAATCAACTTAAGTGCCCATCAATGGTAGACTGGATAAAGAAAATGTGATATATACACACCATGATTTCATTCTTTTTGCATAGTATACCATGGTGTGTGTGTGTATATACACACAGGTATATATACAGATATACACATGTGTGTGCCTATGTGTATATATAAATACAGATATACATATGTGTATATATGCATGTATATATGTATATGTGTATATGTGTGTATATACATGTGTACATATGCAGATATATACGTGTGTGTATATGTGTATGTGTATATATATACACATACAGATACATATGTATATATGTATATACGCATGTATATATGTGTATCTGTATGTATACATACACACATATATACACATACATACATATATATATATACCACAATGAATATGGTATATAGATTCATGGAACACCATGGAATACTATGCAGCCATGAAAAAGAATGAAATCATGTTCTTGGCAGCAACATGGGTGCACCTGGAGACCATCAACCTAAGTGAATTAATGCAGGAGCAGAAAACCAAATAGCACATGTTCTTACTTGTAAGTGGGATATAAACATTGGGTTCACATGGACATAAAGATGGCAACCATAGACACTGGGGATTACTAGAGGGTGGAAGGAAGATGGGGGCAAGTATTGAAAAACTACCTATTGGG
The DNA here is from genome assembly GCF_000001405.40 of Homo sapiens. Classification (NCBI taxonomy): domain Eukaryota; kingdom Metazoa; phylum Chordata; class Mammalia; order Primates; family Hominidae; genus Homo; species Homo sapiens. Next base: position 70,827,231 of record NC_000007.14, on the reverse strand, counting down.
TACCATGCTCACTACCTGAGTGATGGGATCATTCATACCCCCAACGTCAACATCGTGCAATATACCCAGGCAACAAACTTACACATGCACCCTCTGAATTTAAAATAACAGTTGAAATTATTTTTAAAAAGAGAGAAAAAGAAAAACATGCTAAGTGAAATAAGCCAGACAAGAAGGTCACATATCATCTGTGAAATGTATAATATTTATATGAAATATCCAGAATTGGCAAACCCATATAGATGCAAAGCAGATTAATGGTTGCTGGGGGCTGGAGAGAGGAGATTTGCAGTGACTGCTTAATGGGGACAGGGTCCCCTTTTAGGGTGATGAAATATTTTGGAATCATAGAGGTGGTGGCTGCACAAAGTTGTGAATGTACTGAATGTCACTGAACTGTACACTTTCAAATGGTTCATTTATGTTATGTAAATTTCATTTCAAAACTTCTTATTGAGGCTGGGTGTGGAGGCTCATGCCTGCAATCCCAGCACTTTGAGTGGCTGAGGCGGGAGGATTGCTTGAGCCCAGGAATTCAAGACCAGCCTGGCAACATGTTGAATCCTGTCTCTACAAAAAATACAAAAATTAGCCACATGTGGTGGTGCGTGCCTGTAATCTCAGCTACTTGGGAGGCTGAGGCAAGAGAATTGCTTGAATCTGGAAGGTGGAGGTTGCAGTGAGCTGAGATTGTGCCACTGCACTCCAGTCTGGGTGACAGATCAAGACCCAATCAAAAAAAAATTATTGAGGAGAGGAAAGGAGTTTCACATATCAGATCAAAATCATCCTTACGATGATGAATTTGACCATTTTTTTCTGAGCACCTATTATGTGCCAGGCACTGTTGTAAGTGTTGAGGACAAAACAGTGGGAGGGGGGAGGCAAAACTTCTGTCCTTGTAGAGCTTAGATTTAGAGAGGAAAATCAGTCAATGAACAAGATGTTGTTAGACAAAATACGTAGTACACTAAGTGGTAATTGTGCCAAAGGGAAGAGACAGCAGGGAAAGAGAAAGGAAGTGGCTGTGTGTTCTGTGCGTTTGGGGGAAGGAGCAGACCATTTAGTTAGGGTGGTGTATTAGTCTATTTTGCATTGCTATAAAGGAATACCTGAGACTGGGTAACTTATAAAGAAAAGGTTTATTTGGCTCGTGGGTCTGCAGACTGTACAAACATGGTGCCAGCACCTGCTGAGTTTCTGGGGAGGAAGTTTTTACTCACGGTGGAAGGCAAAAGGGGAGCAGGTGTGTCACATGGCAAGAGAGAGAGGAGGGGATTCCAGACTCTTTTTTTTTTTGAAATGGAGTTTCATTCTTGTTGCCCAGCTGGAGTGCAGTGACATGATCTCAGCTCACTGCAGCCTCTGCCTCCCCGGTTCAAGCGATTCTCCTGCCACAACCTCCCAAGGAGCTGGGATTACAGGTACACTCTACCACACCTGGCTAATTTTTGTATTTTTAGTAGAGACAGGGTTTCACCATGTTGGTTAGGCTGGTCTCGAACTCCTGACCTCATGTGATCCACCTGCCTCAGCCTCCCAAAGTGCTGGGATTGCAGGCGTGAGCCTCCGTGCCCAGCCCAGACTTTTTAAACAACCAGCTCTCTCGTGAACTCATAGAGTGAGAACCCACTCATTTTCATGTGGAGGGCACCAAGCCATTCATGAGGGATCCACCCCCACAATCCCAACACCTCCCACCAGGCCCCACCTCCAACACTGGGGGTCACATTTCAACATGAGATTTGGAGGGGACAAAACATCCAAACCATGTCAGGTGGCCAAGGAAGTCCCCACTAAGGAGGACATGTTTTTAGTAAAGATCTGAAATAATGAAGCAGAGAGATCTGTGAAAATGTCTGAGGGTAGGACTGGTCCGGCAGAGAGAACAGCACATGCAAAGGCCCTGAGGTAGGAGCATGTCTGGAGGCCAATGCAGCTGGATCTGTGCGAGTGAAAAAGTCAGGGGTGGACAGTGCAGGTCACAGGGTCTGAAGAGCTTTGCCTTCTAGCTGAGAGGGAATCTCTGGAAGGTTTTGAGCAGAGGGATGACATGACTTGAATTTTTTTTGTTGTTGCATGCAAAAAAACATACGTAGGGCTGTAAAACAGACACTTAGGTAACCACCGTTAAAGTCAAGTAAAAGACCACAGCTGGCATCTTGGCAGCCCCACACATCACCCTCCCAACTTTAAGCCCTCCACTGCTCCACGAGAGACCATGCTTTCTACAGCGCTTGTTTCTCTTTGTAGTTCATCACCTCTGTGCTTATCTCTAGAAAAGTCTGGTTTTATGTCACCTATTTTTGAAATTCCTTTTTTCGAGACAGGGTCTCACTCTGTTTCCCAGGCTGGAGTGCAGTGGTGCGATCTCAGCTCACTGCAACCTCCACCTCCCAGATTCACGTGATTCTCCTGCCTCAGCCTCCCGAGTAGCTGTGATTAAAGGTGTGCACCACCATGCCCGGCTAATTTTTGTATTTTTAGTAGAGACAGGGTTTCATCATGTTGGCCAGGCTGGTCTCGAATACCTGACGTCAAGTGATCTGCCTGCCTCAGCCTCCCAAAGTGCTGGGATTACAGGCATGAGCCACTGCATCTGGCCCAATTTCTTGATATTGTCAGATGTTTTAATTTGTCTGTTGGGTGGTTGTACATTTTTCTGTTGACTAATGAGGCTTGTGCCATTTCATGTCTTTGGAAATACACAGTGCATTATTATTTATTACAGCCACAATGTGGTGCAAATAGGCCACTAAAGCATCCTCCTCTTGTCTAACTGAAATTTTGTATCCTTTGATCAACATCTCCCTTTTCCCCATCTGATATTGTTTGGATGTTTGTCCCCTCCAAATCTCATGTTGAAATGTGGTCCCCAGTGTTGGAGGTGGGGCCTGGTGGGAGGTGTTTGGGTCACAGGGACAGATCCCTCATGAATGGTTTGGTCTCATCTACATGGTAATGAGTGAGTTCTCATTTGTTAGTTCATACAAGAGCTGGTTGTTTAGAAGAGCTTAGCACCTCCTCTCCTCTCTCTTGCTCTCTCTCTTGCAATGTGGTGCCAGCTTCACTTTGCCTTCCACAGTGAGTGGAAGCTTCCTGAGGTCCTCACCAGAAGCAGATGTTGGCTCCATGCTTCTTGTACAGCCTGCAGAACTGTGAGCCAAATAAACCTCTTTTCTTTATAAATGACGCACCCTCAGGTATTCCTTTATAGCAAACCAAAATGCACTAAGACACCATCCACCCCTATTCCCAGTCTCTGATAACTACCATTTTACTCTCTACCTCTATGAATTTGACTTTCTGAGATTCCACATATAAGTGAGAACATGCAATGTTTGTCTTTCTGTGCCTGGCTTATTGCATTTAGTAAGTTTTTCAGGTTTATCCATGTTGTTACAAATGACAGAATTTCCTTCTTTTTAAAGGCTGAATGGTATTCCACTGTGTATATATACCATTAAAAAAATTATTTCCATAGGTTATTGGGAAACAGGTGGTATTTAGTTACATGAGTAAGTTCTTTGGTGGTGATTTGTGAGATTTTGGTTCACCCATCACCCAAGCAGCGTACACTGAACCCAATTTGTAGTCTTTTATCCCTCACCCCATTCCCACCCTTTCCCACCGAGGTCTCAAAATCCATCAGGTTATTCTTATGCCTTTGCATCCTCATAGCTTAGCCCCCACTTATGAGTGAGAATATATGCTGTTTGGTTTTCCATTCCTGAATTATTTCACTTAGAATAATAGTCTCCAATCTCATCCAGATTGCTGTGAATGCCATTAATTTATTCCTTTTTATGGCTGAGTAGTATTCCATTGTACGTATACACACACACACACACACACACACACACACACACACACGCACCACAGTTTCTTTATCCATTCACTGACTGATGAGCATTTGGGCTGGTTCTGCGTTTTTGCAATTGTGAATTGTGCTGCTATACACATGCATGTGCAGGTATCTTTTTAGTAAAATTGTGTTCGGAATTTGTTCCTTCCAGGGGGTTCTTGATCTCACTGACTTCAAGAATGAAGCTGCGGACCCTTGCGGTGAGTGTTACAGTTCATAAAGATGGTGTGTCCAAAGTTTGTTCCTTCAGATGTTCAGATGTGTCCAGAGTTTCTTCCTTCCAGTGGTTCTGTGGTCTCGCTTGACTTCAGGAGTGAAGCTGCAGACCCTCGCAGTGAGTGTTACAGCTCTTAAAGGTGGCACATCCGGAGTGGTTTTTTCCTCCCCGGTGGTTCGTGGTCTGGCTGACTTCAGGAATGAAGCCACAGACCCTCTTGGTGAGTGTTACAGCTCATAAAGGTAGTGTGGACCCAAAGAGTGAGCAGCAGCACGATTTATTGTGAAGAGCAAAAGAACAAAGCTTCCACAGCATGGAAGGGGACCTGAGCAGGTTGCTGCTGCTGGCTTGGGTGGCCAACTTTTAGTCCTTTATTTGGCCCTGCCCACGTCCTGCTGATTGGTCCATTTTACAGAGTGCTGATTGGTCCGTTTTTACAGAGTGCTGATTGGTGTGTTTTTTACAGAGTGCTGACTGGTGTGTTTACAAACCTTTAGACACAGAGCACTGATTGGTGCGTTTTTACAGAGTGCTGATTGGTGCATTTACAAACATTTAGCTAGACACAGAGCGCTGATTGGTGTGTTTTTACAGAGTGCTGATTGGTGCGTTTACAAACCTTTAGCTAGACACAGAACACTGATTGGTGTGTTTACAATCCTTAAGCTAGACAGAAAAGTTCTCCAAGTCCCCACCCAGCAGGCTTCACCTCTCAAAATGACTTCTTTTCCTTTGGGTAGATACCCAGTAGTGGGATTGCTGGATCGAATGGTAGTTCTACTTTTAGTTCTTTAAGGAATCTCCACACTGTTTTCCATGGTGGTTGTACTAGTTTACATTCCCACCAGCAGTGTAGAGGTGCTCCCTTTTCACTGCATCCACACCAACATCTATTATTTTTTGATTTTTTGATAATGGCCATTCTTGCAGGAGTAAGTATACTGTATTTTCCTTTTTGTTGTTGTTTTCTTTTGAAATGAAGTGTCACTCCATCACCCAGGCTGGAGTGCAGTGGCATGATCTCAGCTCACAGCAACCTCCGCCTCTCCTGGGTTCAAGCAATTCTGCCTCAGCCTCCCAAGTAGCTGGGATTACAGGTGCCCACCACCAAACCCAGCTAATTTTTGTATTTTTTGGGGAGACAGGGTTTCACCATGTTGACCAGGCTGGTCTAGAACTCCTGACCTCGAGTTATCTGCCTGCCTCAGCCTCCAAAAGTGCTGGGATTACAGGACAATGTCTATTTGGGCCCTTTACCCATTTTTAAATTGAGTTCTTTGGTTTTTTGCTGTTGAGTCCTTTGAGCCCTTGATGTATTTGGGGGTGTTAATTTTTTTATCAGATGTGAGGTTTGCAAATATTTTCTCCCCGTCTGTGGTTGTGGTTGTTTTTTCACTCTGTTACTTGTTTTCTTTGCTCTGCGGATGCTTTTTCGTTTAATGCAATTCCATTTGTTTATTTTTGCTTTTGTTACTTGCGTTTTTGGGATCATTTCCAAGAAATCCTTGCCCAAATCAATGTCTTGGAGCATTTCCCCTGTTTTTTTTTTTCTAGGAGTTTTACAGTTTCAGGTCTTACATTTAAGTTTGTAAGCCATTTTGAGGTGATTTTGCACCGTTTCATATTTAATGGATGTTTCTATCTCTCTCCGTAGGGTGATTGTTCAAGTTTTTGCCAATTTTGCTCTTCAGTTTTTAACTCATAAAACCTTTTATGTATTCTGGATATCTCTTCTTTGTTGGTTATATAGAGCAGAGATCTTTATGGCTTGTCCTGTCATTACAGTGTCTTTTAATGAACAGGAGTTGATTTTTAATTTTTCTGCTAAAATTCACCTTTTTTAGTAAACAAGTCTGTGGGTTTTGACAAATACACCTAATGGCATAACCACCACCACAATCGAAACACAGAATTGCACCACACTCCAAAATTCCCTGTTGTCACTCCTTTGTAGCCACCACTCCTGATCCACAGCCCCGAGCAACTACTGATTTGTTTCTGTCAAGGAAACTTTTGCCCTTTCCAGGATTCCATATAAATGGACACGTACTGTTTGAAGCCTTTTGAGTCTGGCTTCCTTCACTTAGCATCATGCATTTGAGATTTATCAATGCTGCATGTGTCAATCATCCAGTCTTCATTGCTGAGTAATACTCCATTCTTTGGGACGCACCACAGTTTGTCCACTCACCTGTTGAAGGGCATTTGTGTTGCTTTCCAGGCTTTTTGTTGATTTTGGATAAAGCCTCTATAAACACTTGTTTAAGACTTTTGTGCAGCCTTAAATTTTCCTTTAAGGAGTGGAATGGCTAGATTATATGGTGAGTGCATGCTTAATTTTCTAAGAAATGGCCAAACTGTTTCCAGAATGGCTGAACCCTTTTACATTCCCACAGCAGCATAAGAAAGAGCCAGTTGCTCCACACCCTCACCAGCACTTGGCATACATAGTGATTGTCATTATAATTTACATTTTCCTAATGACTAGTGTCCTTCTTTGCTAGACATATATATATATATATATATATGATTTGAAATTACTGTTCAAATATTTATTCCACTTTTTAGTTGAATTTTCGTTTTCTTATTTTTGAATTTTGGGACTTCTTTATATGTTCTGGATGCACCCTTCATTGGCTATACGTTTTGGAAAATTTTCTCCTGTATATGGCTTGTCTTTTTAGACTCTTAATAGTGTCTTTCAAAAAGCAGAAGTTTGGTTTTCTTAATAAAGTATTATTTACTAATTCATTACTTATGGATTGTGCTGTTAGTGTTGAATCTAAGAAATCCTGTCTCTACTGAATTGCCTTTTGACCTTTGTCAAAAATCAATTCACACCCTAGAACTTAAAGTATAATAAAAATAAAAGAAAGAAAAATCAATTCACTATATGTGAGTCTATTTCTGGACTCTGTTCTGTCCCATTGGTCCATGTGTCTATCTTTTCACCATTGTACAGTCTTGATTCCTGTAGCTTTAGAGTAACTCCTGGGATCAGGTAGCATGAATCTTCCCAACTGTTTTAGTTTTTGAATTTCCTTGACTATTCTGAGTCCTTTGCCTTGCCCTTTAAATCATAGAATTTGTTTCTCAATTCCTGCAAAAAATGTCTTCTGGAATGTTGATTGGAATTGCATTGGATCTATAGATCTGTTTGGGGGGAATTGGCATCTTCATATTGACTCTTCAAATCCATGAACATAGGATATCTCCGCAGATAGGTCTCTCTGATTTCTTTCGCCAGCATTTTGTAATTTTTATACAAAGTTTGCACCTTTTTTTCTTTTTTGATGCTATTGCAAAAGGTACTTTTATTTTCCAGATATTTTGAGATATACTTGACAAATAAAACTGTATATAGTGAAGATGTACGATGTGATGATTTGATATATGTATATGTTGCATAATGAATACCACAATCAAATTAATACATCCATCCCCATCCATAGTTGCCATTAATGGGGCAGAGAGGGAAAGAACAGTTAAAATCTCTCTTATCAAATTTTTAAAAACACAGTATAATGAACTATAGTCATTATGTTGTATATTAGACCCCCAGAACTTATTTATCTTGTAACTGAAAGCTTGTACCTTTTGAACAATATCTCCCCATTTCCCCACCCCCAGACCCTAGGAACCACCATTCTACTCTCTCCTTCTATAAGTTCCACTTTTTTAGATTCCACAGATAAGTAAGATCATGCAATATTTGTTTTACTGTGTCTGGCTTAATGTCTCTAGGTTTACCCATGTTGCAAATGTCAGTATTTCCTTTTTTAAGGCTGAATACTATTCCATTGTGTATATGAGTCACATTTTCTTTATCCATTCACCCACTGATAGACACTTAGGTAGTTTCCATATCTTGGCAATGGTGAATAATGCAGTAATGAACATAGTTCAAATATCTCTTCTAGATACTGACTTCGTTTCCTTTGGATATATATCCTGAAGTGGGGTTGCTGGATCATATGGTAGTTCTTATATTTAATTTTTGGAGGAATTTCCATACTGTTTTCCATGATGGCTGCACTAATTTACAAGGGTACCCTTTTCTCCACACCTCTCACCCCAAGAGATGCTTGTTATCTCTTGCCTTTTTGGTAATAGTCATCCTTTTTTTTTTTTTTGTTGAGATGAAGTCTTGCTCTGTTGCCCAGGCTGGAGTGCAGTGATGCGATCTCAGCTCACTGCAACCTCTGCCTCCCAGGTTCAAGTGATTCTCCTGCCTCAGCCTCCCTAGTAGCTGGGATTACAGGCACCCACCATCATGCCCGGCTAATTTTTTCTATTTTTGGTAGAGACGGGGTTTCATCATGTTGGCCAGGCTGGTCTCGAACCCCTGAACTCAGGTGATCCACCCGCCTCAGCCTCCCAAAGTGCTGGGATTACAGGCATGAGCCACCGCGCCCAGCCAATAATAGCCATCCTAATAGCTGTGAGGTGTTATTTCACTGTGGTTTTGATTTGCATTTCCCTGATGATTAACGGTGTTAAGAAACTTTTCATACACCTGCTGGATATTCAGATGGCTCTTTTGGAAAAATGTATATTTAGGCCTTTTGCCCATTTTTGGATCAGGTTATTCAGTTTTTTCCTATTGAGTTGTATGAGTTCCTTATATTAATATATTTTGGATATTAATCCCTTATCAGATGTGTGGTTTGCAAAAACTGTCTCTTATTCCACAGATTGCCTTTTCATTTGGTTGACTGCTTCCTTTGCTGTGTGGAAGCTTTTTAGTTTCATGCAGTCCCATTTGTCTATTTTTGCTTTTGCTGCCTATGCTTTTGGTATCTAATCCAAAACAATCCTTGCCAAGGCTAATGTCAAGAAGTTTTTTTCCTATGTTTTCTTCTAGGAGTTTTACAGTTTCAAGTCTTACGTTTAAGTCTTTAATCAATTTAGAGTTAATTTTTGTGTATGGTGTAAGACAGTGATCCAGTTTCATCCTTTTGCATGTGAATATCGAGTTTTTCCAATACCATTTATAAAAGAGACTATCCTTTCCCCATTGAATATCTTGGCACCTTTCCCAAAGGTTACTTGACCACATACATGTGGATTTATTTCTGGTCGGTCTCTCTCTCTCTCCCACCCCCCTTTTGAGACAGGGTCTCCGTCTGTCTGTCACCCAGGCTGGAGTGCAGTGGTGCTACAATCTTAACTCACTGCAACCTCCACCTCCTGGGTTTAAGCAATCCCTCCACCTCAGCCTCCTGAGTTGCTGGGACTATAGGCATGCACCACCACTTCCAGCTAATTTTTGAATTTTCTTTGTAGAGATGGGATTTTGCCATGTTACCCAGGCTGGTCTCAAACTCCTGCACTCAAATGATCCACTCTCCTCAGCCTCCCAAAGTGCTGGGATTACAGGCATGAGCCACCATGTCCAGCCATCTCTCTTGTGGTCCATTGGTCTATGCATGTGTTTTTATGCAAATACCGTACTGTTTTGATTAGTATAGCTTTATAATATAGTTTGAAATCAGAGCATGTGATATCTCCAGCTTTGTTCTTCTTTCTCAAGTTTGCTTTGACTACTTGGGGTCTACTGTGGTTCCATATATTTTCTAGAATTGTTTTTTCTATCTTTGATAAAAAATGACATTCGAATTTTAATAAGGATTGCATTGAAACTGTATATTGCAGCCGGGCGTGGTGGCTCAAGCCTGTAATCCCAGCACTTTGGGAGGCTGAGGCAGGCGGATCACAAGGTCAGGAGATCAAGACCATCCTGTCTAACATGGTGAAACCCCGTCTCTACTAAAAATACAAAAAAATTAGCCAGGTGTGGTGGTGGGTGCCTGTAGTCCCAGCTACTCAGGAGGCTTAGGCAGGAGAGTGGCATGAACCCGGGAGGCAGAGCTTGCAGTGAGCAGAGATTGCTCCGTTGCACTCCAGCCTGGGCAACAGAGCAAGACTCCATCTTAAAAAAAAAAAAAGAAACTGTATATTGCTTTGGGTAGTATTAACATTTTGACAGTATTAGGTTTTTTTTGTTTGTTTTGTTTTGTTTTTTGAGACAGAGTCTTGCTCTGTCATCCAGACTGGAGTGCAGTGGCACAAACTCAGCTCACTGCAGCCTCTGCCTCCCAAGTTAAAGCGATTCTCCCACCTCTGCCTCCCGAGTAGCTGGGACTAAAGGCATGAGCCACCACGCCCAGCTATTTTTTATATTTTTAGTAGAGATGAGGTTTCACCATGTTGGCAGGCTGGTCTTAAACTCCTGACCTCAGGTGATCTGCCCGCCTCAGCCTCCCATAGTGCTGGGATTACAGGTGTGAGCCACTACACCCAGCCTTGATAGTATTAGTTCTTCCAATCCACACACACAAGATATCTTTTCACTGGTTTGCATATTTCATTTCTTTCATCAATGTTTTATAGTTTTCAGTGTATAGATCTTTTACCCTCTAGGTTAAATTTATTTCTAAGTGTTTTCTTCTTTTTCATGCTATTGTAAATGGGATTTTTTTTTAAATTTCTTTTTTGGACAGTTCATTGTTAGTGTAGAGAAACCTAACTGATTTTATTTTCTTTAATTTTTAATTTTAATTTTTAGGGGGACAAGTGCATGCAACTTTCTTACATGCATTATTGTGTAGCAATGAAGTCTAGGCTTTCAGTGCACCCATCACCCAAGTTGTGAGCATTGCACCCAATAGGTAGGTTTTCAAGCCACACTCCTCTCCCATTTTCCCATTCTTTGGAGTCTCCAATGTCGATTCTTCCCTCTGTGTGTCCATATGTACCCATTGTTTAGCTCCCACTGATAAGTGAGAGCATGGAGTATTTGACTTTCTAAGTCATTTCAGTTAGGCCAATGTTGCTGCAAAAGTCTTGATTTTATTCTTTTTTATGGCTGAGTATATATATTTTTTTTCAAAAGAAGACATGCATGTAGCCAACAAATGTGAAAAAATGTTCAAAATCATAATCATCAGAGAAATACATATATATTCTTTATCCAGTCCTGTGTTGATGAACACTTAGGTTGCTTCCATGACTTTGCTATTATGGATACTGCTGTGATAAACATACAAGTGCATGTACCCATATATATATACACAACAGGGAATACTACTTGGTATGGTGTGGTTTATAGGTACAAGAGTGAAGAGGATTGGCATTAATTCTTTAAATATTTGGTAGAATTCTCTAATGATGCCATCTTGTCCTGGGAAGTTTTTGATTATGGGTTAAACCTCTTCGTTCATTATTGGTTCACATTTTCTGTTTCTTCACAATTTAATCTTGGTAGGTTGTATGTTTCTAGGAATTTATCTATTTCTTCTAGGTTATCCAACAATTTATTTGGAAATATATTTCCAAAGAATATACATATATATGAATACATATAAACATATATATAATATATACATATATAAAATATATATATTTCCAAAGAATATATATATTTCCCAAGAAACATATATATATATTTATTTAGAGAAAATTTGACTTCTTTTTTTCCAATTTGGGTGGCTTTTATTTCTTTTTCTTACAGATTGCTCTAGCTAAGACTTCCAGTACTATGTCGAGTGGAAGTGGTGAGATATGGCACCCTTGTCCCTGATATGATAAGAAAAGCTTTTAACTTTTCACTGTTGATAATGTTAGCTGTGGGCTTGTCATATATGAACTTTATTTGAGGTACATTTCTCCTATGCTTAATTTGTTAAGAGTTCTTGTCATGAAAGGATGTTGAATTTTATCAAATTCTGTTTCTTCATCTTTTGAGATGATCATATTGTTTTTGTCTTTCATTCTGTTAATATGGCATATCACATTTATAGATTTGCATATGTGGAAACATCCTTGCATTTCCCAGGAATAAATTGTAATTGATTATGGTGAATGATCTTTTTGGCAGGCTGTTGGATTCAATTTACTGGTATTTTCTTGAGGATATTTGCATCTATGTTCATCAGGGATATTGGCCTATAATTTTATTTTCTTTTATTGTTCTTGTCTGACTTTGGTATCAGGGTAACACTGGCCTCATAAAATGAAGTTGAAGGTGTTTCTTCCACTTCAATTTTTTGCAAGAGTGAGGAGGATTGGGATTAATTCTTCGTTAAATGTTTGGTAGAATTCTCTAGTGAAGCCGTCTTGTCCTGGGAGGTTTTTGATTATGGGTTCAATCTCTTTATTCATTATTGTTCAAATTTTCTATTTCTTCATGATTTACTCTTGGTAGAGTTAAATCCATTTACATTTAAAGTAATTATGGATAAGTAAGATTGTATGTTTCTAGGAATTTATCCATTTCTTCTAGGTTATCCAATTTGCTGGCATATCGTTGTTCATCGCAGTCTCAGGATCCTTCATATTCCTGTGCCATCATGTGTAATAACTCCTCTTTCATTTAAATTTTATTTATTCAAGTCCTATGCCTTTTTCTCTTGGTTAGTCTAGCTAAAGTTTTGTCACTTTTTTTATCTTTTCAAAAAACCAACTCTTAGTTTTGTTGACCTTTTCTATTTTTTTTCTAGTCTCTGATTTATTTCTGCTCTAATATTTATTATTTCCTTACATCTGCTGAATTTGAGCTTAGTTTGTTTTTCTTTTTCTTGTTCTTTGAGGTGGGAAGTTAAGCTGTTTATTTTGATATTTTTCTTTTTTTCTAAATGTAGGCATTTATTGCTCTAAACTTCTGTCTTAGAACAGCCTTTGCTGCATCTCATAAGTTTTAGTATGTTGTGTTTCCATTTTTTTCTATCTCGGTACTTTTTAATTTCAATTTTGATTTATTTTTTGATTCACTGGTCATTCAGGAGTGTGGTGTTTAATTTCTACAAACTTGTAAATTTTCCAAAATTATTCTTATTATTGATTTCTAGTTTTATATCACTGTAGTCACAAAAGATACTTGAAATGATTTCAGTCTTCTTAAATCTGTACAACTTCTTTTGTGTCCCAAACATATGATCTATCCTGGAGAATGTGTGCACTTGAGAAGAATGTATATTCTGCTGCTGTTGGGCAGAATGCTATGTCTGTAAGTTTCATTTGGTCTATAGTGTTATTCAAGCCTACTGTTTCCTTATTGATTTTCCATCTAAATGATTGATCTGTTGTTGGAAGTGGAGTTGCAAAGTTCTCTACCATTATGTTGCTGTTTCTCTCTTCAGCTGTGTTAATATTTTCTTTAAATATTTGCTTCAGTTGCTACAATGTTAGGTGCATACATATTTACAATTGTTATATCTTCTTGATGAACTGACCCCTTTTCCATTATATAGTGCCCTTCTTTGCCTCTTGTAACAGATTTTGACTGAAGGTCTATTTTGTCTAATGTAAGTATAACCACCCTGCTCTCTTTTTGTTACTATTTGTTTGGAATTTTTTTTGCATCCCATCATTTTCAGCCTATGTGTGTCCTTAAGCCTAAAGTGAGTTTCCCATAGGCAGTATATTGTTGGATCTTGTTTTTATTTATCCATTCAGACATGCTGTCTTTTGATTGGAGAGTTTAATCTATTTACATTTAAAGTAATTATTGATAAGTAAGGACTTATTATTGCTATTTTGTTGTTTTCTTACTATTTTGTATTTCCTTTTCAAATGATGTTTTAAAAAAATTTTATTTCTGATTGTTCATTGCTAGTATATAGAAATAACCAGATTCTTGTATATTGATCTTGTATCCCATAACTTTGCTAAACTCACTTTTAGTTTTAATAGCATATTTTGCAGATTCATGTTTTGAAATATTCTACATAATCATGTGGACATGTCAATAAAGATTTATTTCTTCTTTTTCAATCTATATGATTTTCTTTTTTTCTTGCCTTTTTGTTCTGGCTAGAACCTCCAGTGCAGTGTTAAATAGAAGTAGTAAGAGTGGCTATCTTTGATTTGTTCCTCATCTGAAGGGAAAACTATTCTATTTTCACCATTAAGTGTGAGGTTAATTGTGAAATGTTTGTTTTTTAATTTGTTTCTTTGTAGAAAACTTATATTGAGAAGGTTGCCTTCTATTCCTAGTCCATAGGGAATTTTTATCATGAATGGGTGATGCATTTCATCAAATTTTTTTAAATCTATTGAGATGACAATGTGATTTTCCTTCTTAAGTCAGTTGATTTGATAAGTGACATTGATTTATTTTAAATGTTGATCAAGCTTTGCATTCTAGAGACAAGCTCTATTTGGTCACGATCTATTATTCTTTTTATATCTATTGCAGAAAGAAATTATTAATTTCAATATTATCAACTTTATCAACCTTTTCCTTTATGGTTATCTGTGACATATTTAAATATTTTCCTCCTACACTGAAATCGTGAAGATATTCTTGTTTATCAGCAGTTCTCAACTAGGGGTAACTTTTGCCCCAGGATACATTTAGCAATGTCTGGAAACATTTTTGGTTGTCAAAACTGGTTGTTACAGACATCTAGAGTAACAGATCGACATCTAGTGGCCACTTATGCTGCTAAACCATCCTACAATGCACATGAGAGCCTTCCACAAAAAAAGGATTATCTGGCCGAAAATGTCAATAGTACCAAGGTTAAGAAAACTCTATCCTATTTGTATTCTAAAGGCTTCAAGGTTTTGCCTTTCACAGATAGGCTATAAATGTAGTATGGATCATGCTACTTCTATGATGACAGCTATAATACCCCTAAATTGGTTAACCTTTGGAACACTTTATGATCCCATCTGGTCCCACGTGTACTCTGCCTTAGACATGCAGATAATAACCATGTTGGGCCAGGAGTGGTGGCTCATGCCTGTATTCCCAATTGAAGCCAGGTGTTCAGGACCAGCCTGGGCAACATAGTGAGACCTTCATCTCTACAAACAATTTTTTTAAATATACTTTAAGTTCTAGGGTACATGTGCACAATGTGCAGGTTTGTTACATATGTGTACATGTGCCATGTTGGTGTGCTTCACCTGTTAATTTGTCATTTACATTACGTTTATCTCCTAATGCTATCCCTCCCCACTCCCCCCACCCCATGACAGGCCCTGGTGTGTGATGTTCCCCACCCTGTGTCCAAGTGTTCTCATTATTCAATTCCCACCTATGAGTGAGAACATGCAGTGTTTGGTTTTCTGTCCTTGCAGTAGTTTGCTCAGAATGATGGTTTCTAGCTTCATCCATGTCCCTACAAAGGACATGAACTCATCCTTTTTTATGGCTGCATAGTATTCCATGGTGTATATGTGCCACATTTTCTTAATCCAATATCATCCTGATACCAAAGCCTGGCAGAGACACAACAAAAAAAGAATTTTAGACCAATATCCCTGATGAACATCAATGCAAAAATCCTCAATAAAATACTGGCAAACCGAATCCAGCACCACATCAAAAAGCTTATCCACCACGATCAAGTTGGCTTCATCCCTGGGATGCAAGGCTGGTTCAACATACACATATATCAATAAACGTAATCCATCATATAAACAGAACCAAAGACAAAAACCACATGATTATCTCAATAGATGCAGAAAAAGCATTCGACAAAATTCAACAGCCCTTCATGCTAAAAACTCTCAATAAACTAGGTAATGATGGGACATATCTCAAAATAATAAGAGCTAATTATGACAAACCCACAGCCAATATCATACTGAATGGGCAAAAACTGGAAGCATTCCCTTTGAAAACTGGCACAAGACAGGGATGCCCTCTCTCTTACCACTCCTATTCAACATAGTGTTGGAAGTTCTGGCAGGGCAATCAGGCCGGAGAAAGAAATAAAGGGTATTCAATTAGGAAAAGAGGAAGTCAAACCCTCCCTGTTTGCAGATGACATGATTGTGTATTTAGAAAACCCCATCGCCTCAGCCCCAAATCTCCTTAAGCTGATAAGCAACTTCAGCAAAGTCTCAGGGCACAAAATCAATGTGCAAAAACCACAGGCATTCCTATACACAAGTAACAGACAAACAGCCAAATCATGAGTGAACTCCCATTCACAATTGCTACAAAGAGAATAAAATACTTGGGAATACAACTTACAAGGGATATGAAGGACGTCTTCAAGGAGAACTACAAACCACTGCTCAACAAAATAAAAGGACATATACAAACAATTTTTTAAAAATAAGATGGGCATGGTGGTATGTGCCTGTGGTCCCAGCTACTCATGAGGCTGGGGTGGGAGGATCACTTGAGCCCAGGAATTTGAGTCTGCAGTGAGCTACAACTGCACCACTGCTCCCCAGCCTGGGCAACACAGCAAGACCCTGCCTCAAAACAAACAAACAAAGCCACGTTGTTCAAAAGACTAATTGGTGAGACACATGCTCCTGAATCTCCTGACTAAGTATGTGTTTTGGCTCTAGGGACCTTCTGTTTATTGGGTCCCTTGCTGAAATCTCAACTCTGGACCTTACAACACATCTGACCATTGTGTTGCAAGAATTCTAGGAAAACTCTACAATCTCTTTGAGAAATATCACAGGAGACCTAAATAAATGAATACCTTGGTTATGAATTAAACAGCTCAACATAGGCCGGGCATGGTGGCTCATGCCTGTAATCCCAGCACTTTGGGAAGCCGAGGTGGAAGGATTGCTTGAGCCCAGGAGTTCAAGACCAGCCTGGGCAACAGGCAAAACCCCATCTCTACAAAAAAAAAAAAAAAAAAAAAAAAAAAATGTTAGCCAGGCATTGTGGCATGCACCTGTAGTCTCAGCCACTCAGGAGGCTGAGGTGGGAGAATCACCTGAGCCCAGGAAGTTGAGGCTGCAGTGAGCTGTGATCACGCTACTGCACTCCAGCCTGGGCAACAGAGTGAGACTTTGTCTTAAAAAAAATAATAATAATAAGCTTGACATTGTAAAGATGTCAATTCTCCCTAAATAAATTTATAGATTCAATGAAATTTCAATCAAAATCCCAGCGGGCTGTTTTCTTTCTTTTTTTTTTTTAATAGGAGTTACCAAGCTGCATCTCAAATCTTTCCATTTCATCTACATTTTCAAATCTGCAGAAAGCAAATATAATATCCTTTTATTATCTGAGGTGGAGTACCTCTTTTCATTCCTGATATTGGTAATTTGTTCTCTCTCAGTCTCTTTCTCAATTACTGTCACCTGGGAGTGCTGTCAATTTAATTAGTGTTGGCAAAGAAAAAAGAGTCGGCTTTGTTTATCCTTTTCATGGTATGCTTGTAGTCTCCTGGAAGAATTTCAATACAGAACTTTTTTGCAATATATTTGTAGGAATAATATAATTCACCCATATACCCTTCACCTAGATTTGACACTCATTAAGATTTTGAGACATATCTTTCTGTGTATTTGTGTGTACACATATAGACTTTTTTTTCTTTACCATTTGAGATAACTTGTGGACAACACGACACTTCACCACGTGTGGCATAATAAAATATATATATTTGATCTCTGCCTCTGGTTTCTGACACAGAGCTCCTTGTAATTTCCTGAGTGATAGTGGTGCTAGGGGCATCTTTTGTTCAAACATTTGTTCTTTGATCTGGTTCCTGACACAGAGCTCCTAAAACCCTCATAATTTCCTGTGTGATGGAGGTGATAGTAACATCCTAACACAGAGCTCCTAAATCCATTTGAATTTCCTGGGTAAACAGGAAACACCCGGCTAATTTTTGTAATTTTAGTAGAGACGGGTTTCGCCATGTTGGCCAGGCTGGTCTCAAACTCCTGACCTCAGGTGATCTGCCTGCCTTCCTCCGCCTCCCAAAGTGCTGGGATTACAGGCGTGAGCCACTGCGCCTGGCCCGTCTAGACAATTTTGGGGGGAATATTTTTCCACCAGCTGAAATGTTTTATTTCTTGCTTCGGTTTACTTCTAGTCACCTGCATGCATTAGGATCTGCTGTTTTATTTGTAACAATGCAATGACAGTGGTGTGCAAATGGGTGAAGGTTTGGAATGGCGACTGTGTTTCTTGGTTCAAAAAAATGCTCTCTTCTGTTGGTAAAGTTCACTTTTACAAAATAACAGTGCTGTTATTTTTGTAGGGGGAAGCGTTTTCGTGGCCTCTGTTTTTGTGATTTGCTTTTGTTTCTGTGGACCTTTCATTTCTCGTTTCATTTTTTTCCTTTGCCACCAAGTCTCTAAGGGACCCCTCCCTATCTTACTTCCTCTTTCTCCCCGAGAAGCAATGATTCCCTGAGGCCACCACCTCCTCTCCTACGTGCTCTAAGTCCCTTCCCTTTGATTCTCTCTTAGCCAGGAATACAAGCCCTGTCCTCAGCTCTCAAGAACAGAAAAACTGTGGGTTTTCTTTTTTCTTTTTTTTTTTTTTTTTTTTTTTTTGAGACGGAGTCTCGCTCTGTCGCCCAGGCTGGAGTGCAGTGGCGCAATCTTGGCTCATTGCAAGCTCCGCGTCCCGGGTTCACGCCATTCTCCTGCCTTAGCCCCCCGAGTAGCTGGGACTACAGGCGCCCACCACCACGCCCGGCTAATTTTTTGTATTTTTAGTAGAGACGGGGTTTCACTGTGTTAACCAGGATGGTCTCGATCTCCTGACCTTGTGATCCGCCCGCCTCTGCCTCCCAAAGTGCTGGGACTACAGGCGTGAGCCCCCGCGCCCGGCCAAAACTGTGGTTTTCTTTTAGATTTTTTGTTAACAACTAAAGCTTCCTTATGACTAAAAGCCATACACCAGGAAAACCCCTTAACCCTCATTCCAACTTTTGAAAGTTCTCTAGAATTTGCCTTCTTCCTTCTCCAGTGTCTAGGTTTTAAGGCTCCTTCCCTTCCTCCCTCCCTTCCTCCCTCCCTCCCTCCCTTCCTCCCTTCCTTCGAGTCAGGTCTCTCTGTGTTGCCCAGGCTGGAGTTCAGTGGCACGATCACAGCTGACCGTAACCATGGATCGTGGGAGGGAGCAATCTTCCCACCTCAGCCTCCTGAGTAGCTAGGACTACAGGCAGGCACCACAACACCTGACTATTTTTTAAAAAAAATTTTTGCAGAGATGAGGTCTTGCTACATTCCCCAGGCTCGTCTCCAACTTGTAGTCCTAAGCAATCCTTCTGCCTCAGCCTCCCGAAGTGCCGGGATTACAGGTGTGAGCCACCACACCCAGCCCTCTTCTTCCTCTTGTTTGCTTTCTTTTAATTTTGCCCAGAATTTATAGTTATTATCTGTGAAATGAAAGAGAAGAGAGAAAAAACAGTAACAAATAATTAGGTAATTATTGCTAAGTGTCATTGATATCCTAGGAAAATATATTAAGAAGCTGTGGGTGATGAACCGACAATTAAAAGCCGTGTGTGAAATTCCCAGGGCCCCCCAGGGAACTTACAAAGGTTCTCACATGCTGTGGCAAGAGGGCGCCAAAAGCTGAAGACCAGGCTCAAGACTTGACATTACCGTGGCTGAGCTCCTGAGCGGCTTAAATACTCCAGGTCTAAGGTATCTAGGTCAGGGTATGTGGGACCCTGATACATAAGATTCCCCCAAATATTTAGAACTATCAGATTCTGCTGAACCTTCTTAGCCTCCGGAAGTACCCACCTCGCCGGGCGCGGTGGCTCACGCCTGTAATCCCAGCACTTTGGGAGGCCAAGGCGGGTGGATCACAAGGTCAGGAGATCGAAACCATCCTGGCTAACACGGTGAAACCTCGTCTCTACTAAAAATACAAAAAAAAAATTAGCCAGGCATGGTGGTGGGCGCCTGTAATCCCAGCTACTCGGGAGGCTGAGGCAGGAGAATGGCGTGAACCCGGGAGGCGGAGCTTAAAGTGAGCCGAGATCGCGCCACTGCACTCCAGCCTGGGCGACAGAGCAAGACTCCGTCTCAAAAAAAAAAAAAAAAAAAAAAAAAAAAAAGAAGTGCCCACCTCTTATTTATTTATTTATTTATTTATTTATTTATTTATTTATTGAGACAGAGTCTTGCTCTGTCGCCCAGGCTGGAGTGCAGTGGCACAATCTCGGCTCACTGCAACCTCTGCCTCCCGGGTTCAAGTGATTCTCCTGCCTCAGCCTCCCGAGTAACTGGGAATACAGGCACACGCCACCACGCCCAGCTAATTTTTATATTTTTAGTAGAGACAGGGTCTCACCATGTTGGTCAGGATGGTCTCCATCTCTTGACCTCGTGATCCACCTGCCTCAGCCTCCCAAAGTGCTGGGATTACAGGCATGAGCCACCGCGCCCGGCCTGCTGAAACTTCAGAGCCTACAGACATGCCCACCTCTCCTTATTAAGAACAGTCACTCCCTCCTTGTTTGGGGATAATGTTGTCCCCTACAAAACAACGTTGCCTATGCATCCAGGACCTGCCCCGATAGCCCCTCTTGTCAGGTGAGCCTACAGGAAGACTCAGCCAAGCACATCCTGCCCCTAATAGGGAGGAAAAGTACAATGCCCTCCATGATCTTGAGTTGCTGCCATAGATGGAGAAACGGATTTAAAAATGCAGGGAAATGGGGAGCTCAGGTGGATGTACAGCCAGAAGATCCATCAAATAAGGATGTTCTACAAGAAGCCCAGGGATCCAGGATTCTCCAAGGCAATAAGGAATGAGCTGGGGAAATGGAAACCATTATCATCCAAAAGTTCAGTGAAGGGCCAGGAGTGGTGGCCCATGCTTGTAATCCCAGCACGTTGGAAAAGCTGCAGCGGGAGGATCATTTGAGCCCAGGAGTTTGAAACCAGCCTGGGCAGCACAGTGAGACCCCATCCCTCCTAAAAATTTAAAAATTAGTCCATTGTGGTGGCATGTGCCTGTAGTCCCAGTTACTTGTGAGGCTGAGGTAGGAGGATCACTTCAGCCCAGGAGTTGGAGGCTGCAGTGAGCTATGATCGTGCCACTGCACTCCAGCCCGGGTGACAGAGTGAGACCCTGTCTCAAAAAAAAAAGATTTAAAAAACATATTTTATTCAAGTTGCCCAACATTTGAATAAGTTTCCATTGAGAAAGTATTTAAAAATTAAAATTATTTTGCCTACTTTCAGTGACTTTTAGATATTCAAAAGTATCTCCAAATTAAAGTCAAACTATAAATTATAACTATTGGAGAACAGTTTTTATATTAAAATTTTTTAATGCCATTTGATTCAGTAATACTATCTTGAGATTTGAAAATATTTTAAATTTTAGCAAATAATTTATAAAAATATACCTATGAGCAATTCTAGAATTCTAGTGTTTGTTTTCAGTGTAAAGAATCAGTATCAGCTGAGTGCAGTGGCTTACGCCTGTAATTCCAGCACTTTGGGAGCCTGAGGCAGGTGGATCACTTGAGGTCAGGAGTTTGAGAACAGCCTGGCCAACACGGTGAAACCCCGTCTCTACTAAAAATACAAAAATTAGCCAGGCATGATGGCACATGCCTGTAGTCCCAGCTACTTGGGAGACTGAGGCAGGAGAATCGCTTGAACCTGGGAAGTGGAAGTTGCAGCGAGTCGAGATTGCGCCACTGCACTCCAGCCTGGGCGACACAGAGAGACTCTGTCTCAAAAAAAGAAAAAAAAAAAAGAATCAGTATCATGCTTTTTTCGTATTACCTCTGGTCCTGCGTAGATGGAAATGTAAGAGTCATACCAGTTATTCATCATTAGGAAATTTCCTCAGTTGCTACGTGCAGATGTTGTGAATACAGTGCCCATTCATGCATATATCAAGAACCACATACTGGAATAGCACAACGAGTGAGAAGCTGGAAGCTCTACCCTGAGAAACAACACTATATTATGCAAAAATCTAGCATATTAGGTTGGTGCAAAAGTAATTGTGGTTTCTGCCATTACTTTTCATAGTAACACGATCTTGAGAAGAAGGGTTTGATGCATGAATTAAACAGGGTTTTCCTGTGCGAAGTGTTGCCGCCTCTCTCTGAAGCTGACTCTGTCTCCAGTGTTGACATAAACAACCTTATGGCATTTGGAAGCAGCTGCTGTTTTTTTCCCCCCTTCTTCAATTTTATTACCCTTTGACCAACAACTCTCCATTTCCCACACACCCTTGGCCCCACAAATCCCTGGCGACCACCATTCTCTGCTTCTATGAGTTCAACTTTGTTTAGATTCCATATATAAGTGAGATCATGTAGTATTTGTCTTTCTGTGCTTGGCTTATTTCATTAGCATAATGTCCTCCAGGTTCATCTGTGTTATTGCAAGTGACAGGATTTCTTTATTTGTTGAGGCTGAATTATACTCCACTGGGTGCCTGTACCACTTTCTCTTTATCCATTCATCTGTGGATGGACACCCAGGCTGACTCCCTATCTTGGCTATCATGAATAGTGCTGCAACCAGCATGGAAGTGCGGATGTCTCTTTGACTTACTGACGTCAATGTCTTCAGATGTATACTTAGAAATGGGATGGTTGGATGGTATGGTGGTTCTATTTTCAGTTTTTGGAGGAACCTCCCAACTGTTTTCCATAACAGTTGTACCAATTTACATTCCTACCAACAGCGTGCAAGGGTTCCCTCTTCCTCACAGCCTTGCCAGTACTTGGTATTTTTGTCTTTTTGATAATACCCATTCTAATAGGTGTGGGGTGATATCTCATTGAGGTTTTAATTTGCATTTACCTTATGATTAGTGCTGTTGAGCATTAAAAAATAATACCTGTTGGCCTCCCCACCTTTTTTTTTTTCTTTTTTTGGAGACAGTTTCACTCAAGTTGCCCAGGCTGGAGTGCAATGGTGTGATCTCAGCTCACCACAACCTCTGCCTCTGGGGTTCAAGCAATACTCCTGCCTTAGCTTCCTGAGTAGCTGGGACTACAGGCATGCGCCACCACGCCCGGCTAATTTTGTATTTTTAGTAGAGACAGGATTTCTCCATGTTGGTCAGGCTGGTCTCAAATTCCCGACCTCAGGTGATCTGCCTGCCTCGGCCTCCCAAAGTGCTGGGATTACAAGCGTGAGCCACCGTGTCTGGCCTTGTATGCCTTCTTTTGAGAAATGTCTATTCAGGTCCTTTGCCCATTATTTATTTATTTTTTATTGCAGATACATAGTAGGTGTATATATTTATGGGGTACATGAGATGCTTTGATACGGGCACGCAATGCTCATAATCACATCATGGAGAATGGGGCATCCATCCCCTCGAGCATTTATCCTTTGTGTTACAAACAATCCAATTACACTTTTATTTATTTTTAAATGTACAATTAAATTATTAATGACTATAGTCACGGAAAACCCCTGCAGGTTTTATTCATTCTATTTTTTGTACCCATTAACCATCCCCACCTCCCTGCAAGCCCCCCTTTTGCCCATCTTAAAATCAGGTTGTATTTTTGTTATTAAGTTGTATTTTGAATGTTAACCCCTTATCAGACGTATGGTTTGCAAATATTTTCTTCCATTCTGTAGATTGTCTCTTCACTCTGTTGATTGTTCTTTTGCTGTGTAGAAGCTTTCTAGCTTAATGCAATCCCCATTGTCTTATTTTTTTGCTTCTGTTGCCTGTGCTTTTGGGGTCATATCCAAAAATATCATTGCCCAGATCAATGTCAAGGAAGTTTTCCCCCATTTTTTTCTTCTAGGAGTTTTACAGTTTCGGGTCTTATATTTAAGTCTTTAATCCATTTAGAGTTTTTTGCATATGGTGTAAGACAACGGAATACTTTCATTCTTGTGTATGTGGAGATCTAGTTTTCCCAATACCATTTATTGAAGAGACTGTCCTTTCTCCATTGTGTACTCTTGTCATCTTTGTCGAAGATCAATTGACTGTAAATGTGTGGATTTATTTCTGGGCTCTGTATTCTGTCCCACTGGTCTATGTCTGTTTTCGTGCCACACCATGCTGTCCTTGCAGGTGTTATATTGTGTTTGTTTGTTTGTTTTTGAGAGATGGGTTCTGGCAATTATAGTGCACTGCAGCAGTCTTGAACTCCTGGGCTCAATCCATTGTCCCTCCTCAGCTTCCCAAGTAAATGGGACTACAGGTGGGTGCCATGGTGCCTGGCAGTACCATGCTGTTTTGGTTACTGTAGCACTGTAGTATGTTCTGGAATCAGGTAGCGTGATGCCTTGAGCTTTGTTCTGTTTGTTCAACATTGCTTTGGCTATTTGGGGTCTTTTGCAGTTTCATACAATATTTATTTATTTTTTTCTCTTCCTGTGAAAAATGTCATTGGAATTTTGATAGGGATTGCATTGAATCTGTTGATTGCTTTGGGTAGTATGGTCATTTTAAGAATATTAATTATCCAATCCATGAACATAGGATATCTTTCCGTTTATTTGTGTCGTCTTCAATTTATCTGTATTTTACAGTTTTCAGTGTACAGGTCTTTTACCTTCTTGGTTAAATTTATTTCTAAGTATTAAATATTTTTCAATGCTAACATAAATGAGATTTTTAAAAAAATGACATGGAGTCTCACTCTGTCACCCAGGCTGGAGTGCAGTGGTGTGATCTCAGCTCACTGCAACCTCTGCTTCCTGGGTTCAAGCAATTCTCCTGCCTCAGCCTCCCAAGTATCTGAGATTGTTTTATTTATTTTTTGAACAGTTCACTGTTTGTGTATAAAAACTACTACTACTGATTTTTGATCCAGGATCGAATGTTGATTTTGTTTATTTTGATCCTGGATATGTTGATTTGGGATCCTGGAAGCAGCTGCCTCCTACCTTGAGGACACGAGGCAAGACATGAAGCAGGTCCCTGGGGTCTAGGTGGTGGCAGCCAGAAGAGAGAATGTTTAGGGGACTGGCAGCTGTTAAACAGCAATACTCTACACAGTGAGTCCCAAGTGACAGAGGTGGCCATGTGCTCTTTACTAAATGTGTGTGTGTCCAGGCAAAAGGTCCCTCTTGCCCAAGTCTAGACTCCTGGATAGACACTTTAATCTTTGGTCCACAGGGTCTTTAACTTGCATAAGTAGGAAAGCTCTGGCTCCTTCTGTGGTATCAACTGGGGCCAGGACAGAAGAGCAATGCAATGTCTGGGCACCTTTGCTCTGGTGCTGTCCTGCCAGCTAAGTGTTCATGGTTTGTGGGGGGAGGCCTTAGTTCTTCCCTGGGTGGGATGAGGGCTGGTATCTGAGCCTTCCAGTTTTCCAAGATTGATGGCTTTAAGCTTTGTATTATAGCTGGTTTTCAGAGTTTCACAGGCCAGCCTGAAGGAAATCAGTCTTGGACAAGCCAACTCTCAGGCATGACTGCCACCCACGAGAGTAGAAAACAAATGTGATTTCCAGGAAGCATTAAGGCCCCACCTAAAGTCATGATCACATATAATGGACTTTGGGGACTCAGTGGGGAAGATTGGCAGGGGGTTGAGGGAAAAATGACTACATATTGGGTACAGCATACACTGCTCCAGTGACAGGTGCACTAAAATCTCAGAAGTTGCCACTAAATAACTTATCCATGTAACCACAAACCACCTGTATCCCAAAAACTATTGCTTTTTTTAAAAAAGCTCATGATCACAGCACAATTTTGTGCTTTTCTCTCACCTAATCATGGGGAGGGAAGAAATGCATTTAATTAACCAAGGTTCAGATGTAGCTGCTGCAGTATGTGGCTCAACAGAGCAAGAGAGGAACGATAGCATTGAGGATATAAGCAAGGAAATGATTATAATAATTCTTCAATTGAGGAAGGAAGGAAGTGAACAAAGAGGGAAGCCAGAGATAGGGCCATGGTAGAACCAAAGGATTGCTGAGTTGGGAGGTTGTAAGGGAGGAGGCAGCAAGGGGCAGGGTCAGAGTGCAGTACTGGAGACGAGATCAGGGAGTAGCTGCAGTTATTGATTGAGCCAGAGCCCAGGGAGTGACAACATGAGAGAGCAGAGGCTCCCTGAGGATATGAAAATGGTGAAAGAAAATGGTGATAGAAGTGCTGTCAGTGATCTGGGGAAACATCTTGGAGGACTGAGCAGGGAGTGGTCAGCAGCTGATTGCTCCCAGGGTGACAGGAGCTGGGAGGATGCTCTGAGAGCAGCAGCCAGAGCAGGATGACCCCTGCCCACCTCAGGGCATAGTGAGGAGGATGACGGAGAGAAGATGCCCCCATTCTAGAGAGCTGCAGAGGAGCCTGTGTCCTCCCAGGACAGTAGGATGGTGAAAGGATGGTCCAGAGAAGAGAGATGGATATGAGGGCTTAGGATATGAGGAAGGTGGGAGATGGAACCATTAGGACTTGACACTGGGGATAAGGCATGAGGAAATTAGCCCTGAGGTCCCAAGGCAATGGGGTGCTGGTGAGGCTCTGACATGGGGCAGTGTCATGGGGTGCAGAGTTTGATGCTGTCTCCTGACCCTTGTGGGTGGAGGAAGGAGGTGAGGAGAGGGATAAATATATATGAGCATCTCTTGATGCTGGCAGCCTAAATGAAACCACCTTTGCAAAAGTTATGGTAACAAGTCTGATATACCTAACTCCATCTTGCTTCTAAATTCACAAGCAAACTATCTTTGCTCATTCCTGGGTGTAGGCCAAATTAACTACGGGAGGAATTTAGTTTATAGTTTAACTTTAAAACAAAGATGATAACAGTATCTTCCTAAAACTAACCCCTCCTTGCTTGGGGACCGAAACCACCTTTGTCTAAAACTAACAGATTTGCCACAAGATTAGAATTATGGCTCAGCAGTCAGGTAGCCAGTGGTCACAAGAGTTGTAACCTTCCCAGTTGTTCCTATAGATAACATTACTATTGTAAAACCTAAGACTGGTGTTCAGGGCATATTTCAGACCTTGCATTCTGATAGACTAACTGGCACCACCTGGACCAATGAGCCATACCAAGAAACTGGATCAACCAGATCTGTGACCACTAGCCAGAAACTGATTCAATGCAAGAAGACAGCTTCCATCCCCTGTGATTTCATCCCCAACCCAACCAATCAGCATTCCCCATTCTCTAGCCTACCCACCAGCCAAATTATCCTTGAAAAACTCTAGTCTCCAAATTCTCAGGGAGGTGGATTTAAGAAACCTCTCCCATCCTTCTGTTTGCCTGGCCCAGTGATTATTAAACTCTTTCATTGCTGCAACTCCTGCTGTTCTTGGTGTTTGGCTTTTCTGGGCAGCAGGCAAGAAACTGGTCAGGCAATTACGTGAAGATGGGGTCACAATGCATGGGGTATCATGATGACTAGATGGGAACCCCCTCTAACTGTCTAGAGAGGTGAATGCAGGCCACAGCATA
This sequence comes from Homo sapiens, assembly GCF_000001405.40. Classification (NCBI taxonomy): domain Eukaryota; kingdom Metazoa; phylum Chordata; class Mammalia; order Primates; family Hominidae; genus Homo; species Homo sapiens. The sequence continues at coordinate 70,800,051 of NC_000007.14, read as the reverse complement.
TAGACACTGGCTTGGGTCAAGCCGCAGGATGTCTGAGTGGGGCTGAGGTTGGAAATGACACTAAACCAAAAGCAGGAGGAATTCACGTGGGCCTGCGGGCTACCTGGGACTATGGGGTGTGGCAGCATCAGTGGTTGGTTTCATTTGTCAGTGGACTCTACCCTCACTGCCACCAAATTTATCTCCCTAAAACTTTACTTGCAGAAATTTGAGAAGTTCCCAATTGCTCACAGGACAAAGTTTGAAGTCCTTGCAAGGAAGACTCTTATTCCCTGGCCTTCGAAGCCTTTTCCAAATTTAGTTTTCAGTCTCCCTGTTCAAGTTTGAGGCTGCATTGAGCTATGATATCCCAGTGCACTCCAGCCTGGGTGCTAATTACAAGTGTGTGTTTGGCAGGTAAACATTGGCTGTTTATATGGTGAATTAACTCAGCAAGCCTTTTCTCTTTGGTAGCACAGGGCCATGGTTATGGTGCAGGCTCTAGAGGGGAACTGCCTGGGTGTGTATTTAGGTTATGCACTTGAACATGGGCAAATGACTTCACCTTTTTGTGCCTCATTTTTCTTATTTGTCCAATTGAAGTTGCACCTATACCTGCCTTGCAAGGTCGCTGAGACCAGTAAGGGAGATAATCCAGTTAGAAGCATGCAAAACAGTGCCTGACATGCCAAAAGCACTCAGTTAACATTGGCTACTATCATTGTTGCTGGGGAGAGGCCAACTTCTCCATCCAGCTCATCCTGCTAGTGATGCAGGAATTAGTGAACATACACTGGAAAGGAGCTGGGATAGATCCGGAAGCTGAAAGCATCATTCTGGCTCAAACAAGGTTACAACCTCTTCATAATCCAGCAGGATCAAGGGTCAGGCTGGAAGGTCCTTAAGAGAATACCGCTTTTCTTCTATGATCATTTGCTGTTACCTGGCACTTCTTGGTGCAGCTTTTTGCCAGAACTTTCTCTTGACCTTCTGTGGTCTAAGTCAGTGGGTCTCAAAGTTGATCGTGTACCAGAATTACCAGAAAGCTTGTTAAACCACAGATCATTGAGCCCCACTATCAGAGTTTTGAATGTAGGAGGTTGGGTGGGGGTGGGTGGTGGGTGTTGAGGGTTTGCACTTCTAATGTTTCCCAGTGCTGCTGCTGCTGATGGTTTGGGGACCACACTTTTAAGAACCAGTGGTCTGGCTGGGAGTGGTGGCTCATTCCTGTAATCCCAGCACTTTGGGAGGCCAAGGCGGGCAGATTACTTGAGCTCTGGAGTCCGAAACCAGCCTGGACAATGTGGCAAAACTCTGTCTCTACAAAAAATACACAAAAATTAGCCAGTGCAGTGGTGTGCACCTGTAGTCCTTGTTACTTGGGAGGCTGAGGTGGGAGGATCACTTGAGTCTGTGAGACGGAGATTGTTGTGAGCCAAGATCACACCATTGCACTCCAGCCTGGGCAACGGGAGTGAAACCCTGTCTCAAAAAAAAAAAAAAAAAAAGAAAAGAAAAGAACCACTGGTCTAAACAGTTAACTACGATGGGGGACAAGGGGCAATCAGGAGAGGCATCATGGAAGTGAAGGCCTTTTATGTTTGTTTTTCCTGAGACAAGGCCCCACTTTGTCGTCCAGGCTGGAGTACAGTGTTGAGATCATGGCTCACTGCAGCCTTGACCTCTAAGGCTCAAGTGATCCCAAGGTAGATGCCTTTGAGGTGAATCTCAAAGCATGAATGAGTTTGCCAGATGGGGAAGAGGTGGAGGACCGTCGACCGGGAATGGCGTGTGGGAGATGAAGCCAACAGATCTCTGGGCACTAGAGGTGTTCAGCCCAGGAGCCCAGGTAAGAAGTCTGGGCTCCACTGGGGCGAGCTCTTGAAGTAGAGGATGGTTTGGGGACCTGGAAGAGATGTGATGAGAACGGGCAGAAGTGTAGAGGGTGGTGCAGGGGAGAGACCAGGTCAGAGGCTGCTGGGATAGCCAGCAAGAACAGAGTAGGGGCTTTAGGTTGACAGCAGAAAATAGTGTTGACCCTCATCCTTGAGCCTCACCCTCCTTTAAGGCCTGGAGGATTTTTTCCATGATACTGTTTTTCAAACTAGGCATTGACACTCATGATTCACAGGGGCTGTGAGATGAGGTAGTGGGTTGCAACCAGCATTTTAAAAAATGAATTAGAGGCTGGGCGTGGTGGCTTATGCCTATAATCCCAGCACTTTGGGAGGCTGAGGCGGGTGGATCACCTGAGGTCAGGAGTTCGAGACCAGCCTGGCCAACATGGTAAAACCCCATCTCTACTAAAAATACAAAAATTAGCTGGGCGTGGTGGCGCGTGCCTGTAATCCCAGCTGAGGCTGAGGCAGGAGAATCACTTGAACCCGGGAGGTGGAGGTTATTGTGAGCCAAGATTGCACTGCTGCACGACAGCCTGGGCGACAGAGTGAAACTGTGTCTCAAAAATACAAAAAGAATTAGAAAAGAGTGGAATTAAAAAATCAAGAGTTCACTGCACTTAAGAAGGGTATGGTTTCATTAAGCTTGTTTCCGGTGTGTGTGTCTAGATGATCATGTGTGCGTGTTGCAGTTGATTAAAAACAGGGCTCTGTGCAGCCTATTCCGTTCAGTGAACCAGCCCAGGGGTGGCCTCTGGAGCATCAAACACAGGCCCCTGCCTCCAGGAGCTGAGGATCCAGATAGAGAGGTGCAGAACCGCAGAACAGGAAGCGCTGAGTGGAAGGTGGGGGAGTAGCCCAAGCCAGGCCCTAAGACAGCCCCAAAGAGGGAAGGATTTACGGAGATGGCTTTGTGCTGACCTTTAGTGTGGCTCAGATTCTGACACCAGGGCCTTTGGAAAGAGGTAAAAGATACTCTGCAGACAGATGCTGATAAGACGCTGCCAGGAAGCATGTGGAATAGCAACTCACTTGGCCTTCCTGGAGTGCAGGGTGTGAGAAGGTAAATCATGTTTAAAAAGGGGCCAGGTGTAGGGCAAGGCGCGGTGGCTCACAACTGTAATCCCAGCACTCTGGGAGGCCGAGGCGGGCAGATCACAAGGTCAGGAGTTTGAGACCAGCCTGGCCAACATGGTGAAACCCTGTCTCTAGTAAAAATATAAAAACATTAGCTGGGCATGGTGGCGCATGCCTGTAATCCCAGCTACTCGTGTGGCTGAAGCAGGAAATTTGCTTGAACCCGGGAGGCGGAGGTTGCAGTGAACGGAGATCGTGCCACTGCACTCCAGCCTGGACAAAAAGGCGAGACTTCGTCTCAAAAACAAAAACAAAAACAAAGGCCAGGTGCAGTGGCTTACACCTGAAATCCCAGCACTTTGGGAAGCTGAGGAGGGAGGATCACTTGAGGCCTGGAGTTCAAGACCAGCCTGGTCAGCATAGCGAGACCCGGTCTCTACAAAAAATAAAAGAATGAGCCAGGTGTGGGGGTGTGCACCTGTGGTTCCAGTCAGTCAGGAGGCTGAGGAGGAGGGACCCCTTGAGTCCAGAAGTTGGAGGCTGCAGTGAGCTATGAATGCCCCACTGCATTCCAGCCTGGGTGACAGAGTGAGACCCAGTCTCCTAAAAAAAAAAAAAAAAAAAAAAAAAAAAAAAAAAAAAAAAAAAAAAATCTGAGGCCGAATAGAGACGCAAAATCCAAAATCCAAACAGATCTTGAAGAGGCCTTTCAACATCACCCAACAAATTCAAGTTACAGATGAGGAAACTAAGGCCTATTTGCCCAATAACTGCACAGCACACAAGCCTAGGATTTGAAGGCTTCTGGTCCGGTCTCTGTTCTTCCAGGCCACAGAGTTCTCCGAACACGGGCCCAGAGGCTAAGCTCCATCTTGTGTCCGTCAGCATCAGGGCACATTTTGGGTAGAACAGCAGGTGGCGATTCTGTGACAATACCCTGGGTGCCTTAACTAGATGCTGTTTTAATCAGCTCCTCCCCTTACCAGGTGAGAAACACCTGTGAGTTAGAAGCCCTGTAGTCACCCACTCATTCCTTTTGGACTTGCCAAACATTTCAGCAAATCTTTAGCAAGAATCTTTAGCCACTGAAGTTTTTTGTTGTTGTTGTTTGTTTTAGACAGAGTCTCACCCTGTCACTGGGCTGGAGTGCAGTGACGTGATCTCAGCTCACTGCAACCTCTGCCTCCCGGGTTCAAGCAATTCTCCTGCCTCAGCCTCCTGAGTAGTTGGGATTACAGGCACCTGCCACTATGCCCAGCTAGTTTTTTGTATTTTTAGTAGAGACAGGGTCTCACCATGTTGGCCAGGATGGTCTTGAACCTCCTGACCTCGTGATTCGCCCGCCTTGGCCTCCCAAAGTGCTGGGATTACAGGTGTGAGCCACAGTGCCTGGCCTTGCTTGTTTCTGAGACATGGTCTCACTCTGTCGCCCAGGCTGGAGTACAGTGGCGCAATCTTGGCTCACTGCAGGCGCCTCTCCTCAGGTTCAAGCAATTCTCCTGCCTCAGCCTCCCGAGTAGCTGGGATTACAGGCGCCTGCCACCATACCCAGCTAATTTTTGTATTTTTAGTAGAAACAGGGTTTCACCATGTTGGCCAGGCTGGTCTTGAACTCCTGACCTCAAGTGATCCACCCACCTCGGCCTCCCAAAGTGCTGGGATTCCAGGTGTGAGCCACCCTGCCTGGCTGCCACTAAAGTTTTAGAAAAAGTTATTTTCCTTTTTGTGTGGGCTGTGGGCCATTCTCTACCCAGTCTGCAATTTCTATAAACCTTGGGACGGCACACAGCAAAATTCCACCCACGCCATGCTGATGAATTTTGGGCTTACGACCTTCATGTTTTTAGGCTTCATTTTGTTCAGATTGTGTCACTTTGCACATTAAGAAACTGAGTTCCAAAGAGGCTCTTTGTGCACGGGGTCACCGACTGTGAAGGCACACGGGGTGGATTCAGCCCCCATGACTGTGGCCCAAGGACTCCTTCCCACCAAGCTCATCATTAGGAACTTGTAGCATTTTGGGCGTGAGACACGAAAACCTTAGCTTAGTACTTGTGACAGTGGCAAAGACTAGCAATTTCATATTGTGGAATTGACAGCCTTAGATAATATGATTTCCTATCTGGAAAATAACCCTATTTTATTGCAAGAAGACTTTGCATGTTTAAGAATTTTTCAGGCCAGGCGTGGCGCATACCTGTAATCCCAGCACTTTGGGAGGCCAAGGCGGGCAGATCACCTGAGATCAGGAGTTTGAGACCAGCCTGGCCAACATGGTGAAACCCCGTCTCTACTAAAAATACCAAAATTAGCTGGGCGTGGTGGGCGCCTGTATGTAGTCCCAGCTATGCAGGAGACTGAGGCAGGAGAATCACTTGATCCCGGGAGGTGGAGGCTGCAGTGAGCTGTGATTATGCCACTGCACTCCAGCCTAGGGAACAGAACAAGACTCAGTCTCAAAAAACAAACAAACAAACAAACAAAAAAAATCAGAAATGCACAGAAAAAAAGGATGGCAGAATTTAAAAAATAACATATGAAAAAGCCCAGGTTACATTTGTTATCCTCTTTCCTTCAACCGATTGATGCCACTGAGGCCTAGTTTGTTTTCCAGCATGAATACACACAAGGCCTTGGGCACCCCACAAGTGCACAGCTACCTGCACTGCAAAATTCTGTCTTCAACTTCTTTTATGCTACGTATGTAAAGAATGTCAACAATTGCGTCTTATTTCCCCTCATCTACCTTGATTGAGGCAGAAAAATGGATAAACAGCAAATGCCGTGGCAAATATCCATCCAAAGTGGTTAATTATTGCATCATTATATTCGCTATTTTACCTGTCATGTACCATTAGAAGGTAACAAGATCATTGTCAGTCAAAGATGGGGGAGATAATTAGAGCATCTATAGGTTAGCAGGAAATCAAATTGGTGCTGGTACCCATCAGTGCCGAGGAGCTGAGCGTAATTAGGGGGAAAATATGCAAAGGGTGAGATGAATGAAGCCCTGGGGATTAGATACCGTGGCTGATTTGAGAGCTTGACTCTCCTACGTTCTGACATTGCAGATGGCGACGTCAAAATAGGTGTACAATTGGAGCAGTGAAAAATAGCAAAGCAAGGCGCCACTGCTACTGTCTGCAGGGGCCTGAGAAGTGCCTGATGTGGAAAAACACAGTGTTTATCGTGTTTTCCAATCCACTGGGTTTTTCTTCCTTATTTTTTCCAGTTTGGAGTCAGTTATTAACGTAGGAAAACAGGGCTGTGTGAAATGGGCTTTTATTCAAGAAGTCACTGCTCTGCCCAGATTAGCGGATGTCTGCAACCGGACCGACTTCTCAGTGCCCTTTTCTCGCCCTGGACTGACTTTTCCAGTGCCTTGGATGCACTTCTCAGATGCCCCTGTGAAACCACGGGAGTCCACAGCACTCGCCAACCACAGATCTGCCCCCCCGCTAATTTCTGAACATTTCTATTCTGATTCCCATTCAGCAGCTACCCAGATCTTGCTAACTTGAACTGCTTTTACTTTTTCCCTAGTAACATACAAACACCCATGCAAATAATCTCATCCAAATAGCAATTTCATCAGGTCGGTATAAGAAAATTTAACATTTTTTTGTTTTTTTAACATCATGGAAAAAAACAAAACAGATTTTAGAGGACAGGGAGACTGCAAACTGATGAGGACTACACCACGTAATTAAAAGAGAGAAAAAGCTAAGACAGGAAAAAAAAATCTGGAAGGTCTTAAGTAACATATGACTGACCGAGTCCACAGATTGAAATGCAATACAACGAGCAAGCAAAAACTGTTGTCACAGGCCCTAGGTCAGAATTCTCATCACTGCTGGAAAAGCAAACACTTTCGCTGAGTTTTGAAGTAGCCAGGCACAAACAACTGGCTAACGTGGCCCACACTGTACACACGTCTACAAAATCCAGAAGTACCTTTTACAGTATCTTGGACATACGAAAAACTAACAGAACCCCCCCTCCTCAAAAAACAAACCACAAGCGACTGTGTGGGGTGCAAATGTTTATAGTAACAAATTGGTGAGACACTAACCGAGTTGGGTAGGGTGGTCAGCCACTGCAGGTGAGCCTTCTGTTCTTACACGGGCTGGGTTCGAGGTGTTTCTTTTCAAGAGCCCGGTCTTGTACAGGTATGGCTTCTTCCCTAAGGTAATGATGGTCACCTCACACAAACAAGCAGCTGGAAGCTTAGTTCACATTTTTTAATAACATGGCACAGTTTACATTACACAAGAAGGCTCCGCCGATGAGAACATGCTGAAGATTCAGTTGCTTCACTTTTCTTTTCACATAGGATCTAGAAAGGACTTTATTACATACAGGATAAACAGCAAAAAGGTCCGTATAGAACAATCTCTTTACAATACTGAAAGCTACCACTACAGTTCCAGTGTACATATTCCTTGCATTTTTTTTAGTTGTTGTCTTAAAAAAAAAAAAAAACACCGCACAACATCTGGAGTTCACAAAATCTGAAGCTCACAACTAAACCTTCAGTTTACTACTAAAATAGATCTCTCTGCTTATTAGAAACAATGGTCTGTAGTTAACTTTTTTTTTTTTTTTTTTTTGCAAAAACAGGATAACAACGTCAGATAGCACTTTAATATACTAGAAGACCAAATGGAACTAATTTTATTTCATACATATATTTTACAGTCCAGTAGACAAGATATATTGTATTTCTCTGCTAGTAAAGTCATATTCTCTCCAAATATGTAGACAAGAGGCTTAATGTATTATAAAAGTATTATGAAGAGACATTAAGATTGATGCAAACTCAAAAAACACACTCACACACAAGACTTTTTTTTCTGCCATCTTTCACCCTCTAACTCGCGATGGCTCCACAAGGTTGACCTGTTACGGCTGTTCCCAGACTTGATCACCAGCTGGAATACAGTGCGTCACATCAGGAAACGTGCACCTTACATCCGTCAGTTATTGAATACAGTGAAAACATATCCATCATCTGAGAAAACTTGAAGCTTTCTTTCAGGATCTGTTTGGGTGTAAGTAAATCTCATTACAAAACGAGGAAGTGTGTACAGGTATGAAATAGGACACACTAAAAAAGGCATGGTTCTCACATGAGGTGTGTGTGAAGTCACTGGCGACCTGTGTGTGTCTGACAGACACCACCACCCGTCCCCTGATTTTGGCATCTGGCAAATCCCACCCTCCCTGGCACTGGTTGCTCATGTCCTCAGTTACCTCTCCGGGGCTACACTTTCCCCCAGAGCCCACAAGCGGCAACTTCAGATGCTAAGTTCCAGCCTGGGGTCCAATTTGCAAAACAGGATGTTTCTCCGTTTGAAAAAAAACAAGCAAGGAAAACAGAGTCATATCACGTAAGCGCTTGTTCAGGGAAAATATGACCTTAAGTATGCTGTAAATGGATTTGAAAAGGCTCCTTTGAGTTAGGCGGGCTTTTGTGAAAAGCCCGAACATTCATTGCATAGTTGAAGGGTTTAGCTGTCTATAACAATATATGGGAACACAGCTTTAGCCGACTGTGTTCACTGATATTAAGTAAGTTTGCAAATAGCACATTTTAAGAAGTATTAATGTATTATGTTACTTTATCTATTTACATTTGTACAAAGTAAAGCTTTCATCTTACCCTTTTGCATATATGAACCATTAGCTCATGAAGCAATCTCTTTTTACATAACTATGTACACGGCCTTCCCACCTCATCTGAAAGAATTTTGCATGATGGATGGCGTGGACTTCTCCCCCCCACCGCCCCCGCTACAATTATCATCCAATTGGTGTGTGTTGTCATCTTCACTGTTTTGGTTCAAATCAAAAAGTTTTATACGAGAAACAAAAAGTAGGAGACGTGAGAACATATGACTGGGCTAAAAGATCTGAAAAATCTCAACATATAATATACAAAACATTTCAAAATGTGCACTGAGTCTATACATTTTTTACAAGGGGAAGGGGTGGGGCTTTCCCCCCCAGTCTGTGTGAGCCATGCAGGAGTTCTGTCTCTCAAGCCTGGCCTGGTGTCTGCCTAGGGTTTCTTCTTCCTCGTTCTTGCTCCTGTTCTCGGCTTATCGGGCCTCGATATCCTTCAGCGTGTGGGAAGGGGGCCTCTCCCTTATCTCTGCGGACAGAGGAGTCGTCCTTCTGGGAGAGACCGGGCGGCCCCCCAGCGTGGAGATGAGCGGGGGAGGTGCGCTCAGCGCTGCTGTCGGAGGGGTCTTGTTGAGGAGTCCGTTCTGGTTGCCCGCGGTGGGGCTGATGCGGGGATAGTGCATGCTGGGGAGTCCCGGGGTGATGAGGCTGGGGTGGGGGAGGTGTCCGTCGAGGGAGGCGGGGTGCACGGAGTGGAGCCGCGTGTGCTCGTAGTCTTCTCTGAGCATGTGCAAGCGCTCCCGCTCGTCCAGGTGGCCTCCCCGCTCGTGCTCCCGCCGAGGGTCCACAGACAGCGGGTGGTGGTGGTGGTGGTGGTGGTGGCTGTAGTCGTGAGGCTCCCGGTCCCTGAAGGAGCGGTCGGCTTCGTACAGCCGGGGAGTCGAGAGCCGGTGGAGCGGGTCGTTCCTTAGCAGGAAGTCCCTGCCCAGCGGGTCTCTCCGGTGAATGTCAAGTTCTCGGTAAGGATCCCTCAAGGGGTCCCGGATGGGGTCCCAGTGGAAAGAAGGGTACGGGAAGCGCTCTCCGCCCGGGAGGGGGCTGATGCCCATGAAGGGGGTCATCATGCGAGTCCTGTCCAGGCTGCTGATGCTGTTCATGGGGTGAATGCCCGTCACCCCCACCGTCATGGGCATCGAGGCCAGGGGCCCCGGGTGCACGCTGGACGAGGAGTTGGGAGGCGGCGGCTCCGAGGCCCGGTGGGTCTGCGGGGCCTCTGGAGGCAGGTCATGGTCTTCCTTCCGCTCCTCCTTCACCTTGACCTCGGAGCTCTTCTTGGGGTTCTCGTAGGCCGGCTCACCCTTGCGCGGCTCGGCCTCCCGGCTCGAGGTGCTGTTGGGCCTGGCACTCTCCACCACCGGGGTCCGCACGTAGGGAGACGGCACCCGGGCCAGCTGCTTGGCCTCTTCGCCCGCGGCGCGCCCCTCGTGGCCGTGCCCGTCCTTCTCGGGCAGGTGGCCCTCTTTCGCCTTGTGCTCGTCGGCGGCCAGGTCCTTGCGGGATTCCGAGTGGTCTCTCTCCCTCTCTTTGGGTTTGTCCTTCTCCCGAGCCTCAGTGTTCAGATGAGCCCGGATCTGTTCAGTGGAGCTGCGGGTATGTCCCAGGGCATTCACCGGGAGGACAGGTGCTGGTGAAGGGTGGCTGGAGTGTCTCTTCTCGACGCTTTCCCTGGGGGAGAGAGGGGAAGACAAGGACGCAGATGAAATGAAAGGGGCGAGTCGGCCGGGCCAGGGGCTGCGGGTGAAATGGTGGTGTGAAGAGGACAGGCTGGGGGCTGCTTCCCATGGTCGCCAAGGCAGCAGCCGTGCCCTGGACAGGGCAGAGCCAGCCACCCTTATCCTACTTACCTAGATTTTAGAGGAAGCTTAATGGGGGAGATGGACCAGGGATGAGGGTGAGGGGGAGTCTGCTGGGAGCAAGAATCTCTCTGCATGTTAAGAGCCTCAACCAAGAGCACAGAAGAAGAGCTTCCAGAAAGCCAAGATGGCTGCATGTGGTCAATAAGGCAATGATGTGGCAATCCAGCCCGACTGTCTGGACTCCCGGGATCATCTAGTGTAAAGAATCACGTTTTAAGAGCCCAACGCCCAGTATCACTTTTCTTCCAACTTTGCAACACTGAACCAGTGGAAGAAAGGGTTCAACATCAGTGTCACAGAAGTCTCTTGCTCCTTACAAGGACAAGTGACCAGTTTCAGAGCAAAGAACGTGGATACAGAGCCATCTCCAAGACACAGCACGTGAGAAAGGCTCAAAAGGAAGCCACAGTTGGAGGACTTTTGGGTTGCAAAGAGCACTTGTGCACCAGATGGGATAAGAAAGCCAAAGTCTGATGAGAAGACGGAGGGAAGGCAGTAGGAAAAGCAGGTCCCTAAACACGAAACCTCATGGGGACATTGAAAACAATTTTAGAGAGCAGCTGTGAGTGAAAACACGAGACAAGAATTTTAGAGACCTGTCTTGGATGGGGGCTCAAGAGTATTGGGCAGAAAATGCAAAAACAAATGGAATGACAATAAGGTAAAACTTGAGTTAAAACTAAGACCAGGCAGGTCTTACGGATGGTGCCAAGACAGATATGGCAAAGTTGAGGAGAGCAGCAGGCTGCCATGCTGGCTTGGTGCTGGTGTGCAAGGATCAGAGGACCACAGAGTATTCAGGAGGCTCCCCTATAAGGGCTGTTTCTTGCCCACATGCAGAGAAGAAGAATAACTTTTAAGGGAAGGATGGAAGAAGAGTATATTTTATTTATTAAGCTTCCTGACTTTAATCCAAGAGGCCATTTTGACGCCATCCAGAAAAACACGCAAAGGGCTGGTGGCCACATCCTGCATTGCACCTAGTGACAGGCTGTGTACAGAGAGCTCGCGGCCTAGGGTCGGCCAGGTTATGTTGCTAGGCGTGCCTCATTTTGGCAGTTCACAGCTCAGAGATGAATGTCATAAACATTCCTCCCAGTGGTTAAGAGATTGTTATCATACTGCCTTGAAGGAAAATTTGTTTTTCTTTTATCAGTCAGCATGATGGCCTCTGATGAGTATCTACTAATCTGCCCCATTTAGAGCCTGCAAAGTTGAATTCTTTCTTTGAAATTACTAGGATATACACACACACATACATACACGGTATACAAAGAAAAGAAACATTAAAGATTCGGATCAAATTTGAATCTTAAATACTGCAAGGAAATTGGGATTAGGTATTTTCTGTCAAGCATATTTGTGCATTCCTTATCAGTTCATTTAAAGTGAAAATAAATAGCCTAAAGAAAGAAAAAAAAAAAGACATTTTTGTCAAGAATGCGTTACGATATTCTTTGGAAAAAAAACTCCAAGACATTCCCTGTTTAACGCTACTTTTTTTTTTAGGCATGGGTTACCAAGTGCAGAGACAACGGTTAACAAAATTATCCACTAGTGAAACCAAAACCAAACCAAAACTGCTTGTCGACGTTTCTCTACATCTATGTGAGTAAAATTTTATTAGTCATCTGTGAGCCCCAGGCTTTGAGTTTGAACAAAATTTGAGAAAAATATGATGAGGCAATGCAAACATGGCTTTCTAAAAGAAAACAAAAAGAGGAAAAGAGCGAGAAAAACCTATGGATGGTTAAATGGACTGCACGGACTTGAAAGCAAATATGGAATTGATTCATGCTGTGTGTGTCTGGCCCGAAGCTCCAACTCCCTGTCTTCTAGAGAAAGACTTCTGTTTGGACACGCTAACAGGGACTTGGGACGTGCTGATGTATAACTGCGACTGAGACAGGAATCTGTCGCTAGCTCTGCTATCTCCTACGGTCACCATATGCTATGGGCCATGGGGACTGCGAGGGGCTGCGGGCACTGGCTGTGGGGAGGAGCTGAGGCTACCGGGGCGGCTAAAGCACGAGGCTGGGACAGGGAGGGTGGGCGGCCAGTTCCACTGGTACTTGGCATAGAGCAGGCTCCCCCGTGGGGACTCGAGAGCGGTTTCTTTCCGTACCTTTCTTTGTCATCTTTACTAACAGATGAGTCTCGTTTATCTACATCTCTATCTCTGTCATGAGCTGCAGCGGACGCGCTGCGCTCCAGCTCCCCTGGCTTCAGCCAGGGCGGAGGGGTCGGGAACGACGGAGGCGTTCGGTGCAGCCGGTTCCAGGGTTCGTGAGGGTTGCTAAAGTTCTGCACACTGGGGCCATCCTTGTGGCCGAACATTGAGTTGGGTGCTGAAATGGTGAAGTGGAGAACAAAAAGGTTTAAGAGAAATTATATAATCTGCTGTAATGAAGGTACTTACCAAAAAACTTTTAACAGCATTCAGAGTTAAAATGAATACATATTATTGGGAGCTGGAAAAGGAAAGGAGATTAACAAATTCATTAGAGGAAGTCTTGTCCTACACTGGAGAGGTAGCTCACAGCTTTTTTTTTTCTTTTTAAAACCAAAAGCAAAGGTGGGGACAGGGGAAGTTAAAAAGGAAAAGGGACCAAATGGGTACTGAGATGACCTAATTCAACGTATCTGGTGCATGCAGAAGTTCCAGGCATGCAGAAGGGTGTGTTATGATGGTGGGATTTGGATTAACAATTCTAAATTGATTCACAGTAGAAGTCACTGTCTCCTCTACCCACCGTGGCCCTCTCAAGTGTCACCAGAGACCAGACAGGACCTTGCCCTCACCAGACACACAGGTCTCCTTCCTGTGTTTTAAATAAAGACCGACCTGTGACGGTATGCTCAGAGACACGTTTTAGCTCTTCCTGTACCCGGAATATATGGTATGTAGCATGAAAGAAAATAATTTGCATATTCAGCGACTAAACACTAATGTTTAGAACGTGAGATGGGGTTGTAATTCTTCTCCTAATCGAGATGGGCTTTTTTAATAGTAGAAAGCTGCAGAGTCCTCCTAGATGATGGAGAATAAAATGGTGCCAAATCTTGATTATCCCAAGCCTGGTGGTGTCGCAGCCTGGTGGTGTCTTCCTGCTATTTTTCATTGTGCTTTTTTCAATTCCACGAATGCCACGGGCAAGATGAAATGTAACAATTGCTGTAACTATTGCTTTCACTTGTAATGTGAGCTGCAGCCAAAATCTTGGAGAGCAGAGATGGGATGTGGATGAAACTCCGCACTTGAGTAAACTTTCTGTGGTCATCAACTACACTGCCGTTCCTGCCCCTCAGAACTGGATAGCCACAGGGGGCTGCCCTCACAGTGGTGGCTCTGCACACTTCCACCTCACCCCACTGTGAAGGCCTGCTTTTGCAGTGATATAACCTACACTGGTCCCCCCAGAGCATAGTTTCCTTTTCTCTAGAAAGGTCTTGAGCCATATGCGGATCACAGGAGATAAAAAGTCCAAGGCAGATTTTTAAAAGTTAGAGGTACTCACTAACGGAAGGATTTCCAAGTCCCCCGAAGGCATTGCCACCAACTGCTGCTAGGCCTGTGAATGTAGACGGCCGATTAAAAGGCTCTGCAAACAAGATGGGGAAGAAGGAAATGGTCAGGGGCTCTGCTGGGAGAGGAACCCAGAGCTTCCTGGGAGCAGGGCGATGCGGGATCCCTGCCCTCTCTACGCCCCCACCTGGCCTGTCCCACTTTTCCTACCAGATGGTGTAAAAGGTTTTCATTACACTTGGATTTAGGCACTGGGTTAGCAAAATATTTCTGAGGACTCTTCTTCTACAACTGTGTATTTTGTATTACTCTTCCTTTGCCCAGTGGGGACACTACTCAAGCTAGGATGTACTAACTTGCCTTCCCGCCCAGTCTCGCCTCTGCCAGGAATGCACTCTGCAGATTCTAACAGAACAGAAAGGAGGTGGCATCTGAATCCATGATGAAACTCTGAGGGCGTGCCTATGATATGCCCTGATGTTGTGCAAGCCAATGCCTGAATCTGCCTGTACACTTGCAGATGGGATCGAATACACAAAGGCCACACAAAGCATGCACCTTTATTAGGAAGAGACTCATTTATCGGGGCAGTGAGATGTAGAATAACTCCTCTCCATAACGTCAGCTTGTGTTTCTTTCCGCTTCCTAGAGGTGACCTTTGCTATGGGGCAAGAGCTCACCATCTTCTTCCAATGGGCAGGAACAGGCTGTTGTAAACTCGGATTCCCTGAGATACCAAGGAATGGCTCTCACCCACTGCACCATGGGAAGTTCAGGCAGAACCACTGCCGAGCACAGCTCTACTACCGAAAGAATGCGGTGTAAGAGATGAAATCTGGAAGCTGGACGGGATGTACTGAAACTCCTAAGAGAGCACCATCTCCTGCCTAAATGGTAAGCAGGGTATCTGGGACTCCCACCAGCTTGCCCGGAGGTGCAGCGGGAGCATGGTAAACACAGCAGGGTTGCCTGAAGCACACATCTCAGTTCCCATTATTTTGGGCGACTCACCTAGGTGGGCAGCAGGGTTGAGGAAGTTGCTGTGATGAGGAGGTGGCCCAAAAGGGGTCCCAGTTGGGTGTGCAGCACCTGTTAAGTCAAACATAACGAAACCAGAGTTTACAAAAAGCCAACTTCGAAGATGCAACCGGCTTCTACTTGCTTAAGGGCCCCGTGAGAAAATATGTTCAAGGGAGGTCATGGCTGAAGTCCACCCAGGCCCCTGCAGGCAAGACACAGGGTAAAAGAAAATGTGTGTTTTTTTTTTTTTTTTTTTTTTTTTTTTTTTAGGAAGCAGAAAATCAATCATCCCTCTTTCTCTTTCCCAGCGTGGCTGGCCACCACCAAAAACAGGTATTTCTTTTTTAAGCCGATGACACACAGTATTACAAAGACAGAGATAACTGCCCTGGGTCATGGGAGGAGGGGAGGCTTTATAACCAAGTAAATTTGGAGAAATACTGGATTAAAAAAAGCTAAGCAAGTTTCTTTACTGAAGGGCTTCTTAGAGCCATTAATAAGCTTATTAATAAGCTTATAGGCTCCTTCGTTCTCTAAGAGGGGAACATTTCATCATGGAATCCACTCCTCATAGAGCATCTCGGAGGACCAAGTTTTCACTTTGAGAAACACTTCCAGAAACCCAGCCCGTTATCATCTCTGGCTCAGGAGGGGTGGTCCTGAAGCTGTGGTTCTTGGCTACGCTGCTCTGGGGACTTGCAGAATCCCTTCTCCTGAAGAGTATGTTAGTTCGCATGCACCCACATCGAAGGATACTATAAGACCCGACTCTATAAAACTCATTATTGTGAGCTCAATTAGGTTTTAGGAGATGAAGTCCTCTGATGTCTCTCAACTTTCAATGCCAGGAAAAGCTGGTTGATTCTTATGTTTTGGGGCACTGAAAATCTTATAACTGACTCTGACAGGTTTTTGCTTTGCCTGCCAGGGAACTCAGGTCTAATTTAGTGGTTTCCTTCAGTTGTCCCTTGATCCACATTTCCTCCTCTTCTCTGTATTTTGCCTAATGTGTACTTCTTGAAGATGCCTCTATTCCTGTTCCTGAAGGAAGCCAGGAAAGGAAGGAAGGAAGGAGACAGAGAAAGAGAGTGTGCAAATGTGAATTAGGGAAGGACATTTCTAAAGGCCTTAGGGCACCAAATGGGCTTGTTAATACGAGGCTACTTACTAGCTAAGGAGGCTAGCTTCCTGGAAGGCAGGCTTTGTCCTAGACGAGAGATTTGCCAGGGTCATCTGAAGAAGTCTCTAGTTTATATTCATGGGATTAGCACCCAATAGCAAGATGAAAATGGCTGGATTTCTTAAGTATGTACAAGTTATACACATCAGTTACAAGGTTCACCAAATAACTATTTTGGGCAGAATCCCATACTGCTTATGCTAAAGAAGGTTACATTCTAGAATGGAAGTATAAACAAGGCCTGGATAAAGAATTTACTAAAAACTGTTCCATAATCCTTTGCATTTTGTCTAAGTTCCTATAAACAAATATAAATTCCCTTAGGAAAATGGATTAAACGTAGGGGTTGTTGCTGTCTACACTCTGTTAACTCGATTTATGTTTTGGACTGCTGTTCCCTGGGCTGCAAAAGTCTTGTGGCCTGGGTTTGGAGAGGAAGCCACTCAGTACAGGAGGAACATCATCCCCGTCACAGTAGTTCGGAATTGGAAGACACCTGAGGAGTTATCTATTCAGCCCTGCATACTGGCTTATTTTCCACCTGGGAAGTGTAAAAATGATACCCCGCCTCCACCAAGTGAATATATTCCAGAATATTCATCAGGCCGTTAGCAGTGTTGTCAGCTAAATAAAATTTTGGCCACATACTGTCTGTGTAGTGCAAGCTAATTAATGCTTCAATGAAGACCAGAGCTTTGCTGAGCCCAGGGCCCCCAGGGGTGCCTTGCAGTTCCAGAATTATTGAAGCAAAAGAAGCCAATTCATCCACTTGGCTCAAATGGAAGCCAGAGAGAAATCTATTCTTTCCAAAAATTGCTCTTCATGTAGCCCTGTCTCAGAGCCTAGGTGCCATGGTAACAGAGCCTTCAAATATGTCCCCAGACAGCACTGACAGAGAAAAACCTGAGACCTTAGCAAATTCCATCTACCCTCCAGGGGGACGCACTTGCTTTGGTAGCTAAGGCCCATTATAATGATGATTTCTTGCAGTGTGGGTGCTTCTCTCTTCCTGAACAGAAGAGCCAGAGGTCCACCAACAGTGAGTCTTGGATAAAAGCCTGGGGTGGCAGCTGGCAGGATGGCTGTAAGACTTGTCTCGTAAGGATCAGAAATGGGGAGCCCCTTGACTGCTTACGTCCAGAA
The DNA here is from genome assembly GCF_000001405.40 of Homo sapiens. Taxonomy (NCBI): domain Eukaryota; kingdom Metazoa; phylum Chordata; class Mammalia; order Primates; family Hominidae; genus Homo; species Homo sapiens. The sequence continues at coordinate 70,782,687 of NC_000007.14, read as the reverse complement.
GAATAAATTCTACTTAGCATAGTGGGTATGAAGTTATTAGCAGAATGAGCTCAGTGCCATCATTTTTAAGTGTTAACTGAGCTGAGCTCTGTGTGCCAGAAATTACACTTAAAAAAGCTTTAGAGAAGACAGAATGACAAGAAACCCTTAATACCAAGAGGGCTGTTCTCATCCAGCACACACACAGTCCTTACAGCCGCTGTCTTTTGTTTGTACCTGGAGCAGGAATGAGCATAATCGTCACTCTCTACCTCACCCCTTCCACACGCACACTTGACAGTGTGTATTCTCAGAGGTTAAATGAATTACAGATCCGATGAGCAGGTCACTTGGGTGTTTACACCGTTTCCTAAATTTCTTCCACCGCTATAACCAACCAGGCAATAGTATTACGTTTTGTAGCAGAGAAAACCAGCAACCGAGTGGCCCAACCTCCCTATCACAGACCATACTCCTGGCAACTGCCTTAATCGCCTTTCTTTATCCTCAGGACTTTAAAACACGGCATGACTGAGCATCCCGGTGCAAAATTACAGTGCTCTGCGGGCACCGTATTAAGGGCGACCGCATCCTTCTATAATTCCTGGCATTGTTTCCTTCCGATCTGCCCTTGCAAGCCTTCAGATCTTTCTCAATAGCAACTGACATGCTTGTGAGTTATACTGGTTTAATATAGAAGCAAATAATGAACCGAAGCAATGTGAATCCCTGTAAGGGAAAGATGATCTCTGCCTCCTCCTTTAATGAAAGAGAGTGTATCAATGAAGATTCCCAACTCCCTGGATGTGCTGCGATGTTGCCTTGCAAGCTGGCATTAACTGTATTTTTGTAGGTGGTGACTGAGCGGCAGCTCAGAGCCCAAACCTCATTTATTTAGTTACCTGAGAACTACATTTCTCAGCTCTGTCCCCCCACCCAAACCCACACTCACCAGCGGCAGAGAACAAAGTTGAAGGCCGTGCCAGGTCATGGGGGTGGTGGATGGCTCCAAAAAGACTGGGGCCTGGAGGGCGGCTCAGGAACTCAGGTTTCAGTCCAAAGTCCAGCTTATGTGGGTCTGACTGCATCTGTTTCTACACAGCAAGGGGAACAGTAAGGGTCCCAAGGCCAACAGCAAGGAATAAAGGTGTTAGTGAAGAGCTGGAGCTGGAGACTGTGAACGGTGCACTTGGGTTCAAGTTTACAAACACTGTGAGAGAAAGCAGCTACACAAAAACCATTTCACCCTCAAATGTCAGATCTGCAGGCCGGTAGTGCCTGTTACACCAGAAATGTCTAGTGACAACACTAGTGTTTGGTCTGGTTTTTTTTTTTTTTTTTTTTGTGACGGAGTCTCCCTCACTCTGCTTTCCAGGCTGGAGTGCAGTGGTGGGATCTCGGCTCACTACAACCTCCACCTCCTGGGTTCAAATGCTTCTCCTGCCTCAGCCTCCCAAGTAGCTGGGATTACAGGTGCCTCCCAGAATGCTCAGTTAATTTTTGTATTTTTTGTCGATATGGGGTTTCACCATGTTGGCCAGGCTGGTCTCAAACTCCTGACCTCAAGTGATCCGCCCATCTCGGTCTCCCAAAGTGCTAGGATTACAGGTGTGAGCCACCGCACCCAGCTATGTTTGGTCTTCAAGGTTAATGGCTTGAGAAATAAAACCATATCCTATTTATGGAGACTGCCACCACTCCCAAAGTAGTTCAGTGTTTTGCTGTAAAGGCCCATTTTAGTAAGGTTTAAAATAATAGTGTCTTAAAGCTCATTTTATTAGGAATTCTGCATGAACAATCTGCTGTATAAATTAATTGTTTGTTTAATGACTCTTTGCCATACTCTAATAGCTCACAGTACATTAGTAACCAAAAGTTATGAAGAAATATTTGCATGTCTATAAGCTAACTTTCAAATGATCACTGTTATATAACAATAACAAAGAAAAACAAAGTAGGAGTATTAATTTAACTAACAGAGGCCCTTTCTCTTCCTACTACCTGTAATTACCTGAGGAAGGTTGGGGGAGGGCAGTGTCCATCCAGACAAGTAAACCATAATCCCAGCGCTTTGGGAGGCCAAGGCGGGCGGACTGCCTGAGCTCAGGAGTTGAAGGGCAGCCTGGGCAACATGGTGAAACCCTGTCTCTACTAAAATACAAAAGATCAGCCAGGCGTGGTGGTGCACGCCTGTCGTCCCAGCTACTGGGGAGGCTGAGGCACGAGAATTGCTTGAACCTAGGAGGCGGAGGTTGCTGTGACCGAGGCTGTCTCCAAAAAAAAAAAACAAACTCTTGTGTGAAGTCCTTATCATGGACAGAAATCACTCTGTTTTGTCTTATTTATCTATCCTCAGGCTAATCTTTCCGCCTACCATCCTCTTAGGCAGTAGAAATTGGGTCTTAATCTTCCTCTCAATCTTTTCCCCTGGCATCCTTCTCTAGGCTGGAGGCCCTTGCACCAGCATGGTTTCAAAGCTGCCCCACCTCCTTGTTTCTTGACAGCTTTCTCTTTGAACTGGCTTCACACTGCCTTGGATAAGCACTGCTCCCAAGGCATGGGGTCCTGGGACTTGAAGCTTCTAGTTGAATTTCCCTTGCTATGACCTCTTCCCCATCAGTCTCCTGGGTTTTCACTGCCCTTAGTACCTGCTTCTGACTTTCACTCTTTTTTTTTTTTTTTAAAGAGATGAGATAGATAGGGTCTCGCTCTTTTGCCCAGACTGAAATGCAGTGGCACAATCATAGTTCACTGCATCCTCTTGCCTTAGTCTCCTGAGTAGCTGGGACTACAGATCCATGTCACCATGCCCAGCTAATGTTTTTTCATTTTGGTAGAGACAGGTCTCTCTCTCTATGTTGCCCAGGCTGGTCTTGAACTCCTGGGCTCAAGCGATCCCAAAGTGCTTGCCTTGGCTTCCCAAAGTGCTTGGATTAGAGGAGTGAGCCATCGTGCCTGGCTACTCTTCTGATCTCCCGGACTCATCTGATGCTCTCAGCCCCTTTAGCCCCATTCTAGCCTCAGCTCAATCTCCCTCATGTCCTGAGGGATCCTTGCCCTGCTGTACAACAGCAAAGCCCCATGAGGGGGCATCTATATTGACAGAGCATGGCGTGAGGATCTGAGACAGGGAAGTCTGCTGTTCTCTTACTGCTGACGGCAACGTCCCACTCACCCATCACCCCTACTGAAAGCAAAAGCTACCCGTGCACCTCCAGCTGGAAATGACACCACCCATTAAGAGGGCACACACACTTTCCTCACTTTTTACACACAACTGATCCTCATTACTGAACTCTAAGCAACTAGACGCCAGGAAGGATGCATGCCCCCAGCCCGCCACAGTAAGGAACCTGCAGGCGTAGGCTCTTTCAATAAACACTGGGTGAACGACTAAAAGAATGCGTAAATGAACGTTACAGAGAGAGGGAAGATGTAATTTCTGCTCAAATCTACAGGGAATGCTATAATGAAAGTCCCAGTATCGAGTAATAGCCAAGCCTCAAAACCAAGCTTCTAATTCACTATGAATCTATAAAATTCTTTTGAATACCTCCTTTAATTTGGTGGCCAAATTATTTAGTGCTAATATTGCATGGTACATAGCACAGTTCCATTAACCACAACTTAGGGCCATGAAGCAAAATGGAGCTTGGGGATTACAAGCAGTTTGCTGAAAAGGGAAGATGAACGAAGTTATCTCATGTTCAAGAGGTCTTTCTAATTGAATTGGGATAATGAAAGTTTAAGTCACTGGGGACACTTTTATGGGAAAGAAGTTGCTAAAGTGGCACGTGCAACATCCCTCATCTCTTTTAACCAAAGAAGTTACAAGGAAGATGTGCTTTACCTACCGTTCCACTAACCACATCAACCAGAACAAAAACTGAATTGAACTAATCATCAAAATCTAGTTAGCTCTTCAAAGCACACACATTTTCTAAGATAGACCACAAGGCTTCCAATTAAACTTCCCCTAACAATAAAGTACAAATGAGCCAAACTCACTGATGGCATGTTATAAGAAAGAGCAGGTATCTGACAACCAAAGCAAAATATCTTAGTGACCTCATTTACTGAGGTTTGCATCTTAAAACTTTTAACCGGGTTTTTATTTTTTACTCTTTTTTTTTTTTTAGAGATGAGATCTTGCTATGTTGCCCAGGCTGGACTCAAACTCCCAGGCTCAAGGGGTTCTCCTGCCTCAGCCTCTAGAGTGACTGGAACTTGGGTTGTTTTATTTTAAAAATCACGTAACCCTTTTAAAAACATGTCTCTTCTGTGATGAAGAGCTCTATCTATCTCCTGGCTCATTGGTCTCCTGTATTTCTTTCATGAGAACTCCCAAATGCTGTTAGGACTAAAAGCTTGTTCATGAAGAAATGGATTAAGTGAAGCTTATTGGAGTTACTTGATTGCTTGTTTGCTCCCATTTTTGCAGGCATCGTAACATAGCCTATAAATACCCAGACTGTAAAATACAGACTTGTCAGTTACTTTGTTCCCTAAGCCAAGCGCTGATGCTGTATCCAGGGACTTGCAGAAGTTCTTGATCTCTCCCCTACTGAGTCATAAAGGCTCTAGCAGAACATGGAATATGTTCATCCCTATGATGAAAATATAGACAAAAAGGAAAAATCGTCTTTGGACAGCGAGGTAACTAGCCAGAACGTGGCTCCTGCAAGTACTGACTGTATTCCAATCCCTGGCACTGACCATCAGGAGGACCAATGACAGTTCAGCGGCATCATCTTCATATAGGGCACACATGACTCTACCATTTTCCCACAGCCATAAAATGAAAAGAATGCACCAGTCACTATTTTTACAAAAACCCAAACCCAACATTCATTTGTAGCTCTTCCCAGATGCAGAGTATTTTCTGTATTCTAATTCTTGGTCACTATAATTTTATTTCCAAAAGCTTTATTTTAGCATTTAATCCATATTCAAGACCTTTGGATCAATAAAATGACAAAATTATAAAGGGAACAAAACCCTGGGGCATTATCAGTTTGCTTTTGTTTTGTAATTTCACTAGTGGTTTCCCTAATTAACAGTAAGATTTCTGAGCTGGCTGCTGTGACTTGCACTGTAATCCCAGCTACTTGGGAGGCTCAGGTGGGAGAACTGCTTGGGGCCAGGAGTCTGAGACCAGCCTGGGCAACACAGTGAGACCCCTATCTATCTCTACAAAAACAACAATCAAGAAATTAGCCAAGTATGGTGGTATATGCCTAAAGTCCCAGCTGCTTGGGAGACTGAGGTGGGAGGATCACATGAGCCCAGGAATTCAAGGCTGTGGTGAGCTATGATTGTCCCCTTGTACTCCAGCCTGGGCAACAGAGTGAGACCCTGACTCTAGGAAAAAATAAGTAAGACTTCTGAGTAGCTTTTCCAAGAGAGGCTTGATCCTTCCTAACTATGGGTCTGTAAAATGTGTTTTAAATGCCTCCTTCATCAGGTTCTCCCGAGCACGTCACACACTCACATGTGCATCCCATTCTTCCCTACACCACGAAGGTCGGACTGACCTTGACTTTCTGTTGGTGGTGGTAAATCTGCCAGGCGATGTGAACATGCATAGCACACCACTTCCCTGGTTTCTGGAACAAGAAAGAGCAACGTGGTTAGGAGGAAGACATTTCAGAGAAAACCACCTTCAATTTCCCCAAAGCTTTCAGCAGATTTTGGCTGCAGAGGCTTTTTTCGTGAAACAAGAGTGCTTTGTACTCTCCAAGTGCCTTCCATCAGTAGCTCTCCAGCGCCCAGTCATAAGGGAGTCACAGCCAGCTCCCCCTCTCTCCCCACGTGGGTTTGCTACTCAGAAAACCACATTGACAAGGGCCTCCCCGGTTACCAAGGACAAGACGGCAAAAGCCTGAATCCCACTCTGTGCCTCTTCTCTTTCTTTTCTGCTGCCAGCTGGCAGACCTGGTAGAGTGGGAAGCCCTACTTAACAAATGTTGCCATGCTATAATGCAAATCAGCTGTTCAGAAGAGCTCATTAGTGAATGTCTGTGAGTCAAATCAAAATAAGAGAGGGTACAGAACCTGTCCTAACCTCCCCCAAGACCGTGGTGGTTTTTATTTTAACCCCCAAAGTGGTACAAAGAAATTCACATTTTGATTGAAGCCCAGTTACCGTAAATGCTAAGAGTCAACTACCCATTCGTGTTGGTGGGCGCTGTTCCTAAGTTTAAAGAAAGAAACAAAGAGAAGAATATTCCTTCCTTCCTGTTCTCTATCTAGGCCTCTGCAGATCTCAAGTCCATCCTCCACCCTCTGGGGTTGAATTTGAATCCACATCTCCCCAATTATTTCATGTCTTGCTTTATAAGGAGTGGAGTGCTGTGAGTGTATTCTCTTCTACCAGTCAGCGGGCAGGGACCACCTTTTCACTTCATTTCTGCTAAGTAATCTACCCATAAGCTCGGCGTGCGCGCTCAGTGACTACTGGACAGATGAGAAGAAAACACAGCCTCATTCTACATCGGCGAAGAACAGAAGCTTCTGGTTTCTACAGTATGGAGTTAGTTCCGAAAATATATACTTAAATGCAAGTCTGGGTCAGTTCTCTTCTCTTGCAATGAAATTATGGGTAGTTTGAAATCACAAATAATATACTGCCTCACCTAAGTGATGACACAATTCTCCTTTTTCCCCTGGAGAAATCAAATTATCTGATTATGTGCCCTAGAAATGAGTTATGCATAGCAAGAAATCTGCTGTCCATCCATCTTCTGTCCAACAATTCATCATGTCTGTCTTACCCCCAACCACCAGGATTCATTTAGAGGTCATCACACTGGCCAGTCTCCAGACCTCGAGAACAATTTGCTTTAAGCAAGATGTTAACAAACCAGATGCTTATAGTACCTCCTTCCTGCACCTTAAAAGGAGGTCAAACGGCTATGGCAAGTCAATGTCACTTACTACAGAAAGAGGGAGCCACCAGCCAAAATAAATGGACCCAGCTACATATTTTCTAAGTGCAAGAGAGACTAACTTCAGCCTATAGCTTCAGTCTTTCCCCTTAAGTTCCAACTAGTCAAACCTTTTACCAGAACTGCTAACAAGAGATCGGACTCGTTGACTTTTCTCTGTTGTAGAGATAAAAAAAAAAAGCCAATGGCCTCCAACGGTCAAAGCAAAACAGTTTAGGCCATTTTCAATCACACTATCTGAAAAACCCAATCACCGTCATTCCAATGTCTTATTCCAACATTTCTATGGCTTATTTCCTTGTAATAGACTTGTATTTTTAACCCACAGGGAGTCAAATAGAGGTTGCAAAACAGTTCTATAAGAAGCTTTCTTACCCTTAACATAGGTCTGAAAGGATCTGTCAACTGTGAAGAGAAAATGACAACTTGGTTACATGCCTGTCACTCAAACAATTGCTCTAATTAACAAATTTGTAGTGCTTCATTAGGAGGGGAAATTAAAATGTTAGAATTTTACTTTTAAATGAAGCCCTTTTAGAGAATAATTAACCCATTTTCACACTATCAAAAGTGCCAAGTGTCCCCTCCCCCACTTCACAAGCCTTGGTACATCTACGCTGACAAGCCCCTGTACAAGTTTAATCAATAGCAATGTGCCCTCTGGCAACATGATTTGCTCACATCACACACCAGGAGTTTCACTGTTTTGAGCTCCAAACCACACCGGGTAGGTCTGAGGGAGAATGGCCTTCAGACCCCTGGCTTTTAAAGCTGTCTACTAACTGGTATCTGGGGAGAGGTGTCCTTTCCATCCATCCAGGAGAATTAGGCTCTCTTTACCAATACCCTTACATTGATGACTTTACATTATTTATAGCTATTAGACATTTTCCAGAAGTTCACTATACATCATGACATACTTACATAGTTGAGTCATTTTAAACTTCTATCTAACTCTGGTTATCAATTTCTGACTGCCCTTATGTAGGTAAAAAGACAATATTGTTAAAGATTTTTTCATATTTCGTATAAAGATGACTACAAATAACAATGAGGCAAGATTGTATCTATCGTATAACTTCAGATTCCTTTTTTGGAAGCAGGCAGTGGTAATAAATTATGAATAAACAACATAACCAAAGCATAATGGATATTTTATTTAGCTCTAGAGTACAAAAGGATCCCTAGCACATTAAAAATAGAGGGCCAAAGAGCCGTGCAGTACAATAACTTCCTGACCCCAGGCAAGCGGGGGGATGTGTGTAGCCTGACTTCCAGGAAGAAAAGCGCCTTAGTGCTTTTCCATTCAAAACATTCTGTAGCTACTTCATTTGTGTAAGACAATTTAAGGAGATACAGACAGAGAAGATTGGTTAAGTAAAAACTATACAAGCTGACACTGTCCAATTTCTGGGCTCAGACCGTAACTCATTCCTCTTTTCTCCCATCGGCAAGTCGGTCTCTTTGTGTCCTATGCTCGCAGTGAGCAGGAGAGACTGTGTTTTCTAAGAGTAATTGGCATTTTCTTCCACAAACTAGAAGAACAGCTGAAACAGCAGCTCGCTCAAAGGAGCTAAGGAAGATGCGAGCACTGGGCTGGCCGTCCCGTGCAAACACACACACCCTGGTGTTACCTGAGACCAAGCCTGACTTTGCACGTACCCTCGGGTCCTTTTGGAGTAAAGTGTGTGGGACTGTCCCAGGCCGAGCAGCGACATCGATAGGGTTGGATGTCTACAAATTAATTAGACCACAGCTTACTTAGGAAGCACAAAACAGGTGACATGAAAGCAAGATCCTTCCCTTCTGCTAAATGAGAGAAGCCAAACTTCATTTGTTTGTTTCCTTCTGAAACGCAAGATTCATTTTTCTCAGGGACCACACATGCTCTTTCTCAAGGGGGCCTGACCACAGCTTGCTCTCTCCAGCAATGGCATGTAAAAGCAGAGAGAGGTCCCCAGAACATTTCACTGCAATAAAAAGCACAGGACCAAAAAAGAGAAGCAACAAACGTAAATGCTGTCCTGGAACTCCTCTTCCTCTGAATGAACCCATGGCAGGGACTGCCACTGTTTTTTTGCTTAATCACCAAACATTCCAAGAAACGCTTAAGTGAACATTATTATAATTGGCAGTATCAGGTGTTTCTCATCAGAATAACTGGAAGTACTTTACAGACATTAAGCTCTCCGTTTTAACTGGTAGACAATAATAAGGAATTATACTCAGTAATTACTCATTAGCAGTGGTGGAAATGGGACAAGAGAACCTAATTTAGGGACCTTGCGGATCTGCTCTTTGATGATTTCTAAAGCAATTCTGCTTGCTCTTACCTATTCCCACCACCATTCTCAAATATTGCTAATATTAACCTTATCTGTGAGCTTCTGTCCTTTGAATTAGCAACAATAAAAAGCCTACTTTGGGCACAATCACTATTTCTAGTGGGAAAGGATTCAGGACACGACACCAGCTATTTTATGGAAGAAATCACAACTTCTATGAACACCCCCCACACCAGGAAGTTAAACTCGTGGGGAAAAGGAGCTCAAGTTTAGGCCCGAAGCTTGCCTACAAGGAGAAGGGGGGGAAAAGAATGAAAGAAAGAAAAGCAATCAGCTGCAGTACAACTAACAATTAAGCTGGAGTTGTTAACAACCTGATTTGCATACATATGAAGAACTCCACTAATGAACTGCAATCTACATATTCAATCAGGACGATGGCCTGGAAAGGCCTATTTCAACACCAGGAGAGACACTTTCTTGCCCAGATGTAGTTTTCTGTGTGATTGGATAATTGTGAGCGAGGGAAATAGTCTAATTTATTAAATGACCTACCAGTCTGTTTGGGGAGGCCCCAGAGATTTGGTGTAACCTAGAGGGGACAGACCAGGGTCTGAGGGAGTAGTGAGGTGCAGACTGGGGGAAGGAGTTTAAAATCACCATCATTTTATCTCCAGACAGGAGGTGTTTAACGAGGCAGTCATAAAAGCCCTGTATATCTGTAACCTTGCATATAGGCTGCAATTCAATGCAGGCAAATTCAATAGATGAACTGAATTCAATGCAATTCAATGCAGGTGATTTTGAAGGGGGAGGGGACCCCACCTCTAATGCCTTTTAATTCTTTTAATGAAACACGTCTTTGGAAATGCAGTTATGTGCTTATCCTGGAAGACTCTGGACCAAAACTGTGTTTTACCTTAGCCATGAGATGGTGGGGAAAAGAAAAACGAAAACCCAATGGCACACAGCAGAATATCTTCAAGTCTGAGAATGGTTACCCACATGAAAGTACGGCTCTTTTTATTTTTGTGTGAAGGTAAAATAGAAATTGTAAGTATATTTAAAAAGAGAGTGTTTCGAGAATGACTCTTCAATATTGACCTTTAGAGACAGCTGTAGCCAACGCTGGACGGCATTATCACTGACTAGGTAGAACAGAATTTGATTTTTATAAAGGATGAAAGGTTAATTTCACACTAGGATGTTAGTAACTGATGACAAAGTCTTGGCCTTGGCCAGTGTAACCATGGCAGGGGTGGGATGGCTGAGAGAGAGGGAGAAAGAAAGGAGGACCAAAATGGGAGGCGACCACCCCACCTGCCGGCAGGCCCTGTTTGCAGCCGATGGGGTTGGCGAGGGAAATGAGGGAGAATGAGAATTCATAGGATACAATTTTAGTTGTGGAACCTTTATCCCCACTTCTACTAAAATCAGTAAGGACCCAGCTTTGTGTCTTTACTAATTACATACACCTGCGGAACAACCTGGCGCACATGTGTCTGATATTTCATAGAATTCCTGACCAGAAGTTATGTCCACGATATTGGTAGTAAAAAAATAAATATTGTGTATATTTTGAAGAGCACAAGAAATCTTAGCTTAACTGAGATTATCTGGGTAGTACAGTTTGAAAAGTAAATTTTCACGGCCATTTAAAACTAGATGGACTTGGAAAAAAAAGAAAAATAGGCTCACTCTAATCCCAGTGGTCACTTAGGACCTGATTAATGAGTCACTGCACAGGCAAGAGGACGCAGAACTTCCTGCACGCCTGGCCCGGGACGCCACTTAGACACATGCCTGTGTGTTTTCACTGTGAGGTTTCTTACCTTCGGCTGAAATGCTCCTTGTAGTGAACCAAAAGGGCCAGTGGGTGGGATCATAGGGGGGATGCCCGACACTGCAGGAGGATAGGAATGGAAGAGCTGTGGCCAAAGACGGAGAGGGGGAAAAAAGATTTTAGTAGGAGGCAAGTGACATATTCAAATTCCCGTCCCATAGAAAGACATCGACATGAGCAAGCCACGTAATCTCAGTTTGATGCCATTAGTCAAGAAGCCATGATGGAATGATCACACAGACGTGCCACGAATGTGTAACTTAAAAAGTTAAAAGTAGTTCAGGATCAATCAGCCAGCAAATGACATCCCGGGTGAGGGCATCATTAGAAAGGGAGCTTTTCTAATTATTAATTGTTAAATCAGATAGAAGTCCTAAATGATTGGAGATTTTAATGCATTTCAAAAACAGGAGGGATCCTGAGCCAAATAAGATGCCCAGAAAATTACAAGTTAATTAGAGGGGGAAAAAGACAGAAAAAAGAAAAAAAAAGGGGGAAGAAAAAGAAGTCTTCATGAGTGCCAGGATTTTATACCATTAAAACTCAATTAGTACTTTCAGACTTTTAATAGTTTGAGGAAATGAGAGTATATTCACAATCCTTGCTTCATTAGGTTGTTGCAGAAGTGGCAGTTCCAGAGGACAATTTAATTCTCTCATCTAAAATAATGACAAATATTTGTGAAAGGGTAAAATAAAACGACTCGATGTATACTTTAAATGGAGCTGCCAATTTGTCTAGAAGATGGATTCTAGTTGCACAGAAATAACCCGAGTCTGGAATATCACTATCGAGCTTTCAGTTGCTCTTGTTTAAGTCTCAGGTACTCAAAGCACTTCCGTATTAACATATGAAGTCTGAGTTTTTATGGCCACTTCTGAATGGTATCTGCTATTAAATGAACAAGCTCTTTGGAGGATACTCAAGCCAAGCCCTTCACGTAGGAGTCCACTCTATGATGGTAAAAGAATGATTCTGAATGAAGACTATGAATTTTCCTGAATCAACAGCCTATAAAAGGACACAATTGAGGAAAAAAATACAGAGAATCTGAAGACAATGCAAACACAACTTTCCCTCCTTCTAAAAATTTAATCTTTTTGAGGTCCTATTGGTTTGTTTCCATTTATCAAGCCACCATACAAATATTTTAAATAATGCCCCACCTTCGTGGTGGTTTATTATGTCAAAATTACAACAATAATTGAAGCTCGTCTTAATAAAGTATTTGTGTTAGTTATTTTTGGTAATGACTGAAATTCACATTTCGCAATCCCGTGTTCAGAGCACGTCCTTTTTCTGTTGGTCTTTATTTCATTTTGCTCCCTTCAATGATGCAGCAAAGTTTTTCAGACTAATTGATATTGAACTAAATCCACTTAAACAGTGATTGCAAGCCAAGTGCCCTCATTTAAAACTACTTTTAAGTCTAAAATTGTGTTTTAGATACTTGAGTGCATTGCATCTTAATTCCCCTTATAATGTCCTAATCCCCAAAGCAGGGGAGACTGAGTACTTCATATATTATCCACTATAACTCCTAATATGAAATAACTCTCCCACAGTACACTGAATAAAGCTGAGTAATTAAATACATGCCCCAGTGAAACACACTCAAATTTCTAGTATTCTGCCTCCAGGTGGGCTTTTCCCTTTAATGTTTACAATTTAAAAACTGGATGTTCTTACCACTTTCTTTTTGCTTTATTCCATCATTGACCTCTTAGAATATAAATATAGCTGACTATTCCTCCCCCTGACTAAAAACCTGAAGCGCCTAAGTAATAATACATACACCTTCCAAAAATTCAGGCCTCCAGGCTTATTCTCCATCTTTGGCCTAGGACTGTAGAATATGCGTATCAGAAGGCACCGCAGTGGGTCCTAGAAAGTAAATCTGAGCCACTTTTTGGGTGCTCAACTTTCTATATTAATTATTATTATTTTTTGAAATGGAGTCTTGCTCAGTCGCCCAGGCAGGAGTGCAGTGGAGCCGTCTCAGATCACTGCAAGCTCCGCCTCCCGGGTTCACGCCATTCTCCTGCCTCAGCCTCCCGAGTAGCTGGGACTACAGGTGCCCGCCACCACGCCCGGCTAATGTTTTGTATTTTTAGTAGAGACGGGGTTTCACCGTGTTAGCCAGGATGGTCTCCGTCTCCTGACCTTGTGATCCGCCTGCCTCGGCCTCCCAAAGTGCTGGGATTACAGGCATGAGCCACTGCACCCAGCCTGAATTATTTTGTTAGCTGGTCCTTACTTTAAATCAGCAGAGTATAGACTAAGGGCAGAATGGTGGCATCCATGGGCCAGACCCAAAGAGGAAACCCATAGGTCTACTGGGCTTTGGGTGTCCCCGTGAAATATGTTTTTGTATTCTGGTACTGAGCAGAACAGCGGGGACCATGTTGGGAGGGAGGGGGAGGAGGCATCACTCAAATACACTTTTCTAACTTCTTTTTGAAGAGGTCTTTCATCTTACGTTATTTCTAAATGCCCCTAGAGTACATAATTTTCAATTGATTTCTAATATTTTCTAGCCTTGACTTCTCAGCTAACCTCTTGACTAACATGGTATCTAATTATCTGGTTCAGAATATGAATGAATTCAGTCTTTGCTGATCTATTAAAGTAGCACTTCTCAAATGATAACACTATCTACAAACCTAAGCAAGAACAGTTGAGTATGGTGAATCAACACGGCTACAAGCATGATTAACCTTCTCTTTTTTCTGGTTTCATTAAAAAAAAAAAAAAAAGAAATCACTGGCAAAGAAACTTGCAAATTTTCAGATAAAAATGATGCAGTATTCACCCCATCATCAAAATATCATGGAAATATTCAAGGTCTTTGAATAAAAATAAGCTCTTGTCTTACAAGTTAACTGAACCTATAACTTAGGGTGTTATCAATTGAAGTTCCAGAACATACTCTTAAAATGGCATAAAACAAGTTTTTTTTATTTTTTTTAAATAAAGGAGAATGAGTTTAAAGAGAAAATATCACTCATTTCAATTTTGGGAGTTTCTTTTAATTAAGTGATATTTTTACTTTCTATTGTAACAAACTCAACAGAACAATACCAGCCATGTGGAAGAAGGTTCTACATTTAGTCTAGAGCAAATGAAAATCTACTTGTTGAAGAGTCATGAGTCAAAAAGACAAGGGACTTTCTATTTAAGAGGAAATAATTCAGGTTGCATTCCAGAACTTCTGTGTTAGTGGCATTTCAACTGACGACTGAAATGCTGTGATTTCAGACTCTCCTGGAACTCTACTGACTCCATTGCAGACATCTCACTTTGCAGGACAGATGCCTGACTGCCACTAAAGAGCAACTCTGCTTTCAAGCCTTTGGAATGCTTATGATCTTTTGATTCAGAAGATGATACTGCATCTTTACCAAAAGCAAAACACCACAAAAGCAAGCATCCAAAGTGGCGAGGAGCAATGGGAACTCTTGCAAAGATGATTAAGGAAGGCTGCTAGTCATTGACTGATCTGTGGCAAGAGCACAAAAATGGCAAAGCAGTTACATTCAATGTGTAGCATGGTAATGAAACTCACACTGTGCCGGTAGAATGGGTCAACTTTTGTAGGGTATTTGTCAAACTGTAAAGGGATCAAAGCAAAAGCTAGTTACTTAATCTGCATTTTTGTTCACTGCTACAGTGGAGGTGGCCCTACAAAGCTTCCCTGTCATTAAGCTGTCATGAGACCCCATAACCTCATTACATATGAAACCATTCTGAGCTCCTGAGTCTCCCTGACAAGAAGCCAACAGAAATGGAAGAACAAAATTAAAAACCAAGTGGTACGTTTTAGTTCTGCACGTACTAGGATGCCTTTCTTCCTACTATTTTCTTTCTACAGATTGGCACGAACCAAACCTCTAAACAGGAGAGAACAGCCAATTATCCAGATAAATCAGAGAGAGGTGAGCATTTGGTCTGATTTACCCAGTGAATTCCCCCTATTTTCATCTTCACTTTGGCAGAAAAACTGTCTTGCCATGCAGCTGTCTTCTGAAATGTATTATACCCAAATACAAAGTGATCTGGGGTAGGCCAGACAGCCTTTCATTGGAACAGAAAAAGAGTATACTATTGTTCCCTCTAAATAATGTCATCATATTGATGCTATAACTACCTTTGGTTAAATTTATTTGTGAAACAGCTCACACAGGCCAGCAGAAAACTTTCTCAAAATCTTAGGATCTTCAAAATCTAATTGTTAAGTATAATTCATCCAAAAAAGAGATACAGGATTTGCTATTAAGAACATATTTCTGGTCACAAGGCCTCATTGCTAATATTCCTTGAAATGAAATTTATAAAACAAACTTTAAAAACACATTTTTAAAAAGTAAGTTAAACAAGATGGGGGGAGGGAGAGGAAGGAGAGGAAGCAAAGTTGGGTGAAGTGGACTCCTTTTAAAATCATGCAATTTATTCTCACAATGCCTATAGTAATGGCCTTAAAATCCAGTATTTCCTGAAATATTAAAAATTAAATAAGTAAAAAATGACTCTAATACTCACTGTTAGACAGGACTCTATCTGAGAATATTTAGCATTCTAATATGGCACTATGAATTATCGTTATTAACTTAAAAAAAAATTCCTCACTGGTTCTGGACATGTGCTAGCCCCCAGTTAAAGCAAGACCATGTCATGGCCAGTGGTTCCTCTTGCCCCAAGGCAGAGCGTTCTGTCCCTGCGGGGATCCCTGAACACTGGCTGACAGAGCACAATACCAGATTAGGGACTGTCTTATGAAACACAAGAAATATAACACCTCCAACAAAGTGGGTTTAGGGAAGCCATCGGAATGCACAGGTGGCACCCAATGCAGTCCCAGCCTCCTGGCAGAGGTCTCTCTCCCTTCTCTTCTCTCTTCTTCACCCCCATTACCCTGCAAGAATGTATGTGCTAGCACTTGATGCAAAGCACAAGCAGGTGCATTTTCTGCCTGGTGACAGTCCCCCGGGAAGTTCAAGAAAACTAAACAACCCTTTAAGAAGTTAGCCATCAACACTGGACATGACTGTTTTGAGGGCAGATGGAATCATTTCCGCCCGCAGTGCTGGATACAACTGCCTAGAAAGAAGTTCCTACTTTAGGCCCCTGAAGTCAGAGCTGCCTGAGGCAGGGCACTAGGACACATTCCCTTCTCTCCAGCCAACAGCCGTCAGTCCCCATTCGATCTCTGGTGGCCCCGCTGCCCAGCCCGGTCCCACGTGCTGCATAAAGAAAAGAGTCGTGCTCTACTTATCCTCACATTTCTGCCTGGGGTACGCACCATGGGAGGTGCTGGCGTCGGCATGATGGCGGTGGGTGGGATGGCGTGGGGGAACGGCGTGAAGGTGTGCTGGTGCGTGTGCTGGTGGGTGTGCTGGTGCTGGTGCTGGTGCTGATGGAACTCGGTCCGCAGGTAGGGCGGAGGGCCCAGGGAAGCCCCGCGGTCAGCACTCTGAGAGGCCAAAAAACGAGTGTTCAGTTCCTGTCGCAAGATGTCTTGCTCTGGAAGAGAAGAAGAGGGAGACGATGACGCCTTTTCCTTCAGAAAAGGACATCGGACTGCCTTCCTGTGGAGGGGTACGGGGCTGGTGACACAGTGGCAGGGGTGACAGGGTGTGGCTGGGCCCTGAGATAAACGGGGGCAATCAATGAAGCAGACGAGACCAAGGCCCGGTCGCACCCTGTCTCCCTGTTCTCTAGCTGGTCTCCCAGCTTTCAGGGACAGGCAGTCTATCAATCTGGGGAACAAACTCCAGGCCAAATGCCAAAGTCCGATTTCCAGCTGTCACCACTGGCTGAGTGACCCTGGGCATGGCAAATAACCCATCTGAGGGCCAGTTTTCCCATCTCCAAGAGGGGGACAATAATATTGCCTAACTCATGGGTTTGATTTTTGAGGGTTAAAGCAATTTGCACGTTTAAGTGCTTGGGAACAGTGATAGCACACTAATAAATGTCAGCTGTTCACACGGCAGGGCTCGCATGTCCTCTTCAAGTGTCAATTACTGCTATATGGCTCTCTGTATTGGCGGCATAACATGGCTACACTGGACCAAAACTGGGACGCTTGACCTGATTAACACAGGTGAGGAGACAAGGACCCTGTGTCTAACATGAGATCTGCCCTTAAAATTCTGGGATATATTGTCACAAAGAGTGTGTCATCTCCTCCCAAGGAGACAGGAGAAGGCCCTGCCCTGCCCAATGAAAAGAAACCCCTTAAACCAGGACACAATCTAAGATCCTGGAGCGAGACAGACATGGGCTTGGGGACGCTTCCATCGCCCTCAGGGGAGCCCAGACGACACGGGACACACTACCTGGGTCTGACCACTCAGTGGCTGAATTTAGCTGGAAATGCCTCCTAACTCCAAACAAACCCACTCTCTTCGGGCAGTGTCTGATTCACAGGGGCTGAGCTAGCTTAGTATGGGTGCTGACAGGTATTTTTGCTGGACCTCAGGCCAGAGAGCGTTTGAGGAAGATCACAGTAAGGAAGGAAAAAATTGTAGGCAAATGCAACCTTGCAATCGGGACAACATAGGTAGGGTGAGGTCACAGCGAGGGGCGGTGGGGGTCGGGGTCACGAGCACAGGCCCCTCCGTCCTACCTGAGTAAGTGCTCCCGGCCGGGTGTCCGGCCACCTGCAGACTTCCTGATGTCAGTGGTGGTGGAGGAGGCAGAGCAGTGGGAGGGGCAAACATATTGGGGTGATGTGAGTGTGCGGGGGGCTGGAGGGTGGGTGTGAAGCTGTGCAGGGGGCTGTGGTTGGGCAGGGAGAGGGGGAACGGGGAGGCAGAGGGGTGGTGGGAGATGTGAGGTGGGGCGGGCTGAGTCTTCGCTGGAGTGCTGCTTCTGCTGCTGCTATCGGAACAAGAAAAAAAAGAAAAGAAAAAAATAAAAAAAGGTAAGCAATGTATTCTCTTTAAAAGAATCCTACCTCCTTCCCCTAAACCCTCACCACAGTCTCTCTTGCCCCTTCCTCTTTACAGATCCTCCCTGTACGAGCACACTTTCTGAAATCACAACTCCTGCAAACTTTCCCATCGCTACTGCAGACAGAGCAAACCGAAACTGCTGCTTCAGGGCTGTGGGGCATCTTGGTGTCGAGACAGCTCATTCTGCCTAAACCTCAGGGCCTCTCTCGCTCCTGTGGCCAGATTCTCATCAATGCCCCTAGAAAATCCCCAGCCTTCCATCCTCCACTAGCTACATCTCCTATAAAGCAACGGTTAACAAAAAGGAATAAAAAAAGCGATGATCTGAGTTCCCCCCATCTGTCTTGTTACCTCTTAAATGAAGACACACAAAGAAGAGGTGAAACCCAGGTGCCTGGGTTCTCACATCACTTTATGGTCTGGAGGCCACAGAAACGGCCGAGGGGGCAGAAGCCGGGCCCGGCTCCTTGGGGAAGGAGGAAACCTGCCCCCCAAAGACTGTGCTTTCCCCTCTTAGGAAAAAGCAAGGCCCGGAACCACCAAAGCCACCAGGTTTTCAAAAGAAAAACAGTAACAAAGACACACAGCCTCAGGAGCTGTGCCGGGTTAGAATTATAGCCCCCGGGGCACCAGGGCTCGGCTCTACTTGGCGCTGCACACTGGGTTTCTGCCTCTCTTTTCTTTGCTGTGTTCCTCTGTGCTGCTTTTTAGACGCTTCTTTGTAACTTGGCAAAAACAAGACAGAGGAGAGAGCCTGGATTTCCATAAAGAAATTTCTCACTTTCTCTAAATGCAGCTTGTTTTGTTTCTTCCCTACTTCTCTGACCCACATAGGAGGAAGTAAATCAGAATGAAAAAAAAAATCCTTAAGCTGGAATACTCATCAGGTCCCAATCTTCCTGCCTTTGGAGCTGCAGGGAGACGAGTTTTCTTTAACACTTCTTCCATCAGAGGCAGAGAGCCTCTCTTGAAAGGATCTGCTCACACTGCATGGCCTCTGATATGCCCCAGGCTTCGACTCCCTGCCTCCCACTGCTGCTGGGTCTCCCTGGCCCAGGGCTTTCCAAGCCTTCCTCTCCTTCCGCCTCCACTCTCGAGTGCCCATAAATATTTTACTTCTTTACAATGTCCTCACCACCCACCCATCCCAACCTGTCCTTTCCCAAGAGACCCGAGTCTCACCCAACAGCCCCATTCCCTGTCTCTAGTCTCAGAGAAAAGGATGATGTTTCCAACAAGGAAACCTCAGTCTCCCTAGGGATCCCTCCCCGACTCCCACCCACCTGATCCCCAGGGAGAGGGCAAAAGTCAGGCCAAAGAAGAGCAGGCCACTCACCTTAAACTGTTGAGGCTTAAGCTACTGCTGTTGTAGGCTGACAATGGCTGGGAGAGGCTCTGAGCAGAGGGGTGGGCCTGCACAGGTGGGAGGTTCTGATGGAGCAGCTGGGTGGGGGACTGTGGCCTGGGTGGCCTCTGCACCTGAGGCTGCGGGGCAGGCTGGAGCTGGGCCTCAGGAGGGCCCTGTGGTGGCTGTGTACTCAGAGGTGGGGGTTGAGGTGGGGCCTCTGTGCGCTGCACCAAGTCAGGGTCCGGAGAAGGAGCTCGGAGTTGGGGCTCCGTCTGCGGCTGGGGTATTGGCTGTGCGACCTGAGGGCAGGGGTCTTTAAGCACCACAGGCTCAAAGATTGGCTCTTTGCAACAGTCCTGGCTCTTCTCCTGGCTTCTCTCTAGACCCGATATCTTGGGGACAATCGGCCCTGCATCCTGGCTGTCATGTTCTGGTAGCGTGCCAACACCTAACTCCGGATCTGCATGGGAGAGAGCAAAGACAAAACCACAGGCAATGACATGCGAGTGTGGCATAAGGAGGGAAAGGAAACTCCAAGGCTATCACACAACTCCAGCAACAGGACCTGGCACCAACCCTCCTGGCTTGGGTCCTTGTCTCCACCACCTGCGGGGGTATGCGCCCACAGCAAATGGGGTCAATGGTGGACAGAGAAAGATGCAGGAACAGCCTTTGACCATGGGGAGCAATGACCCTGGGGGTGTGGGAAGGGAGAGAAAGGCCAACTGGCCAGAGGAGACTGCATTCAAGAAAGTAGCCTAGCGCCAGGCATAGGGGCTCACACCTGTAATCTCAACACTTTGAGAGGCCGAGTTGGAAGGATTGCTTGAGCCCAGGAGTTCGAGACCAGCCTGGGCAACATAGCAAGACCCTGACTCTACAAAAAAAAAAATTAGCCAGGTGTGGTGGTGTGTACTACAGTCCAAGCTACTCGGGAGGCTGAGGTAGAAGGATCGCTTGAGCCCAGGAGTTCAAGAGCACCCTGGGCAACGTAGCGAGACTCTGTCTCTGTATGAGAAAAAACAGCAGCCTAGACTACATTCTGAAAATGAATGTTTTCCTTAATCTCCAGAAAGTCTTTTATGGCATCACAATTAAGAAACAATAGTTGACAAGTTGATTTTTCCCTTTTAAAACAAATACATTTGTTGAACATACAAAAGAGAAGTGTTTTCTATTGAAATGAGTCAAACATTATTTAACATCACACGGATGTTTTTTCTTGGCCTTCCCTTCCTCCCCACTTTCCATTTTGACCAAAGGGACACACTTGACATTTACAGATAATTTTTTGTTCAGCAAGTGCTCAACTTCCAAGTGAAAAGGCAGGTCTCTTAATGCCCGTCACCTGATCCCAGCAACTTCTGAGATCAAAGGTGCAAACGGGAACTGAAATAAAGTTTCCCATCAACTACACTTGCTAGAGCTTTTAAGAAAGTCCCCTGGGACCACATGGGGTTCCCCACTCAACCAAGTTAAAGGGGTGCTGGACATTGAGACTAACCTTGGATATTAAATTTAAGTGAAATTCTACAATCGTGAAAGAAATATAGAAAATAGCTGCTCCTGTATGGATGTAAAAGATGTACTCCCTCCAAAGGTCAAAAGATCTCCCTCCAAAGGTCAAAAGGGCCACATTTAGTAGAATGGCTTGATTACCCCATAAGCCAAACTCCATAAAAATCTCAAAACAGAATAACGAAAGACCAGTAGGGCACTCAATAGAAAAGAATGGCCCCATTTGGGAGTAAGTACTTTTGTATACAACTGGGGGAAAATTATCCTTCCCATATTTTTGTGCTGAAAAGATGCATCCTTTTATTACTACACAATTTCAAAAGAGAAAAAGAATAGATGACAACATCCTTTGAAATGAAGGTGTTTTTCAGGCATTCTTAAATGAACTGCCCTGGGCGTTAACTTTCTCCTCTTACCTCATTGTATCAAACGGGAAAAGTATGTGGTATTCTTGTTGGTTCTATGTATTTCTGGGGTTTTCTGTTTTTTGTTTTAGAGGTGGGGTCTCCCCAGGTTGTTTAGGCTGGACTGTACTGGATATTCACAGGTGTAATCACAGCACACTACAGCTCCAACTCCTGGGCTCAAGTGATCCTCCTGCCTCAGCCTCCTGGGTAGCCAGGATTAGAGGTGCCTGCACTGTGCCCGGCTTACATATTTCTGTTTACGTACTGTTGTATATACACACTTGTTTGCCATTATTCCTTGGAATTCTCATCAAAGCAATTCATTATTTTCAATGTTCTTTTGGTAACACAGATCAAACCGATAACATGCACAAAAGCAAAAACAAAACTTGGGTTTATAAACAAAGCAAATTTTTGGCTAACAGAACTTGGCTATCTTCAGGTCTCTCCAAACAGCCTGGAACAATAACACCAGCGAGATGGGAAGAAAGCTGCCTTCTTCACATGCTTCAGAGGTATGAAAAGACCGAGCACTTGGCAAAGCGCTGATGAAAAGTAACTCTGGACTTCCGACATTTCTGTCCAGTGCTGTCTTATCAACCTTTCTGGGAAGATTTTTGCTTAGGATAAAGCTGAAATTGAAAGGCTTCTCAAAACCTTTGTTCCTAACTTCAGGGCTAAAGGGGCACCCCAAGCCCTTGCTGCGGATAGGTCCCCATCCAGCTAGCAAAGCTCCTGGATCCAATGAGGAAGGAAGGCCCTTTATTCAGAGATGTCACAGTTAGGGATCCAGCTCTGTGTCTCTCCATGTGTCTTCACAAAATTTCCCATATTTTTCTTTCACAGGATTTTCCCACAGCAAGCTATTATCAAAGGCATTGAAAAATCACGTGCTTCATATGCATGATCCAGGCCTTTGAGTCAGGTCTGGGACAGAAAGTAAGAACAGCCCAGAAATCCTAACAGCACAAAACAGAGGAGGGGTTTCACCCAGTGAGAAGTTCTAGGTACATGAGCAGGACTCTTCTCACACTGACAGCTAATTCAGGATTTTTATGCTTGGTACAATGGCAGAAACACTTTTTAAAAATCTTTTTGTAGGCCGGGTGCGGTGGCTCACGCCTGTAATCCCAGCACTTTGGGAGGCCAAGGCGGGCGGATCACGAGGTCAGGAGATCGAGACCATCCTGGCTAACACGGTGAAACCCTGCCTCTACTAAAAACACAAAAAATTAGCCGGGCGTGGTGGCGGGTGCCTGTAGTCCCAGCTACTCGGGAGGCTGAGGCAGGAGAATGGCGTGAACCTGGGAGGCAGAGGTTGCAGTGAGCTGAGATCACACCACTGCACTCCAGCCTAGGCGACAGTGTGAGACTCCGTCTCAAAAAAAAAAAAAAATCTTTTTGTATTACTCTGTTTTCTCCAGACTGGGCTGGTGAAGACATCAATAAATACTTTCTATCTTGGTAAGTATACATTCAAATTCCCTCCCAAAATCAGCTTCCTTTTCCAAAGGACACCACTTGGAGTATATCATTCACACTTACTTATGCTGGTAAGGAGGCACATCAGAGACACATAAGGAAGTACTACAGATATCTAGCTTGACTCTGTTTACCTCCTTGTTCTTGAACGAGCCTCAAGAATTTGGATAACACAGCCAAGCTTGCAGATGGCATCCTGCAGGCGTGGGCTCGCTTCCCAAGGCCCCGGAAAGGCCACTGGAGTTGACTTTCTTGTCTCCTCTGTTGCCTCACTGTCTCAATCTCAACCTAACCACAGCTAGAACATGAGGAGTGGTGCCAAGGCTGTGGCCGTCAGCACCACCTCCAACAAGCTACCAGAGATGAAGGGAAGACCCCAACCTCTCCAGGGAACCCTGCAAATCTGTACGGCACTCCTTTAACTTTAATGCATGTTCAAATCACCTGAACATCTGATTAGAATCCCCATCCAGATTCCACAGCTCTGGGATGCGGCTCTAGATTCTGCCTTTCTGAGGATCTTCTAGGTAAGGCTGAGGCTGCTGATGTGAGGATCACATTTTGAGTAGCAGGATCTAATCTAACACTCTCTGACCAGATAGGGAATATGCCCAGAGAAGTGAAGGAACTTGCTTGCTGGAAGTCACGTCCTTGTTTTGTAAACCAGAAGGCTTGAGTTCCAGTCCCAACTCTGCCAACACCAACTGCCTTTTCTCCAATCTATACTATGCTGCCTCCTAAAAAGCAGAAGTCTCAAAGCAAAGCAGGTAATGATAAATCCAGGATTCAGTTAAAATATTTAAGTACATCAGACTTAAAGTGTAGAGGGTTAGTAAAGCTACAAAGAGTGGCTGTAACACTGCACTTCAGCCAGCCCTGAAAGCAATCAGTCCATCGTTGCTCTGGTACTGCAACCTATAAACAAAGCAGTGATGAGTTTGAGCTGGTAAGAACTTCGGGGGCTGAAACAGTTTTATGACTCCCCATTTACAAGAGTCTCTTGAGGCACAGGCGTCAGGCATTTTTGTGGCTAATCGGTAATGCATTTCCTCTTCCTTTCAATTATTCAATAAATGTATCTTCCCAGTTAAGCTTTTCCATCTTGACAGTCAATTTGTCTTACTGTACTTCTCCAAAATTGGCAGCAACACATTTTAAGAAATCGCTTGGTATTGCACTGCATACTCTGAATTTGCCAAAGGATAAAGGAAAGAATGAAAGTTGCTGAATTTGAAAGACATAAGAATGTACAAATTGAGTAGTCTTATTTAAATGTTGTATTCATTACATTTTGGGGTTTAAAACTCTCTCTTCTTGTGATTATAAAAATAGTTCATCATGCTTATACTAAAATACATGCAAATTCAAATTACATTGCGTACTTTACGGTAAAAAGGGTGAGTTTATTGCATGTAAATTGTACCTCAATAAACAAACTTTAAGAGATTAGGAAAAATTGGTTTCATTTTGATATAGGTTTGATACAAGTTGCCTGGGGAAAATGGGCCCTTTTTTTGTACTTTACTAGTAGAATGCAAACTCTACAACCTCTGTGGAGGTTTAGCAAAATAACAAATGGAGTTCCCTTGGTGTGGTGTGTTAAGGATTTAGTCTACAGACACAATGAAATAGTACCATGGTTTGAATACCAAGTTTGGAAGCCACCTAAATGTAACCATTAGGAGACTGGTTACGTATGTTTGCAGATCCACACAATGGAACACCTTGCAGCTGTAAAAAAGAATGCCGAATGTACAACGTAGAGCATTTACTATCTTTTGTGGAAAATGGAGGGAAATAATATATATATTCATCTTATTTTACGTACAAAGAAGCCGTGTGGCTGGGCGCAGCGGCTCACGCCTGTAATCCTAGCACTTTGGGAGGCCGAGGCAGGTGGATCACTTCAGGTCAGAAGTTCAACACCAGCCTGGCCAACATGGTGAAACTCCATCTCTGCTAAAAATACAAAAATTAGCCAGGTGTGGTGGTGTCTGCCTGTGATCCCAGCTACTTGGGCGGAGGGTGCAGTGAGCTGAGACTGCACTACTTACGCTCAAGCCTGAGTGACAGAGCAAGACCCTGTTTCCAAAAAAAAAAAAAAAAAAAAAAAAAGAAGCCATGGAAGAATACTCAAGAAAACAGTAACAGCAGTGACTACCTGTTTAGGGGCTTGGGAGGAGTGAGAACTGGATAGACAGGGAACTGGGGTGTGTGTGTGTGTATATATGCATAAAAAAATAAGAAAATGTAATCTGTGAATGTGTAATAAATTTGAAAATAAAATGGATTTTATGAAAAAATATAAATTGCTAAAATTGACTTAAAAACCCAACAGGATCATCAAAATAAAAGGAAAAAGTACTCAATAATCCAAACCTTCACCTCCCCTCCCAAAAGGTATCTGTTTCACAGACAATGTTGGCCAAACCTTTAAGAAACAAATTATTCCTGTCAACTAAATTGAAAACCAACAGCAAATATTATACAACAAAAGAAAGAGGAAAAACTGTTTACAAAAAATATAATTACCTAGCTGGAAAACAGAGGCAACCAGCTGAGAAAATATTAGAACTAATAAGAGAGTGCAATGAGATATCCAAATAAAGAAAAACCACAACCAACCTCAGCTTTTCTATACACCAGCAACAGTCAGAAAATGAAGTTTAGAAAGGATCCACTTCATAATAACAAAAACCATAACACCTGGGAATGAACCTAACAAGAAAATTACAGGGCTTGTAAACCTTCAGAAATGGCTTCCCCCACAAAATTGCTTTTTTCAAAGTGTTTTTCAGTGCAAAAAAGCGCGAACTAAGTCAGTCACGTAATAGATAGTTCCCATTGGAGGATACTACTCCCTATGGGAAGAGATGGAAATTTGTGGGAGTGTGTGGCTATCACTATGACTGCAGGTCACTGGTGGCTCTTAGGGATGTCTGATTTGCTGCAACGTGCGCAGCAACCCCACACGACAACATCTCAATGCACTTCCTAAATTCCACCCGACATTTGTGCAGCTGAAAACCCTAGAACCCACCACCTCTGTTTTTGTATATAAACACAAAGTAATTCTTTGCATGGGTTTTAATATACGCTGATTTTTCCAGGAATGCAGGGACTGTACTTTGTTATATCTGGGTCATATGCAAGGGTTGATGGCTATTTGGGAAAATCATGACACAATGGTAAGGCTGCTCCAGGTATCTGAATCTCCATGACCATGTATTTGTGTGAGTCTGCATTTGTAGTAGAAGTATTTAGATACCATTCTAGATATAAAGTCAAACATTGTCTTCTAATATAAACAAGCACTTACATACTTAAAGGTATGTTATTATAAATGACTTGGTTTCCACTTATTTCTCCTTTATATTTTATTAGGGCTTTATATATACTTTTAAATTATGTATGTAGATGGGTACATTAAGTATCTATTTCATTCCAGAAAGTAAAAAATGAATGCGCTATAAAATATTTCTTATTATTATGCTGGGTCTGGTAGGGTTGAGATTCGGTATACTCTGATGAACTCCTACACTTCTAAAAGTCCAATGACTTACTGCACAAATGCAGTAACAACCTCCTAGGGTGGTTGTGGAAATAAATTAGGCCATGTAAAGTGCTTTCCACAATGCACAACACATAATAAGTAAGTAATCAATCAATATTCCCAAAACTATTGTGAAGAAGTATTTAATGTCACAGAAAATATCTCATGACAAAATTGCCATTAAATAAAGTGCACTATTATCAGTGTGATCTCAATAGTGAAAACTACGTGTGTAAATGTATACAAGTATGCACAGAAAAGAGACTGGAAAGATAAACATTAATTGCAGTCCCATCATCCAGAAATAAACATTGACTTTAATTCTCATATTGTGCTTTTAACTTTCAAAATTGAGGAGGAGGAGGAGGAAAAGTGCAAAACAAATGAATATTATAGAAAATTTGGAAAGTTAAGCACAATATAAAAATTAAAGTCAATGTTCACTTTGTTATTAAACACAGCAAATAATTATATATAGTTATTAAATAATAGTATTATTTACTGTAATTAGTAAAGTATACTTATTAAATTTTTATTAAAGTAAATAAGAGTATTATTATTGTTAAAGTAAAAAAAGAGATGCTATATTTTAAAATTAACTCTTTTCGCGGACAATACACCTCTACCATTAAAATAAGCCAACTGAGAAAGTGATCGTTCAAGTCTTTTTAAATTGCCTTACCTACTGAATTTTTTTTTTGAGATGGAGTCTCACTCTGTCGCCCAGGGTGGAGTGCAGTGGCATAATCTTGGCTCACTGCAGCCTCTGCCTCACCTCCCAGGTTCAACTGATTCTTCTGACAACCTTCCGAGTAGCTGGGATTACAGGGGCCTGCCATCATGCCCAGCTAATTTTTGTGTTTTTAGTAGAGATGGGGTTTCACCATGTTGGCCAGGCTGGTCTCGAACTCCTGACCTCAAGTGATCCACCCCCGCCTCGGCCTCCCAAAGTGCTGGGATTACAGGCGTGAGCCACCATGCCTGGACTATTGAATAGATTTTTTAAAAATCTCTTCACCAAGAGGACAGATAAATATTTGACTCTGTGTATGGTGCATAGTTTTAATTTTTAAAAATATGGTGCATGTGTTTAAAAAAAAAAAAAGTTAAAAGGGTCTTGCTCTGTCGCCCACGCTGGAGTGATCATAGCCCATTGCAGCCTCAAACTCACATGGTGAAGTGATCCTCCCCACTCAGTCTCCTGAGGAGATGGGACTACAGGCACACATCAGAACATGGTGCATATTAAACCTTCCACCTGTTCTTCAGAATTTCTAACTGGTTCTAACTGGGTATTATTTGGACAGAAAGGAAAGGGTGAATATTGATGAAGGAGGAGGAGGAATACAAAACAAAAACAAAAATACACAAAAAACCAACTCTCCCAAAGTACAGCTTCTGCACTTCTGGTCTTCACATCTTCATATTCTGTTACGAAGTCTCCTAACAGGACTTACTAACTACAAGGTCATTACCGCAGCAAACCTGAAGAAGCTTCCAAAGGCATCAAGAAAACTATGTGGGGGGCACTAGCTCCTAGAACATCCATCCATCCATGCATCATCCATTCATCCGTATCTTTTTGAATATCTAATCCTTATGACTTAGAAAGAGACATGTCCTATTTTTATTATTCCATCTTCCAGTTAGCTTCTCTCGTTACTGTCCAAATGACAAAGCCACAAAGAGCACACCACACAGAAAGACTACAGATCACAGTCAAATAAGAAAATTAACCCAGACTTTAAAGTGCGAACATTAATAAGGGACTGAAATGTTTAAACACTGGCAATCCCAGAGACATATGGAAATATCAAATTTCTGTGAATCAACATGCAATTACCTCAAGCTGGTAGCAATGTCTATTTTATTTTATTTTTTTGGACACAGTCTCACTCTGTTGCCCAGGCTGGGATGCAGTGGTGCAATCACAGCAGACTGCAGCCTTGACTCCCCGGACTCAAATGATCCTCCCACCTTAGTCTCCAAGTAGCTGGGAGGCTGAGGCATGTGCCACCATGCTGGTTAATTGTTTATATTTTGTAGAAATGAGGTCTCACCATGTTGCACAGGCTGGTCTTTAACGTGTAGGCTCAAGCAATCCTCCCGCCTAGGCCTCTCAAAGTGCTGGGATTATAGGTGTGAGCCACCCTGCCCAATCAATGTTCATTATTATTTTATTTTATTTTATTTTATTTTATTCTATTTTGAGACAGAGTCTCGCTCTGTCGCCCAGGCTGGAGTGCAGCGGCGCGATCTCGGCTCACTGTAAGCTCCGCTTCCTGGGTTCACGCCATTCTCTTGCCTCAGCCTCCCCAGTAGCTGGGACTACAGGCACCCGCCACCACGCCTGGCTGATTTTTTTTTTTGTATTTTTAATAGAGACGGGGTTTCACCGTGTTAGCCAGGATGGTCTCGATCTCCTGACCTCGTGATCCACCCGCCTCGGCCTCCCAAAGTGCGGGGATTACAGGCGTGAGCCACCACGCCCGGCCAATGTTCATTATTTAATTACCTTCACCTGTCTATTCTGTTGCCTCAAACAAAATCTCTTTTTAAGCAAAGACTGCACATTGTATATACGTATTAAAACCCCAACCGCCCTACTGAGTTAATTTAGCAATACTTTAAATTCCCCCTGCTAAGTTTTGATTGTATCTCCAAAATTCTACATTCAGTGATGTTTTGCAGAAAAATGTCCACTTTCTCTAACATACACTTCACTTTATTTTCCTCCTCTCCCTCTTTTCTTCAAATCATTAAGCAGAGACCAGTTTGTTCCATTAGAAGATTCAATTACTTGAACGAATGGAAGGATGACATTCAGTCTTGCAGCTCTTCTTCTTGGTCACTGAAACTGTACAAATAAATTGAGGAAAACCCACTGTTTGTTCAAGGCAAATTAATTTTCAAACACTGCAAGAGTGGAAGATCAGGGGGAATGATGGGTGCTTGGCAGGGCTCGAAGAGATTCTATTTTGTGCTTGTCATGTTGTGTAAACATTAATTACCATCTGGGAGGCTGAGCTGTGGGCTGAAGTCTGTATCACAAACCTCTGAGGGCCTTCAGGGTTCCTATTAAAAGCAAAATCCTAAATAGGAAAAAATAGCCATTGCATCTGCCAAAACACCAGCAGCCCACTGGGAGAGCTGTGTGGAGTCCAGTGGATTAGAGGCTGCTGTTATCAGAGAAGCTAGTTTGGCTATCATCTAGTTGAGCAGATTAACCCTGATAGGGGTTAATCTGCTAGGGATTAAAGGAAAAGCAACACACCGCAGTTGAGTGTACTTAAACTTGTTTCAAGTTTATTGCTCCTAAACCCCACACCAAAACACATCAATCCTGATGCACATGCCCACATTCCTGATGCCTTAAAACCAAAACATCTGCCTTCAAGGGGGGTGTATCAACCACAATCTTGACTGTGGAGACCACAGGTTCTCTGAATCATGGCTTTGGCCTACAGAATGAAGAGCTTTTAGGGTCAACCTGGACTTGCAAACATTTTGTTTATTTTGCAGTCTCAAGCAAACAGAGCCACAAAGGACTATGTAATCAAATGACCAACATTAGAATGAGAGAAATAGGTTGTGATCTATTGGGGGTGGGTATGGCATCCTTAAAAAGTCTTTAGAAACTCAACAATGTCAAGGTCACATATAATCCATGTGATTGTCACTTCATACGGGGGAAAAACTCATTTGTACTACCCTGCCTCATGTGCCTATCTTTGTGTTAGGCCCTGTTCAGGACAAATGAAAAAAATAGGGAAATGGTAGTCAAAGAACCTGTGGTCCTGATCTTTCGTTTTTGTTTTCTGTAAGGCTCACAGATAAGCTTAGATAATCAGACTTAATGATGATATCCTATATCTTATTCTGAGTTATCAACGGTAAGGCATTTATATCTATAACACGTTCCCACTGCACCGACCCCAAGGGTCTTAGGCCAATATCAGCTGAATCCTGTGATGTGATATGTAGAGACCTGACAGGAGAAATAAGGTATGAAGGATGCAATCTCCAGTCACTTCCAAGAACACAGGAAAACTCCAAATATTGGTTTCGGAGAAAGCTTTTAAAGACACGGCCCCACTTTTTGTTTGTTTGCTTGTATCCTCCTGCCAGCCTCAATATTTATTAGCTGCTTCCTCTGGATAAGATCATCTCCTGCTTGCTTTCCATTCCCAGTGCAGCCTTCCTGCTACCCCCAGACTCCTTCCGCGATTCTTAGCTGTCCTGGCCTGTCCACCCCTGCCTGGCTGTTAACTAAGTGCTCACATGACACTGTGTACTACGCACATACACAGCCCAAGCACAGCCACCCTTAAAACCAGTGTATGCAGGCCAGGCGTGGCAGCTTATACCTGTAATCCCAGAACTTTGGGAGGCCAAGGCCAGTGGATCACTTGAGGTCCAGAGTTCAAGACCACCCTGGCCAACATGGTGAAACTCTGTCTCTACTAAAAAAAAAAAACAAAAATTAGGTGGTGTGGTGTCACGCGCCTGCAATCCCAGCTACTCAGGAGGCTGAGGCAGGAGAATCACTTGACCCCAGGAGGCGGAGGTTGCAGTGAGCCGAGATCGTCCCACTGCACTCCAGCCTTGGCAACAGAGTGAGATTCTGTCACAAAAAACTAGTGTATGCTCAATACTTAAACACGGTACTTCTGTGTCTGTGACACAGGTGTAGGAGGTCCTAACAAGGCAAGGTTCTAAAAGGATTTTCAAACAAACATGTATGGATTTGCACCACACAGCACGCCTACTCTGAGTAAAGATGAAATTGAAGGACAAGGCTATCATTGACCTAAAAGCCACAGCACACATTCCTTAGGCGGGAAGACAATGGGGAAAATGTTAGCTTATTTTGGAAATTTTCCCAAGGGTGAGACCAAGGCACTGAATAGGAATAATTTTAGATGTTTGGTGTAAAAAAATTAAAAAGATAGTCTTCCCAGTATCTAACCATCCTGCTTTTCACATTAAGTTGAATAAAATAAAGATACAGGCAGCCCTGCTTCCAGTATTTACATTACTAAATATTGTGTGGAAGGCAAAGCCGCGAGGCTCACAGATGGGGTGCATTATAGATCTGACACCTTCCTTCCTACCGCTGCCCTCTGCTAACCCTAACACCTTCATCCGAGAAGCTGATGTCCACACCCCAAATGGGCCATAACCATGAGGCTAATCCAGCCCTGGTCACCATCTGAAGCACACATTCTGTGTTGCAACGCGCCCCTGTCATTTTACCTGTTAATGTCATCAACGATTTTGGGGTGTTTTGCACGTCTTTTGATAACAGAGACATCAACATGTCTGTGATATAATGGGGCCATGGAACAAGTCATTTAGCTAATAACTTTCACACTCTTAAAAAGTCAGTGTGCCCATTAAGGTTGGCCAATGGGTGGGTCTAGGGTAAACCCTAGTTTCGAGTTTCAACACTTATGACTTTACCAAAGATGATTTTCTCAAGGATGAAGTAAAGCCACTAGCAGCAAAGACCGACTTACATACTGTCCGTCATCTACCACCTTCCTGCTTTGCATCTGATGATTGTATTTCATCTGATTTGGGGCACACATTGGACAATCACTGAGACCCATTTAGAAAAGAGGCTGGGTATGCATGCCAAGAGGCAAAGTAGGAATTTCCATCTGTTGGACGGGTGTGGTGGCTCACGCCTGTAATCCCAGCACTTTGGGAGGCCAAAGTGGGCGGATCACTTGAGCCCAGGAGTTTGAGACCAGCCTAGGCAACATGGCAAAACCCTGTCTCTACAAAAAAATACAAAAGTTATCCGGGCATGGTGGCGTGTGCCTGTAGTCCCAGCTACTCAGGAGGCTGAGGTGGGAGGAACACCTGAGCCTGGGAGGTGGAGGGTGAGGTGGGAGGAACACCTGAGCCTGGGAGGTGGAGGCTGAGGTGGGAGGAACACCTGAGCCTGGGAGGTAGAGGCTGCAGTGAGCTGTAATCAATGCCACTGCACTCCAGCATGGAAAACAGAGTGAGACCCTGTTTAAAAAAAAAAAAGACTTTCCATCTGTCGAGTTTATCCTAGGCTTTTTCTTAGCTCTGGCCCTACACACACATACTCTCCGCACCCGAGTCACCTGTACCATGCACTATCCCTGTGCCCACTTCCTATTCCTCCAGATTACCCTCTCATCAGGGTCCAGGTAGCCAAAGAAAGGCTCCAAGTTACCCTAGTAGAAAGAAGTGTCTGTGATATCTTATGGCAGTGACTGTTTCATTCTGTTCTGCAGGGGAGGGACCACAGACACCCAGGCATGTGGACCACTCTGGCCCTAAGCTCATCTTTTGCCAATATCACTGCAGAGCAGGAGGGTGATTAATTTCCACCAGCAGTCTCAGCGACCTCAGTCAAGTTTTCCACCAAGTTCACACAGCTGTCACTTGGAGTGTAGTGTAGGTGGAAGCTCTTCTATTCCTTTAGAGCTTTATCAAATATCCTAAAAGCAATCACTGTTTTCCCAGTATCATTCTTGTCCCATAGGCAACAGTTCACTGAGAAGCAGGCTTTGCCTTGGGTAATATCTACTATCCTTTGGCGATGACTTCTCTGTCAGCATTCAGACATGCCTGTTTGTACTCCTGAGGACAGAAGACAAAACTTCTCCTCAAGTCTGTTCACACAACCTGCTATGGCCCAGGGGACCTGGGTGCTGCCAACCCCCTGCAATCTCCCTGACTAGCTTATGCGTGAGCACCAGAGATGCTGCTAAAATGAATCCATGAAAGTAGCTTTCTGGCTATCACACAGCCCTTAATTCTTTAAGTTAGAGGAGGAGGAGCAGGGAAAAGAGGACTTTGACATTTTTTTCTAAGTAAGTTTTGATCTTTCTGGTCCCAAACAATCTACCAGCTCACACTATGACTTCGATGTATGCTACAGCCTCACTATTCCCAGTGTGGTCCACGGCCCAGCAACCCTAGCATCATCCAGGAGCTTGTTAGGACGGTACATTCGCGGACCCCCCTCCCCGTGCCGCCCAGCCCTGCCCCATGCACATTCAAGTTTGCACAGAGCTGTTCTACAGCACTGCTGGGAGGGTTAAAGAGCCTCAGCAAGCCCCACTGCTGAGGGAGGCTGTCCATAAGGCTGCGGATCCTTCTCTGTCTCTGCTTCCCAAGACCCAACCTTAGAAATTCTTTCCTTCATTCCTTCCTAGGGTGGGTCCTCTACCGACATGTAGGTTGGACAGGATGCGGTGGTGGGAGGCAGTGGTGATGTTCACCAGATTAGGAGCTACCCCCAAAAACAACATATTCACGAAAGCCAGCAACAGGGAGCTCCTGTTTGAGGCACTGTTCCCAGTCCGGCTCTATGCAGATTCACTGGACCATGCAGAAAAGGGAGTTCCAGAGCCTTGCCCCAAGTACAACTGTGAGCACCTTCAAGGACCTGATGCTTCTCACACTGAAGAGGAAGCAGATTGATTGGAAATGGCATCATGGACAGAACCAGGACCAAACAATGCATATTGCAGAAGAAAATTTTCAAGTGAAATGGACTAGGCTGCCTCACAGGAGAACAAACTGCCTTTAGGGGAAGCATTCAAGAGAATGCTGAACACCCATGAAAGAACCATGAGGTGTTACCCATGGAGTGGAATGGGGACTGGGCTACAGGGCCTCTGAGAGTCCCAAATGTTGGTAGCACCCTCAGAAGAACACTGCTTCTTTATCCTCCTTCACTTTTCCAGAACGCGGTCTTTTAAAATATCTCACTGGTAGGTTCATGAACACTATTCTCCTTGATTTGCAGAAATTTTGATAAGTGCTACATCCTACGTAGCTGTAAATGAAGAATCTCCACACCAAATGATTTTCATCTATAATAATCTTTAGGAACAGAAGAAATAAATCTACTTATCCCCAGCCATGATGGCTGCAAAGCTGAAAGAGGTTTTTACAAAGGGGGTGACAGGGAGCATTCTGCTGTTCCCTATATTTGAAGAAATGTATCTTTTTTAAAGGACAAGTCTATCAACCTTTACATTGATTTTCTATAAAACATCCATGTAATAAATACTTTGTAGGAAAATAAAATCTTTTGCCATTATTTCATCGCTTGCCATTACTTCATTTCATTATCCTTAATTTGTCATCAATAAAGGAAAAACGTTCAAATATAAACTTTGAAGCTACATACCTATAAGGTTTAGAAAGCAGTGAGGATGGTGATAATAGCTTGTTAGAAATGAGCTCTCTGGGCCAGGCGCGGTGGC
The DNA here is from genome assembly GCF_000001405.40 of Homo sapiens. Classification (NCBI taxonomy): domain Eukaryota; kingdom Metazoa; phylum Chordata; class Mammalia; order Primates; family Hominidae; genus Homo; species Homo sapiens. Next base: position 70,748,111 of record NC_000007.14, on the reverse strand, counting down.
TCATGCCTGTAATCCTAGCACTTTGGGAGGCTGAGACGGGCGGATCACGAGGTCAGGAGATTGAGACCATCCTTGCTAACATGGTGAAACCCCATCTCTACTAAAAAAAAAAAAAAAAAAAAATTGGCTGGGCGTGGTGGCAGGTGCCTATAGTCCCAGCTACTGGGGACGCTGAGGCAGGACAATGGCGTGAACCCAGAAGGCGGAGCTTGCAGTGAGCCGAGATCGCGCCACTGCACTCCAGCCTGGGCGACAGAGCGAGACTCTGTCTCAAAAACAAAAATAAATAAAATAAAATAAAATAAAATAAAGAAATGAGCTCGCTGGGCTGGGCGCAGTGGCTCACGCCTGTAATCCCAGCACTTGGGGAGGCTGAGGCGGGCGGATCACCTGAGGTCAAGAGTTCAAGACCAGCTGGCCAATACAGCGAAACCCCATCTCTACTACAAAACAAAAACAAAAACAAAAACAAAAACAAAACAAAACATAGCCAGGTGTGGTGGTGGGCTCCTGTAATCCCAGCTACTGAGGAGGCTGAGGCAGCAAAATCACTTGTACCTGGGAGGTGGAGGCCGCAGTGAGCTGAGATTGCGCCATTGCATTCTAGCCTGGGCGACAGAGTGAGACTCCGTCTCAAAAATAAATAATAAATAGATGAGCTCTCTGCTGGAGTCACCTTTCACATCTGAAATGCTACAAAGTAGCCTCTAGAAAGAGACAGTGGGAAGTTTTACCTGTCCTTGGATACAGCTGGAGTAAGTCACCAATACACTAGTGCTGCTTACCACTCACAATTATAATCCTGGAAGGGAAATGCTCTCAGACAACCAAGTTGATGCTTCGGAAATGCATGTCAGAATGACTTCTACTTTCCTGCAATCACCTGAACTTTATCTTCAGAGATGCTTTCAAAAAAGAAGGCAGAAGGTAATACGGCCTTCATTTGTTTCTTCTTCAAGAAGCAGCTACACAAATTAACCTAAATGGCCTTGTTGCCTGAGGGCCTTGTCTACCTGGCTGTCCTACCATTACCTCCAGCTCAACAGGACGAAAATCACACCCACCCCCTTCCACTCCCACTCTGTCCTGTCCCCATCATCTAAGCTCAGAATCACAGCATCCATTGTTTTCATTCCCCCAATATTAACTGGTGGTTCATGGGTAAATTATTGCTTATGTGACGCTATTTAAAACAAAATAATGGTTACAGAATCCACTGTCCGCCAGCACCCTGAGTGAGCTCTTAAAATGTAAATCGATCATGCTGACAATAATCACTACTTATAACAACACTGCTACTCCCCGTGTTCACAAAAGCTGGTTTAAAGCTCTCCAGTGGCTTCTCATCACAGACAGAATCCCTCCCAACTCCTCATCAAGGCCTGCCCCCCTCTCCCTCTCCTTCAGCCACCGTCCAGTGCGCCAAGATCCTGCGCTCTCCCCTTTCCCACACAGGTGCACTTTCGAATCCCATCTTTCAGCCTCACGGTTAACCCCTATCCAGTCTCACAGCCCCTGCTAGCCATCTGCTCTGATGAACTTCTAGTCTACACTTAATGTCCTTGGTATTAGCAAGCAACACATTATGTTTCTTATAGAATAAATTATATTTTATTATACAAGATTAAATATGTTCATATTTGAATGACAATAAAACTTAATCCTACGCCAGGTGTGGTGGCTCACTCCTGTAATCCCAGCACTTTGGGAGGCCGAGGTGGGCGGATCACCTGAGGTCCGGAGTTCGAGATCAGTCTGACCAACATGGTGAAACCCCGTCTCTACTGAAAATACAAAAATCAGCCCAGCCTGGTGGCAGCCACCTGTAATCCCAGCTACTCAGGAGGCTGAGGCAGGAGAATCGCTTGAACCGGGAGGCGGAAGTGGCAGCGAGCTGAGATTGTGCCACCGCACTCCAGCCTGAGTGACAGAGTGAGACTCTGTCTCAAAATAACAACAACAACAACAAAAAACCTTACTGCTCTTCATATTTTAATACACACAACTTTTTTGAGGAATGATTTCTTTCAATCTTTGCCTTTACTTCGATTCTGCACACGATGCCTTCCACAGAGTGAGCACTTGATAAATCGTTGATTTCTTTAACCACATAATAATTTACAAAATCTAAGCAAGTTCCTTTATAACTGCAATTCAAAAGGAAAAAAATCATAATGAGAAAAATACTCAATAAACAATTACATGTTAAGCCAGAAAAATCATGTCTCTCTGGAGTTGTTTCCATAATTGGACATCATACTGCAATAAAATAATAGTATATAACGCAAGCAAGTGTGAAATAATTGGAAGCCATTATGAAGTTTAAGGAACTATTTTCAATATACAATAAAACTAATGTTCTATTTTAAATCATAAAAGATTCTAATAGCTTGGTTATTTTTGTATAACAAAAAGAGCAATCAAAAGCAAATAATGTTAAAGGCGAGCAGTGTTAATAATCAAAGGTGGGAGAAGCCTCCAGGTATACGCCTGTGGTCTGCACGCTCCGTCTATAGCAGTCAACACTCTTTATGAGGACAAACACACTTTTATGTGCATAGAAAGAAAAAAATAAGAAAATATAAACAGCTGCTACCCTGGGAATTGTTATGAGGAGCTGTCAGAGGATTCATATTTTCAGCCTTCTATAGTATTTAAATTTTCAACAGAACACTGGCTTTAAATCCGGAAACCTGATACAAAGTCAAACAACTGCGCAGTCAGCAGGTAACTTAAAACACTCATTATAAGCAAATCAAAGTACAAATCTTTTTAAAATTAGCCAACGAGAACTGCTAAAAACTAAATAGAAAAATTAAATGGAAATGAAACACTGAGGAGCAGTGAATGCTGGAAGAAATGATGCCCGAATGACTAAGCTCAAAGTACATGGGGCTGGGGAGACAGAAACAGGGTTTTGTCTTGACACAATAAAAATCTCCGTAATGATAGTGAAATACAATCGGGATACATACACATCAAACTGGGAGATGATACAATACAGAAACGTATAATAAGGACTTTTCTCAAATGCAGAGGGTAAGAGTCAATTTTTTAAAACTGCAAAAAAAAAAATTGCTAATTATTAATATAATACTGAAATCACCATTTTCCTGAGGAGAGCCTGCAATGCATCACTGCAATGGAACTGGAGGGGCGATGATGAAAAGGTGGCCAGGCCACATCAACTCCAGAGCACCTGGAAGGGTGATCTGGAAGAAACCGTCCCCTGCTCCTTTGCCTGCTCATGAGCACATAAGCACCCTGTACACATGAGAGAGGTACAAGCTCCTCCCGTGGGAGGAAAGCAGTATTCTGAAGATGATGGCTGCCAAGGGGGGCTCACGTGTCAGTCAGGTCCTCCAACTGTACAAAGACACAAAGACACTGTCAGAAGCAAAATGACAGGATCTAGAAGCTCTTGCTGCTCTTGCCACCTCGAATATGTCACCTGTCTGCATGGAGCCTCGCTCATCGGTCTGACAACGGCATGCGCCCGGCAGCCAGGCGGCACTGAAGGCTGGCTTACTGTTCCCCGGGTTCACAAAATCAATACAGACTGACTTTACTTGAATTGTGCCTCTTCCTTATATGTCCTCCTCGTCAAGGCACTGTGGAAGGCTTTTAGTCCTGACTAAAGCAGAACTGAAGGACATTCTGAAACCCTGACCTTAAAGACAGGAGAGGGCGGCCTAGAAAAGGCAAGATGAAACAGAGGGCATTCAGCTAATGGCCCCAAACCGAGGATGTGCTTGCCCGTGACATTGGTGGCCTCAGGGGGCCACTGAAAAGAGGAGCGCATCTACCTCACCGCAGACAAATGGCCTCATGTCACTCACCCTTGGAAAACCCATTGTTAATGAGTGACGTTGGCTATATTTCTTCAGATTCTGATTTACTCAGATCTAGACAGTACTTTCAACACCACACTTGGACAAACGATTGCAGTTGAAATTTGGTGTTTTCAAATCCAAACATCCCCCGAGGAAAAACAAAACCTGTTTCCCAGGAACTTTTTGGACTCAGTCAGAAAAGTGAGAACAATATGAAAATGTTTTTGCCAACACTCGGGGCTGGAAATACATGAGTTGGATAGCCTCTCTTACAAAACAGGGGCTGGGGCGGGGGTGGGGGGAGATTACCCCTCCATCCACACTTTAACCACCCCTTCCTGCTTTTTGAAAATGCAGCAAATTCTTTGCTTCAAGTTCCTATACCCTAGAAATGATGATTGCTCCCAGGCAAAGTGACCATGGCCAATGGGTCATGAGGGCCCCAGTCAAAACTATGGGCCTGGCACAAAGGTGCACTTCAGGCACACATTTCAAATCTGTCAGTGCTGGGAGGAAGCAGATGTAAACAAAATAAGACCCACCAACTGGAAAAGAGAGCATGCCCTGACTAGAGGCAATGACATCTTAATCCTCCAGAAGGCACCACAAATCCCACAGACATAACCAAGGATGTTTCCCCCTCAAAACCCCAGATCAATGCACGACAAATGCTTAAATCTTTTTGGGTACAAAGAAACAGAATTTTCTGTCTGCCCTAACAAACGTGAATTTATAAAGCACAGAGTCTGAGGAATAGCCACTTTGGTGAGTTTGTGTCATACTAGTTTTTTTTTTTTTTTTTTTTTTTTTGAGACAGAGTCTCCCTCTGTCAGCCAGGCTGGAGTACAGTGGCGCAATCTCGGCTCACTGCAACCTCTGCCTCCCAAGTTCAAGTGGTTCTCCTGCCTCAGCCTCCCAAGTAGTTTGGACTACAGGTGCGTGTCACCACGCCCGGCTAATTTTTGTATTTCTTGGTAGAGATGGGGTTTCATCGTGTTGGCCATGTTGGTCTTGAACTCCTGGCCTCATGTGATCCGCCCACCTCAGCCTCCCAAAGTGCTGGGATTACAGGTGTGTGCCACAGTGTCCGGCCCAGATTTCTTAAAGAAACAAAAATAAAACAAGGGGAAGCTTATTATCAGTAGTAACTGAATTGGTGAAACTCCCTTACTAAACAGACTAAAAAGCTGAAATAATATGAGTTTAGATTTCCTCCTAAATGCACAGATTTTATGTCCTTCTATGATACAATTTTGCAAGGCAACATATTATAGTTTCAAAATTAACTGGATTCAAGTTCTGGCTTTACCACTAGCTAAGTGACTGTGCATGTAACACTCCACTTCGCAGAGCCTTGGTTTCTTCATCTGAAAAAGAGAGAAGTTTGGGCTTCCTGATATCTGTGGTCCTTTCCAGTTCTAAGAGTCTCCGATTCTATTGGCATTAGTCTATTTTCAGTTAAAGCCATCATCAAATCACACACATGTAAATGATATGAGGTGAAATTCCACTTTTTGAGATGGAGTTTCGCTCCTGTTGCCCAGGCTGGAGTGCAAGGGCGCGATCTCGGCTCACTGCAACCTCTGCCTCCCGGGTTCAAGCTATTCTCCTGCCTCACCCTCCTGAGTAGCTGGGATTACAGGCACGCGCCACCACGCCAGGCTAATTTTGTATTTTTAGTAGAGATGGGGTTTCTCCATGTTGGTCAGGCTGGTCTTGAACTCCTGACCTCAGGTGATCCACTCACCTTCGCCTCCCAAAGTGCTGAGATTACAGGTGTGTGCCACCGTGCCTGGCTGAAATTTCACTTTTAAATCAGAAACTTGATAGGTGAAATACAAGTTTCTCCTCTATGCTGCTCCTAAGTGAATCACCTTTTAGATACTAGCTGAAAAGTAAGAACCATTCAAACTCCAGCTTTTAGATTTTAGAGAAATCTGCTAAATGTAATTAGGAACCAGACTTATGAGATATTCCTCTGGCGGGGGGAGACTTTGGAAAATGGCTAGATCAGCCAAGTATGTCTCTTTAACATGTACTTTCATTCCTCCTAGCAAAAATAAGCCAATCTTTAAGAACAAGAGTTTTAGAGAGTGAGTGGGTAGTATAATTTATGTATCCTTATATACCAGTGCCTGGAATTACTATAAGAACAAAAAAGATGCTTTACTGATCAAGCAAATAACACAACAAAGAAACAGGAGCTGCTGCGACACTTGCTTTGAAATGTGAGTTTATTCTAATGTGAATGTAACGTTTGCTTAGGTGCAATTTTGTCTGCAAAAAGTACAAGGTGAATGGAGAAAACTGAGCCGCATTCTGGAGCCCACAGGAATACATTAACCATACAGCCTCAAGCATCCCTTGCCTTCCTCAGCTGACTGTGTGTGCTACGAGTGTAGCACATTCAGATCTGCTGTTACAACCTTCTTTCCAAGTTCAGATAATCCTCCTTCCACCACGCCACTATAACCACCGGCTCCAACCCTCCTCATGTCAGCTCCCATGAGCAAACTTCAGGCTTTTTACAAGGTAGATGCCATATTTATTGTAGCATTTCTTTTTTTTTTCTTTCTTTTTTTTTTTTGAGATAGAGTTTCACTCTTGTTGCTCAGGCTGGAGTGCAATGACACGATCTTGGCTCACCTCAACCTCCGCCTCCCGGGTTCAAGCAATTCTCCTGCCTCAGTCTCCTAAGTAGCTGGGATTACAGGCATGTGCCACCACGCCCGGATAATTTTGTATTTTTAGTAGAGATGGGGTTTCTCCATGTTGGTCAAGCTGGTCTCAAACTCCTGACCTCAGATGATCCGCCTGCCTCAGCCTCCCAAAGTGCTGGAATTACAGGCGTAAGCCACCGCGCCCGGCCTATTTATTTCTTAACCATTTAGCATGTGTAAAACTAAGTTACTGTTTTTACTGGGTTCCTGTTTTTTTTTTTTCTGTCAGTGATAAATTTTTGGTCCCTAATCCCATTTCTCCCATAAGTCTTATGGCTTCATTTGTACCACTGTGAACAGCATGGTGATTTTAAGGAAACTGTATGTAGCGTTGTAACAGAACTGACTATAAAATTAGGGAAATTCCTGATAAAATAAACCTTATCTTAAAAAGAATGTCAAAGAACAGATCAACAGTCATCCCAGGGAAAAGTTTCTTTTTTTTTTTTATTTTTTTTAATTTTTGAGACAGGGTCTCGCTCTGTCACCCAGGCTGGAGTGTGGTGGTGCGATCTCAGCTCACTGCAACTTCCACCTCCTAGGTTCAAGCAATTCTCTTGCCTCACCCTCCCAAGTAGCTGGAATTACTGGTACATGCCACCATGCCCGGCTAATTTTTGTATTTTTAGTAGAGATGGGGTTTTACCATGTTGCCCAGGCGGGTCTCAAACTCCTGACCGCAAGTGATCCGTCTGCCTTGGCCTCCCTAAGTGCTGGGATTATAGGCATGAGCCACTGCGCCTGGCCCAGGGGAAAGTTTCTAGTGGGCTGCAAAACAGCATCTAGCCATTGTCCTCTTCAATGTACTTAATAAGTAACTTATTTATTAATAAAATACCCACATTTATTACTTTATATAAATATAAATGTATATATTCAAATAAGTACGATAAATATTGAAACAGCATGAATAATATATAATTATTAATAAACTATCAATAAGCAGAATTTGGAAGAGCAAATACTTTTGACTCATTCATTCAATGAAAATGTATTAAGCACTTACTATGAGCTGTCAGTGTTGAAGAGAGAAGAGGAATATGATGAGACATGATTATGATCCTAGCAGAACTCAGGAGGAAAGACATAAAGAGCCATAATGCAATGTAGTAAAAGCTCTAATAAAGGCATCACTAAGTCCTCTGAAGCAGCAAAGGAAGGAAGGACAACTCTCAATGACAGAATATGAATCTCCAAAGTTTAACAAGCTGAAATGATGGGTTAAAAGAAAAAAACAAAATTGGAGCTGCAATAGCACCACGTGTAAGGTCCCACAATTGAAACCTGAAGGACTGTAAAAAGCCTGCTGCTGCTAAGTCTTGCCTCTCCTTTCTTTTATTTGAAAATAGTTGGTATTTGGATTCACTTTGCAGTAACCTGAAATTCGTCAAAGGCAACACCAATCCAAGTGTTGGCTGTCTCAATAAAAATCTGTCACTGGGAAAATGGGGATGACAGGTACTGATTAAGCTCCACTGGGAGAATCAGGTTCTGCACACCTCCTTTTAAAGGGGCTGTGCATGAGTTGGAGCACATTCAAAGGATGATGAACAAACTCACAGCCATGCTTCCTTGGTAGTGGATGAGGGGAGGGGAGCCAGGAGGGCCGGGAATACTGCTGTTGTCCAACATTTGAAGGGCTGTCTTTTGTAAGAGGAAGTAGACTTGTATTACATGGCCCCAAGGGGAACAACTACATGGGGAACAGACTTCAGCCTAACGTAAGGAAGACTTTTTTTTTTTTTTTTTTTTTTAACAATTAGAGCTGCCCAAAGACAGAACGGTGCTCCTTGAAAGGCGTCTCAGGGATGTTCAAGCACAGCCTTGGTGACCACGTGGCCGGGAAGCTACAGACTGAGGATTTACACATCAGACAAATGGCTGAGTACAGATCACACCTTTAAGATGGTCCTCCAAACAAAAGATTCTACAACTTTAGTTATTTAGAATTAGCTTTGAGACTTTGGGCAGGTCACAATTTTTCTCTATCTCCTATCCTGTAACTTCAGAACCAGACACACTACTAACATCATAACATCCAAACTTGGTTTTTGTTTTTTTTTAACAGATAAAAAATGTGACTGGGCACAGTGGCTCATGCCTGTAATATCAGCATTTTGGGAGGCCAAGGTGGGAAGATCGCTTGAGGCCAGGAGTTTGAGAGGGGCCTGGGCAACATAATATGATCTCATCTCTACAAAAAAAAAAAAAAAAGGAAAAAAAGGCAACATTAGTGGGGTGTGGTATTGAGCACTGTAGTCCAAGCTACTCGGGAGACCGAGGCAGGAGGATTGCTTGAGCCCAGGAGTTCAAGACCAGCCTGGGCAACATGGTGAGACCCTGTCTCTTCAAAACATAAAAAACATTAGCCAGGCATAGTGGTGCACACCTATGGTCCCACCTAACCAGGAGGCTGAAGCAGGAGGATTGTTTGAACCCTAGAGGTAGAGGCTGCAAGTGAGCTATGACAGCAACACCGTGCTCCAGCCTGGGCAACAGAGCAAGACCCTGTCTCTCTCTCAAAAAAAAAAAAAAAAAAAAAAAAAAAAAAAAAAGGCCTCAAAACCTCGTGGACATCACCAGAATACAGAAAGTTAAGTTAAAACCTTCTGAGTAGATGTGTTGTCTACAAAGTGGGGGATGGGAGGGTTTTGAATATGCTCTATACTCCATGTGCCATAAAATGAGGAAAAGACATTTGAAACCAGGTTAATTTCCTTGTATTTGAACTATGTATATCCAGTGTGTTAAGGACTTAAGTGACTAGAAAAACCACATGATTAACTTTCAACATCCTCCTTTCCAATAGAGAAAAATGTGATCAAGAACATGTAACACTCACGTGGTCCCCTCTCTTCCCTGGACTGTCACCGCTCCTCCGGGATTGGGGCACAGGAGCCTTGCGCCATGCATTAAAGATCCCCCAGCAGTATGGGCCTTGGCAGCTCACAGTGGAGCTCACAGCCTCTGCTTCTGCAGAGGGACTGACACTGGTTCTCTTCATGCCCACCACGTACCTCACAGCTAGCAATGATATAAAAGCAACTCTCAAAAGAGCAACTCCATTCACCAGCTCCTCAGGCACAACACACAACTTTATACACATTTGTCATATGTCCAAAAAGTAAAAAAAAAAAAAACAAAAAACTTGTTCCAACTTTTTGCTCCAAGAGAAAAAAAAAAGCTAGTTAATCTAAGTGCTTCAGGAAGCCTTAATAGCCTTTTCATCTGCTCCAGCAGCAACGCCCATTTCTCTGGCCAATTGGAGAGAATCAACTCAGGAGTTACAGGTTCTAGCACCAGGAGAAAACCGCAGTGAGAACGGGTCATTTGTTTGGAGAGACTGCCACTCCCAGCATTTTTGCATGTTTACAACTTGACTGACTTGGAAGACTTCATTTCCTAATACTAAGGAAAGTTTGCAGAAGGGCCCATGAAGTATCAAAGCCTCCTAACTGCACTGTGAGACGCAGGAAAACCCGGCCATACCTCCTCATGTCAGTTTTCAGCTTTATGGACTTTATCTGACAAAAAGTTGGTTTCAGAATGTCTTCCGTACAAGCCTTCAAATAGAGGGCTTTGTAAATTCCCAAAGCCAAAATTTTAAAATCTAATTATTTGTATATTAAAATGCTTCTCTTTATTGCTAATTGGCTGCAACATAATAATTAGTCTGCATTATATTTTACTGCTAATCACAACCTCAATAAAATGGGCAATGATGTGTTTCCATTTTCAAGGTTACCTATGAAGCCCAAGGGCTCTAAAATAGGTCAGGACTTCTCTTCACCCCCCTGGCTCCTCCTCCTCTCTGGATTTTAGGTTATTTCAATATCCTGTGTACTCTCTGATAATAAAGAAAGTAATGACAGAGCTGTAAAGAAAAATGCATGTCAGTCCACTCTGGAAACTATTTAGTAACTGTGGTCCGTGAGTTTAAGGAAAGGGGAAACCAACACATTTCGGTAAAATTAGGTTGGAGAGGGGCTTGTGAATTTCAAATACCTATGACACAATAGTCTCTTCCTCCTAAAATCACAGACATTAAATAAGAACTGGATAAAATCGGTTAAGATATTTCTATCTTGCACTACAAATAACAGAGCAAACTGGGTTTCAAAAATAAATTCCTTCTGACTGGCAATCAGAAACGTGAGGTTCTCTTCCATTTTGATTCTATGGACTGTGGAATTTACAGATGTTACAGCGGTGGGGAAATCTAATGTTCCCGCCCTTTGGCACACGGTGGTGCTTGAGCCACATAATGGGAAGGGGCAGGCTGATGCCCATGGTCTCTGCTCTAGGGCTGGACCCATGGAAAATGTAACCAGAACACTCCAGCCCACCTGGGATCATTAATTAGCCTGCATGCACTACCCAAATCTGTCTACTTTCACTTTCTAGGTCCCTGCTTTTTCCATTTCTTACTGCTTATCAGGGTCTCCACCAGATGTGCATTAAAGAAGTAAAAGGAAAATAAATCTTTTCTCCTTGTAAGCAGTTATGAGTAACGTTTTAGTCACTTGAGAGTAAAACTTTTGACTAATGGGGAGACTGTTATGAGGGAAATGATCCCTTCTGTTGTTAACCTAGCTGGAACCACGGAAAGTGATCAGGAATGCCGGTGATTTACAAGGAGGATGAAGGGGTGGGGAAGTCACTCACTGGGAGCAGGACAGCCTATTTCTGACTCCATTGCACAATCCGTCTACGCTATGTCTGGATCCTTCTAACAGGCAGAGATGCACTTTGTGGCAACAATACTTTCCTAAGTGTATGAAACAGAAAACAAAACTCTGATAAGCCGGCGTTAGGAATGCAGTGAACAGCACTGTTGTTCCTCATTCCCCTAACAGTTGGGCATTTTCCACTAGTGTTCTCTTCTCCAGGAACTGAGTCTTTCAGCTAATCACCCCAATCTATCAGAAGAAATCCCTCTTTGGATGGATGAACATTCAACTAATTTATGCATTAAAAAACACAAATCTGCCACTTTTAAAAGTAGGAATAGACGTACCTTAAAGCATGCATATTATAAATACATTTCTCTTGAATTACTCCAACCACATCACAGATCTTGGAAAACAAGTAACAAAAATATCTACACCTGACCCCCTAAACCAACTGGCAATAAAGCATGCCAGTCATTTCACCTTTTTTCTTCAATCCACATTTTATATCACTTGGTAGTAAAAGTATTTTTCCATACTGACATCTACTTTTCATAATGTCCATTTCTAGAGGAGTGATTGATATGATCTATTGATTTTTCTGCTGGCTTTTTTTTTTGTAATACATATTTAACTCTTCAGTTCAATTGAATTTATTCCGGTGTAAGATGAAGACCTAACTATCTGATGAATAATCTTGCCTTTCATTCCCCTTTGATTTGTGAAGGCTTTTTTATCATATATTAAATTTTTATGTGAAAATGGGATTTGTTTTGGGGTAGTTTGTCACTTTATGGTCTATTAACAGTGTTATGATATTCTAATTGTTATAGTTATACACACACACACGTATAATAAAATAGATATACTATTACTTCCTCCTCCTATGTAGATTTTCAAATCCAAACTCCATTTTATCCATCCCCACTGTCAATCAAATAAGGATTTTGATTGCAACTGATCTAAACTTCCAAATTAATTTGGATAAACTTCAATACCTAGCCTCCCAAACTAAGAACTTGCCATTTCTGAAGTCTCTTGTCCCTCCAAGATTTGTAGTTCCGTTCATCTAGGTCACATAAATCTTCCTCGGGGGAATGGAACATTGCCTGTCTGTTAATGCTCTATTTTCTTTTTCCCTCTTAACAAGCATTCTAATAACACAGTATTCTCTCACTCCTGGGCACTCTATCCTCCAAATGGAGGATTTCAGGAAACATTAAAGCACCACAGTAGAGCCAACACATGCTTCAGTTCCAGGGAAAGTCATTTAGGCTACCGATGCATTCCCTGACACAGGGAATGAGGAAGACAGGGTGATGCACCCGCATTCACTTGATTCGGAAGAAAACTCTCCTCGCGGTCCTTAAAGTCAAAGGCTAATGCATTCTTCGGAACATCCGCATCACCCCCGTGAGGGTCAGGGTTAGGCAAACCCAGCCTTGACTCTAGAAGCCACCCGTCCTCCCTCCCAGCTCTTCTCCTCTGGACGTGCTCCTGAATGACTGTTGTAACTTCAAAAAGGAAATACAGGAAGAAAATTCTGAACAAACCAACTGAATTTGCCATGTCGTTTTGACATCCTTTCACAAGTCGATTTCATTTTGTTTGTTTCTTGATTTCAGAAAGGTCGAAGTGAGGCAAAGGGAACCAAACACATCTCCCAGCCTTGGGGGACAACCCATTTCAGCTCTCCTTTGGTAAGGTTTTATTCTAAAAGAGGACACTTACCCTAAGAATTAGCTGTGTTCTCCCACCTGAGAGACAGGCTGTGAGAATATGAAATGAACAGAATTGACGGCCATTTCCTATTGGGTATTAAGGTCTTATAAAATGAGAACGCTGTCCTACTAATGAGAAGCTAGACTTCTTTTTTTTTTTTCCTCCTCCAGATTTATATTTATCTTGACCTTGGGTTGAAAGCTTATAATTATCTCTCTTGCTACCTAAAAGTACCCAAACCTTCTTTCACCTTCAACACTGCTATACTGAATTTCAGTTTTGATAACTATTAGGCATGAAAGCAGGCCTTCTAATGTCTCATAACAACCTCTTTAGGAAGATGTTGCTTCCATTTTTAAAAAAGGCAGGGATAATGATAAACAGTTTAAGAATCTTACAAAGGCAATAAAATGACTTAGGGCAGATATCACACAACAGCTGACATTAACTAGGGGACTTCTGCATTTATTATATGGCTTTATTTTCTATTTCTGGAAACTCTGACTAATCTATTCAGTGCCCAACATTTCCAGTGAGCAGATAAGATGCCAGATAACTACACTACCATACATACCTCACCCTGCCAGCCCCCACAAGCACGCCAAACCATATGTCCCGCCAAACCTCATTCTGGGACAGATTTTTAACTGAGAGAAAAAGGGGGGAGGGGACAATGTATCCCCATACTAATATTTATCAAGGTTTTCTTCTTTTTTCTTTTTTTTTTGAGATAGACTCTCACTCTGTCTCCCAGGCTGGAGTGCAGTGGCGCGATCTTGGCTCACTGCAAGCTCCACTTCCCAGGTTCATGCCATTCTCCTGCCTCAGCCCCCCGAGTAGCTGGGACTACAGGCACCGGCCACCATGCCCAGCTAATTTTTTTGTATTTTTACTAGAGACGGGGTTTCACTGTGTTAGCCAGGATGGTCTTGATCTCCTGACCTCGTGATCCGCCCGCCTCGGCCTCCCAAAGTGCTGGGATTACAGGCGTGAGCCACCACACCCGACCAGGGTTTTCATGGTATCTGGACAAACGAGTACAACGTGAAGCCTGGCGCATGCAGCGGGCTGTCGGGAGGCTTGAGTATGAGAATCAAGGCCCTTGCTCTCAGCTCTGTCCCATGTTGCCGGGGTTCAAAGGGATTCTGAAAAATAAAAGGAAACTCAGCCACCAAGAGACTGTAGGGTGCCTTCCATCCAAAACATCAAAGATGCTTAATGATTTTATTAACAAAGTATATCAAAAATAGCCTGGATTTATGTGATAAAACTAATGTAGAGGCCAGGCGTGGTGGCTCACGCCTGTAATCCCAGCACTTTTGGAGGCCGAAGCAGGAGGATTACTTGAGGTCAGGAGTTTGAGACCAGCCTGGTCAACATGGTGAAACCCTGTCTCTACTAAAAATGCAAAAATTATCAGGGTGTGGTGGCGGGCGCCTGTAGTTCCAGCTACTTGGGAGGCTGAAGCAGGAGAATCACTTGAACCCTGGAGGCGGAGGTTGCAGTGTGCCGAGACCACCCCACTGTACTCTAGCCTGGGTGACAGAGTGAGACTCCGTCTCAAAAAAACCCAAAAAACTAACGTAGAAAAATGTTACAACTGCATAATCTAGATGTGGGGGTAGGGGGGTGGTGAGAGTACAGGTGGGAGTGGAAGAGGTGGGAATAAAGCTGTTCACTGTACAATGATCTTCACTTTTCTGTATGTTTGAAATTTTTCATACAAAATTGTTAGGGGAAAATAATCTAGACAATTGGCATCTTCGATTTTGTACAGCATTTGTCCTGCAGCAGTGAGGGTTTCTAAGTTTCCATAAAATGCTCTGTTTATGCAATAGAACTATTCCATGACTCTGAGTGATGTAAACTGTGGTTATTAAACACCACTAGCTCTAAGTCTCCAAGAGTCCTGAGAAGCATCCCATTTAAGATACCCTTAAGCTGCTATTATCTCTGCAGATAGAGATTTTCCTCCATCCCCTTCCTTGAAGAATTAAGTGCTCAGGAGCCTAACTTTTTTATATACTTCGGTGCTGTCTCAGATCATTAAAAATCTAGGGTGTAAATGTTTACTATTCTTGAATGGTGTATAAACCAATTCCTACCAAATGCACAATACTGAGTTTTATTAACAAACTGATTAGGAAGCACAGCCCTGTGGAAATAGCATAAGATGCAAAATCAGAGAAGACAGGTGTGAGCTTTGGTGAGGGGCCACCTCCTAAACCACAGTTCCTCTGTGGACAAAATGGAGATCACATGTGCCACATCTACCTCAAGTGTGTGTTATGAGGCCAGATAACTACAATAAACAAGAAAATGCTTTAAAAAACTGCAATGCATAATGTACTTCAGTACGATTACCAATTTACTTTGCACCTGTTTGCAAAAGTAATACACGCTTTTTTCTTATCCTAAAGCAGAATTGCTAGAATTGAGAGAGTTTGGAATCTGGTGATGTATAAGATGACAAATTGTTAAAGGGAAAGCTGGGCCTGCCTGGGCCAACTCATCAGGAAGAAGATTAAGTGGGTTCAATGAGAGCCAGGCGGGAACAGGAAGAGTCAAAACGATAAGGAGAATTCATGCTGGATGCACCCCCACAACCCCCACCACCGCAATGTTTCTGTCAGGGGAGACAGACAGGGGTCTTGACAAATAGCACTGCTAGGAAGGAAAGGACCTGGCCCTGTGATGTCTGCAGGTCAACCCAGGAACCTCGGATACTGAGACCCACTTCTCTGTCTCTTTCTCAACAGGTAGACTGGTCCATCCCTATCTCCTTCACCCCCTCTTCTCTAGGGAAGTGCTCAGGACATGGAAGCCTCTTCTCCATGTGAGGAATCCTAAAGGGCAGATGGGTCAGATGAGACCTGCTAGAAATTCTGATGCACGAACCAATCTAAGTATTAGTTACTATGCTAACCTAAGCACTATTCTAAGTATTTGCTATGAGGAAAAATAAATATATTTAATAATAAAGAAACAAGAAAACACTTTGAAAGCTGTAATGCATAATACACTTTAGTATGATTATTAATCACATGTTTAGGAAATACCCTTATAGACATTAATTTTTTCACTCAGATGCAACACCCGACACTAGACAAGATCCTATACTGGAGGGGAAAAGTAATGCCGTAAAGGACATTTTGTCACCTGGAATCTGAAGAGCTGATTAGATAAAGGCATCACATCAGTGAAAAATTTATTGCAATTGGTAGCTGTACTGTGGTTATGAAAGACATTACCCTTATTCCTCGGAAATACTCAGTGAATTACTTAGACATAAAAGGTTATGATATATATCTTACCTTCAAGTGGTTCAGAAAAAAATTGTCTATTTGTGCGGGGGGGATGGCGGAGGGGAAGGGGAGGAAGAAACGGAAATAGAAACCAAATGGAGCAACAAATTAAGAGTTAGATCTGGGTAAAGGAGACTGGGCGCGGTGGCTCATGCCTGTAATCCCAGCACTCTGGGAGGCCGAGGTGGGTGGATCACAAGGTCAGGAGATCGAGACCATCCTGGCTAACATGGTGAAACCCCGTCTCTACTAAAAATATAAAAAATTAGCCGGGCATGGTGGCGGGCACCTGTAGTACCAGCTACTCAGGAGGCTGAGGCAGGAGAATGGCATGAACCCGGGAGGCAGAGCTTGCAGTGAGCCGAGATTGCACCACTGCACTCCAGCCTGGGCAACAGAGCGAGACTCTGTCTCAAAAAAAAAAAAAAAAAAAAAAAAAAAGATCTGGGTAAAGGGGATATATGAGCTTTGTGCTATTCTTATTCTTGCAACCTTCCTATAAGTTTAAAATTATTCCCAAATAAAAAGTAAAAAAAAAAAAATAGTATCTTCTTGACCGTCATTTGGAATGAATACTCACTAAAAGGTGAAATAAAATGAGTGATCAGTCTTTAGTTTTATTTTAAAAAGAAGTCCTTCAAAAGACACTATCAAGAAAGTGAAAAGAAAACTCACAAAATGGGAGAAAATATTTGCACATCATTTTAAGAGTAAAGGTCGAGGATCCAGAATGTATAAAGAACTATTACAACTCAACAATAAAAAAACAAATAGCCCACTTAACAGTGGGCAAATGGGTGGGGTAGACATTTCTCCAAAGAAGATATACAAATGGCCATAAGCACATGAAAAGATGCTCAACATCATTAGTCATTCAGGGAATTGCAAATCCAACCCACAATCAAATATTACTTCACACCGACTATAAACAGAAACACAGACAATAGCAAGTGCTGACAAGTATATGGAGAAACTGGAACCCTCATACACTGTTGGTGGGAATGAAAAACTGAGCAGTCACTTTGGAGAACCGTCTGGCAGTTCCTCAAAAGGCTAACCATAGAGCTAATACATGACCCAGCACTTCCACTCTTAGGTACATACCTGAAATGAAAACTTACATCCACACAAAAACCTGTGCATGAATGTTCACGGCAGCATTATTCAAAGTAGCCAAAAAAATAGAAGCAACTTGAATGTCCGTCAACTGATGAATCAATAAACAAAACGTGGCATATCCATACAATGGAATATTATTTGGCAATTAAAAATGAAATGCTGATATATTCCACAACATGAACTTTGAAAACATTATGCTAAGTGAAAGAAGCCAGACACGAAAGATCACATGTTGTATGACACCATGTATATGAAGTGCCCAGGAACGGGCAAAGCCAGAGACAGAAAGCAGATTAGTGGCTGCCTGGGCTGAGGGATTGGGAGGATGAGGGGTACAGAAGCTAAGGGTACAGAGTTTCCTTTGGGGGAATGAAAATGTCCTAAAATTAATTGTAGTGATAGCTGCATAACTCTTGGAACATACTAAAAGTCAATGAAATGTACCCCTTAAAAGAGTGAATTTCATGGTCTGTGAAGTCTAACTAAAAAACCAACAAACAAACAAACAAAAAACAAAAAAAAAAACTGGTTGTCCTTTTACTGCTTAATAATGGGCAAACAGGCTGGGTGCAGTGGCTCACACCTGTAATCCCAGCACTTTGGGAGGCCGAGGTAGGCGGATCATGAGGTCAGGAGTTTGAGACCAGCCTAGCCAACAGAGTGAAACTCCATCTCTACTAAATATACAAAAAATTAGCCGGGCGTGGTGGCGTGTGCCTGTAATCCCAGCTACGCAGTAGGCTGAGGCAAGAGAATCACTTCAACCCGGGAGGCGGAGGTTGCAGTGAGCCGAGATTGCGCCATTGCACTCCAGCCTGGGTGATGGGGCCAGAGTCCGTCTCTAAATACATACATACATACATACATACATACATACATACATACATACAATGGGCAAACAGTGTCATGATCTTCAGCAAGAGGAAATTAGAAGTTCATGACATTGTGCTTATACAGTTCATTCAATTACAACAACTTCTCAACCTCTTATCCTAACATCTGAAAGAGGAGGGCACTTGAGGCCTGGCTTCCTCACATTTCTGAAGTCTTCAGGTTTCAGGAAGAGAATAATTTCCGCAGCTTTATTACCTACAGTACAGAAACAATTACTGGTCATTTCAACAACGCCTGACTGACTGCCAAATTTCAACACCTGAAACTAGGAGTTTACTGAAGAGTAAGACCTGGGTCCTACCCTGAAGGATCTCACCACTTACTGGCAAGATTGGTTAAAACAGAAAACGAGGGTTGAATGTGAAGTTCTCTAATGGAACATGGAAGCCCCCCTGGGGATTCCAGGTAGGGACACGTTCCTGGAAAGAAAACAGAACAGAAACTGGGCATCATGAAGTGTGGGAAGGAGGAGACCCCTGGGGAAGTAACAGGGCATCTGGTACAGGCCAGGCTATTACCAGTCTTTGGGGCTGCCGGGCTCCTGACCAGGAAGGAACTGGGAAGTGGAGAGAGGCAGAGGAGTAGTGGGGAACAGCACTGGGGTCCGCACTGGCCCAGCCATGGTACCTTTAACCATCGGCACGGGAGCTCCAAGCCCCACCCCCGGCACAGGTCTCCAAAGGCTCTGGAAAGCACCAGGAGAAAAAGAGTGATGGAGGGTGTGGCCGTCGTTTTCGCCCCATTTTGTAAATGGCTGTTCTCAAGAGCAGAGCAGCTCTAGCTTTCACAAAGAACAGAAAGTGGCTCCTCCCAGGCTGCTAATCCTGCCCGGAGGTGGTGCCTGGGTTTCCCTTTCATGTGGCCCCTTGGGAGAGAGCGCTGTTCACTGAGTAACTGGGAGGAGAGGAGACATTTCTTCTAATCAGGGAGCATTGTTAAGGAAACGATCTGTGGAGGAAGAAAGTTAATGGATCAGTTAAGAATGCAGGCTGCCTTGGCACTCTTACTCAGGCCACACACACAAAAATACAAGATGTGAATTTCTCTCTCACTGGTAGAATCACCAATTGGGAAAATGGTCAAAGGCACAACTTGCACGGTGCTGCCTCCAGATGAACTTTTTTTTTTTTTTTTTTTTTTTGAGACAGAGTCTCGCTCTGTCTCCCAGGCTGGAGTGCAGTGGCACAATCATGGCTCACTGCAACCTCCGCCTCCCAGGTTCAAGTGATTTTCCCGCCTTAGCCTCCCAAGTAGCTGGGACTACAGGCGCCCGCCACCATGCCCAGCTGATTTTTATATTTTAGTAGAGACAGGGTTTCGTCATGTTGGCCAGGTTGGTCTCGAACTCCTGATCTCAGGTGACCCACCCGTGTCGGCCTCCCAAAATGCTGAGATTACAGGCATGAGCCACCACCATGCCCGGCCTCCAGATGGACTTTGAAATTGCTTGGAGGAACTCAACCTGGTAAGGGTCTTTCTGACCTAGTTTTCCAACCAGATAATGCTGCACTACAAAAACCATGATAATCCTGCACTTTAAGGATAAGTTTAGGATTCTCTTCTAACTTTGGCTGGCATAAAGCATTTAAAAAGAATTATATGCTTTAAGAAAATCTCAGAGTAATAGCAATTAAGATCCACAGATCAGGACAGCATCACAAAGCAAACAATTTTTTTATTTGTTTCTATAAGCGATGTGCTTCAGGACATACTACCCTAAAACACGGCCTGTTGGGATCTGAGAAAACAGCAGTAGCAGCAGGTCACTCTCACCTTCCCACCCTTCTTTCCCCAAAGCAGGTCATAAAATTTAGAAAGGATTTTCTAACCTTCCCCTGAAATACACCATAAAACCATCATTTGAGAGGTGCCCTCCCTATTCCCAGAGGAGGGGAACATAGAAGAATCTGAACAATCAGGTCCTGCTAAGTTTCCTCCACTGTATTACCTGCAGATCCTGGCCTTTGTCCAATCACACTTATCCACAAATGGAAGCCTTCCTTCATTTCCACATTGTCACTAACACAGAAGACTTCTGCCCAGGAGTAGGATTTTAACTTGTTAGGTCAGGTCTGAAATTTACTGCCAGCCTGTCTTATAAAACCAAGACATAGATCCTGGGATACATTAGATGATTAAGAAAGTCTTTTTATCTTAAGACAAATTTTTAACCTCTGAAACGTAAGTTTTAAAAACAGCCTGGCCTGGCACAGTGGTTCATGCCTGTAATCCCAGCACTTTGGGAGGCTGAGGCAGGCAGATCGCCTGAGATCAGGAGTTCGAGACCAGCCTGGCCAACATGTTGAAACCCCATCTCTACTAAGTACAAAAATTAGCCGGGTGTGGTGATGCATGCCTGTAATCCCAGCTACTTGAGAGGCTGTGGCAGGAGAATCACTTGAACCCAGGAGGTAGAGGTTGCAGTGAACCAAGACTGCACCATTGCACTCCAGCCTGGGCAACAAGAGCGAAACTCCATCTCAAAACAAACAAAAAAAACCCAGCCCTGTGGCAAACAGGCATTTGGGGCTCTAACAAACACGGCTGTGGTCCCTTTTGCTTGCTATGACAGAAATCTGAAAACACACTTGTGTACAATTACCGTTGCTTTGGTAGGAATGTGCAGGTTCCCACACGCTGGCCTGGAGGGAATTGTTTAACCTGATCACAATCGGAAAGCTACCTTTGAATTCCCACGAGGTGGGGTGGAAATAACCTTCCTCCCCTTAGACACTGCAGAGGTTCTGAAAGTTACATTACCGATGTTAATACCCAGCCTTCACTAATTCTACACATTCATCAGTGCTAACTGACGAGGAGGGTGAGGACAGAAAGCTGGCACGGAGAAGTGAAAACACAAGCCTACCTACCTACTCTTCACTAGCGTCTGCCTTTAGAATTTACCTGATCAAAGACTCTAAAAGCTGAGAGGAAAGAGAATGAGGAAGGGGGATGGGATTGGCTTTTAGATGCTTTAAAATAAGATAATCCCGTGTGTTATCCTTTACACCTGCCTCTCAAAAGAACAAAAGCGCCAGATCCACTCTCAATACAGGTCACTAGGGTTCCAGAAGATGCTATTGTGTTTAAGCCTCTCTGACTTGACAATATGATCCTCTAAACTGGAGCATTAAAGGGTCTTGGGGCTCTCCAACAGCAATAAGCTGGACAGGGTCTTGGGATTTCTTAATGCTTAAGATGTTATCTTCTCTTCTCAAAAATTCTGGGATACAGAATTATAGAAGGTTCCACTTGTACTGTGGTATTTTTACTCATTGTTGAGTTTGCATTTTGGTCTCTGTTTATTTTCCTCCTACTGTTAGTATTTTAAGCCACAGAACTTTAAGAGGGCCAACATCAGATGCCATTTTGATAGGAAATGTTGACATTTATATCACATATACGACAATAGGATGTCTGTAAGTTGTTTAGTATATTTCCATACAGCAATTCATTAGTTCAAATATGTGGTGGAAATGAGTCAATGAGGTAATTTTTTTTTTTTAAGAAATGCCATTTCTCATTCAAATATATGTATGGTATGACAGCAAAATATTCCTTGGGAGATTTCCTTTATGAGTAAATAAAGATTTCTAATAAACACATCCATTGTCTCTATATAAAAACTTCTAATGTGTTGAGAGGTAGCATTTCAGGTGTCAAATATCTTCTATCATCTTTCTATTCTCTTCTTAAAACATGAAAAAAAAGAAAATTCCAGATTCACATCCTAAAACTTAACATAGTAAATCCTGACCCCTAATAAAATACAAACTGGCTCTAGCCCTCTAGCCTTCCCTTCTCCCAGGTCCTTTTTTTTTTTTTTTGAAATGGAGTCTCACTCTGTCCCCCAGGCTGGAGTGCAGTGGCACGATCTCTGCTCACTGCAACCTCAATGTCCCAGGTTCAAGCAATTCCCCTGCCTCAGCCTCCCGAGTAGCTGGGACTACAGGCGCCCACCACCCACGCTGGTCTCAAACTCCTGACCTCAGGTGATCCACCTCCCAGGTCCTTTATATAAAGGGGAGGACAATTAAGGACAGCACTGTCTATTTTTATTACATTTGGCCATTTATCTCTACTAGGGGCAATGAAACCACTTCAGGGCTTTCAAATTCTCTACCTGTAGGAACTGACCCAAAACAAATAGAAGGACCTTAACCTTAACTCTTGGCTGAACTCAACATTCTTCAATCAGATACATCAATCCCTGCAGGCAAATGTGCTAACGGCAGAGCCAAACCAGATTTTGGACTCTCAGGGAATGCCACTGCTTTCCCATTTGTCATGTAAGTTTGTTAAATGGAAAATCCTTAGGCAGTTGCAAAAATGAAAGTACATTTGGTGTTGACAGTCACGACAGAACATGGGGACTAGAGTTGCTCCCAAATTTCATTCATTCTTACAACATAATTCTCCTCAACAGTTGCCCTTATTAAAAAGGATTAACGGCTGGCCACTGTAATTTCCATTCTACCCAAGGCATCCTTTTAAAATGGGCTGTTGATAGTCGCTGCCAATGAATGCTCCAAGTTGATGACATTTCAAACAGGCTTTCAGGGTGCTGACAATGGACCTTCCCTTATGTTCAGCCAGGGCACTCACTTCCGACATTTACCCGAGAGGAAAAGGGTAAACCACTTTCAAAGTCCAATTTAATTTGTCTAAGTCTTAAACGGAAGGTCATTTTTCTGTCTTACTAAAAGGCCCAACCTCCTTGCTCTCTTTCTCAAAAGATCTGTAAATCATTGTTTAAGCAGACAAATTATAAAATGTGATATCATATCCTACATAAATGTACCATAGTTCTTCATTTCTAAGACACAGGTTCTCCCTCTCCCACCCCTGCACAAGCATGTGCTAACGTTTCTGAAATCCAGATATCCTACAATCAACATAGCAGTTTTTAACGTCCTAGTGTTTCTCAAACTCACTCCCTCCCCAAAAAACCAGTATTAAGTCAATGGTACACCTTGTAATGGAGACAGTAAATTGTTTAATGTATGGAATTATTGAAAAGATCCCTCTAGATTAAGTACTACTAATCTAGTTTTAGCAGTATGCTACCACCTTAGCACCTTACACATAAAGAATGTCAGGATGAGGCCGGGCGCGGTGGCTCACGCCTGTAATCCCAGCACTTTGGGAGGCCGAGGCAAGCGGACCACGAGGTCAGGAGATCGAGACCATCCTGACTAACACGGTAAAACCCTGTCTGTACTAAAAAATAAAAAAATTAGCCGGGCGTGGTGGTAGACGCCTGTAGTCACAGCTACTCGGGAGGCTGAGGCAGGAGAATGGTGTGAACCGAGGAGGTGGAGCTTGCAGTGAGCCAAGATCACGCCAATGCACTCCAGCCTGGGCGACAAAGCGAGACTCTGTCTCAAAAAAAAAAAAAAAAAAAAGTCAGGATGAAAATAAAATCATTCTTCCAAAAATAAACTGATGTTTTAATTCTCACTATGCCTTGATTTTTGATAAGCTTACTATAAAACAGAGAATCTAGTTATAATATTAGTTTTGTACACCTGCAGGGTTATAAATCAAATATGGAATCAAATTGCTGATAAGCACATATGAAAGTAACTGAAAACACCTAAAGGTATATATGTGCCTGCAAAATCACAGCCACATCTTCATTTATAAAAGAAGTCCTCAGCCAAATGGGGTGGCTCACGCCTGTAATCCCAACACTTTGAGAGGCCGAGGCAGGCGGATCACCTGAGGCTAGGAGTTTGAGACCAGCCTTGCCAACATGGTAAAACCCCATCTCTACTAAAAACACAAAAATTAGCCAGGTGTGGTGGCAGGTGCCCATAATCCCAGCTACTCGGGAGGCTGAGGCAGGAGAACTGCTTGAACCGGGAGGTGGAGCTTGCAGTGAGTGGTGATCGCACCACTGCACTCCAGCCTGGGTGACAGACCCAGACTCTGTCTCAAAAACCCTTCTCAAATTCTCAAAAAGTCTACATGTATACTTGCAAAGGTCTATAAACAAAACGTTAGTTTCAGGAATACTTGATCTTTATTTCAGAATTTTATTTTCTAGGTAATGACTCCTAACAAATCAGCTTTACATGTGGGCCAATGACCTGTTAAACTAAAACCCAAATACACAAGTTTGTTTTATTGAAAATACATAAATAAGAGCAGAGCTACGCGAGTATTTTTCTCTACAACTCAGAAAGGTAAATTAAAACAGTTTCTCTGGGGAAAAAAATAGAGCCTTTTACTTCCTTCAAATGCCTCCAAGCACTATGCACTTGACAATCTGTACAGCGGGCGCTTCCTGCTGTCTGTCTGACTCAAAAAGAAGAGCTCCTTTAACAGAGTGGCTAAGAGTGCAGGCTCTAGGGGCTTTCTGCCAAATCCAGGTGTGCCATTTGCCAGCCCACTGGTCCTGGGGCAGTTTGGCCTCTCTGAGCTTCCAAGTGCCCTTGGAGGTCTATGATGAGGTCCGAAAAACCTCCCATCTTCAAGGTCTTGGGTTGAGAGGGTGAATGTGGTGTCTCCCAGAACAACCATGAAACTTAGAATCCAAAGGTGTTCTAAACCAAAGCAATTGCAAGGGGTTGTATAGAGGAAAACAAACAAACAAACAAAACCGAAAAAGTTATTTTCAGCGTTCATCCTGGAGGAACATGTGTGTAAACTAAGAAGCTTTCAGTCAGGAGTTCCAAAAGGAAAATCTCCTGATTAACATGATTAGGGAAGAGAGCATTATAAAACACCACCCATTGCAGGTGACTCAAGAAGCTCACGTTCTCTACTCCTATCCCCGACTCGTCACTTTCCACATCCTTCTTCTAATTCTGACACTTAACCAAATTACTGGTTTTAATCAACATTCAGGTTTATCTGGGAACAAATTAAATTTAAATAATAAACTGCAGTGAAGTTAGTTTGTAAAAGCTGAAGTAACATGACAAAGGATGAACAGGCCCACTGGGTCTTCAAAAGTAAAAATAAGACAATATTTAAGGGCCTGTCTGACACTGCGAGGCTCCCTAAAATACTCAACAGTTTGAATCTGAAATACATGAACACAATACAGATCTTTACGGAATTTGAAAGGGACAGGATTTTCTAACATTTATTAGAGGGATTCACGTAAAAATTCTTAAGAATCATTGTGAAGAAGAATGTTTTAGCAGACACCATAATGACTTAATGGAGACTCCCAACTTAAGGGGTGCTGAGCCCCACTTCCCTTATTGATTAACCTGTCAGCTTGCTAGTCAAATCTAATTAGTTAAATCCTTTCTTAATGAAAACATTATGCCTTAAGCAGTTCGCCAGTTCCAGGGTTGTTGGCAACAAACTAATCTCTACAAGAAAAGAGGGGAAGAGAAAAATCCTTAAATTCCAATGGAATCCAGAGCTCTAAAAGCTCATTTGGCTATACAGCTATAATTATTTATAGCATATAAAATGCTGAACTAAATATTCCCCATCTCCCTCTATATTTTCCACGTGTCCCTCTTCCCAAAGCAGCTACATCTAAGTACCCCCACAAAAAATCTAAGCAAACTGGACTCATAAAGCAGTGTGAACACAGACTGAAAATGGAATTTTTTTTTAATTAAAAAATAATTGGGTAACAAACCCCACCATGAGGAAATTCACAAAGTAGGACTTCCTAAAAGACAACCAGCCTGGGCTCTTTAAACTGCTGATGTCATTTAAAGATTTTAAAAGGGGTTGGGGCCGGGACTGGGGGCTATATTTAATTTCAAGAGGTCAAAGAGACGTATCAACCAAAAAGGTGTGGTCTTCATTGAATCCTGGATTCAAAAATGAAAGAAAAAAAAAAGCTCACTATTTTGTAAAAAAGCACACTTTGGAAACAAGCAAGGAAAGTTCAATATGAATTATATCCTAGATAACATTACAGAATCACAGCTAACTTTCGGAGGTATGATAATGGTATGAGATTATGCAGAAAGTGCAGCAGATGAATACTGAAGCATCATGATACTTTTAACATTGAAATGACTTATCTAAAAAAAAGAGAGCTAAAGCAAATGTAGAAAAATGTTAAGAACAGTGGATCTAGGTGAAGGGTATATGGGTGTTTGTCATACTGTTCTTTCAACATTTCTACAGGTTTGCAATTTTGCAACATAAAAAGAAAGTGAGCTACGGTCCAATAGACTCAGGGTCAATATCTGACTAGCCCAGTAGCAGGTCATGAACTGCTACAAGCAAAGCTATGTACAACATCTCAGTGTCCACTGTCTCTCAGACAATGTCAGGTAGGCACTCAAATACCTGATCACTGGATAAATTGACAAAAGAAGGTGGGTGGATCACCTGAGGTCAGGAGTTTGAGACCAGCCTGGCCAACATGGTGAAAACCGGTCTCTACTAAAAGTACAAAAAATCAGCCGGGCATTGTGGCAGGTGCCTGTAATCCCAGCTACTCGGGAGGCTGAGGCAGGAGAACAGCTTGAACCCAGGAGGCAAAGGTTGCAGTGAGCTGAGATCATGCCATTGCACTCCAGCCTGGGCAACAAGAGTGAGACTCCATCGGAAACACACACACACACACACACACACACACACACACGAATGAAATTCTGGCTGTCACACACGTCAGTCGTGTGGCCTCTGGCATGTCATCTCCTTGAACCTCTATACAGCAGTAACAATACCAGCCTTGCAGGTCCTGGGCCCACTAGAGAGAACGTATATCAGGAGCCCAGTAGAGCAGAAGACATATATTTGGGGCTCAGCAAATGGTGCTATTATTATTATTATTATTAAAAAACTCAATGTTTTAGAAATTCCCAAGATTGAAGAAAAGCAAATGTTTTCATTTTTGCCTGAAATCATCCAGATTTATAGATGCGATGAGATGCCAGAGGTCTGTTTCCCTTGTGTTTGTATGTTACCTGAAATACACACCCCTTTGCTTATCTCTCGTGTTTAAGACCTTTTCACTTTACAGTTCACAATCTGCTTCTTCACATCATCATCTGATATGGGATACCCTTTCTACCCAGAGAAATCTGAGCTTGAACTCATTTTCCTAGCTCTTCAAAACAAGCTTCTCTTAACAAAGCAGAACAATGTGCTGTGTTGCCTAAAGGTGCTGAGTTTGGAACCACTTTAAAAGGAATTCCTCAGCTACTAAAGTCCTGTAATTCTGAAGATGGTTAACAAACTTGGCCTGGTGACAAAGAAAGAGAGAAGGGACCCCTGGTGGAAGAAGTCTGGTGGCCAGGATGAGAACAGGACCTTTTTAGAGGGAACCAGAGCTGAAAGAAAGGGGTGTGTGTGTGTGTTAAAACATATGTACAATAAAAAGATCCCTACCAACTACTTTCCTCTCCATAACACTTTGTAGGAACATGAAGAGAAGATGCTCTGTGCCCGTGGGGAAGAATGCTGAAAAGCTCTCAAGCAGCTCTCTTCTGGGTAATAGCCACCTTCTTCCCCCGCTGCATAATCCCTACAGATTGACGCCTGCGATTTGGAGACGAGTGTGGATAACTTTATGCTCATACCCTAACAGTATTCCCCGAGGCAGCGGGTGTACTTACCACTTCCTTAAACTCTTGAGGCTTGTGAATATTAGAGCAAACAAAATAAGTTCAGCTTTCAGTAAATCTTCCTGTCACCCTGGTGGCATTAAAAAAAAAAATACAAGAAAACAACAACAAAAAGACTTCGTGTTGATCTTCGGATCTGCCTAAATAATAAACTCCGTGGAGTAACGATTCAGATTTTGGCAGGAAAGGCTTTTTAAAGTAGGGGAAGAAGAACAGCAACAGCAAGGGAAAGAAAAGAGATACGAATGAGACGTCAGGCTAGAGATCTGTGAGAGGCCTAAGTTCTCAAAAGAGATGCTTGTACTTGTGTAAAATTCCCATTCCTAGGAAGACCAAGAAATTCATGGCTTAATATCTGGTCACTAAGTTAACTCCAGTTCTTAAGTAACATCATCCTAAATTACCTTCGGGAATGAGAAACCTGTGAGATGAGAAAAATCAGCAGAAACAAATAACCAGAATTTCACTGTGTGGGGTGTAACCAGCTTAGAGTCTAGACTTTTCCATTTCTTTGTTTTAAAAATGTGTGTCTTGGCCGGGTGCGGTGGTTCACGCCTGTAATCGCAGCACTTTGGGAGGCTGAGGCGGGTGGATCACAAGGTCAGGAGTTCACGACCAGCTTGGCCAATATGGTGAAACCCGGTCTCTACTAAAAATACATAAATTAGCTGGGCATGGTGGCAGGAGCCTGTAATCCCACCTACTCGGGAGGCTGAGGCAGGAGAATCGTTTGAATCAGGGCAGCAGAGGTTGCAGTGAGTGGAGACAGAGCCACTGCACTCCAGCCTGAGCGACAGAGTGAGACTCCATTTCGGGGGTGGGTGGGGTGGGGAGTGTGTTTTAGAGAATATTAGTGATAGGGGAAGCCCTGCTTGTTCCGAGCCGGCTCCACATACTATTTGAGAGAAGAATTAAGTACTTCACTCCTGTTATTGAGCCCTTGACAACCAGGCAACCCTAAACGCTTACTTTGGAAGGCGATACTCTTGTTTACAGTGTACACTCCTTTTAATTGAGCAGACATTTAGAAATCTCTGCTAACAGCTCAGGGGAGATATGGATGTTGACCTTGGGGGCTGATGTAGCATGGGGTGAGTGTGGAGGACGTAACTAGGTGTGTAACCTTGAGCAACTTGTTCAGCCTTAGTTTCCTCACAGTCAAAACAGTGTTAATACCATCTACCTCAAAAGGGCACTGTGAGGGTTCCATGGGTTAATTGAAGTGATCAGAACAAAGCTCATCTCATAGTAAGTACTCAATAAATGGCAGTATCATCACGAGTGGATTGAACCACTCTGACAAACTGAAAAACCTTGGATGATCACTTGGGTGATTATATGCCCTGGTTTACATGGACAGTCCAGGGTGAGGCCTGTTGTCCCAGGATAATGATGAAGAAACAGTCGATTTCACTCTCAAAAGTGTCCAGGCCTGGACAGTAAGTTATATAGTCACCTTAATTATCACCAAAAAGATATACCAATGCAAGGTATTTTATACAAAGGGGGAATGAAAAAAAGATATCAAAAAAGGTTTCTTTGTTTGAAGTATATGAAGAAGCAGCAGGGCTAGATCTGTTGTTTGCATTTCTGTGTTATTGGGTTTTTTTGTTTGTTTGTTTGTTTGTTTTTGAGACGGAGTCTTACCCTGTCGCCCAGGCTGGAGTGCAGTGGTGCAATCTCAGTTGACTGCAACCACGGCTTCCCAGGTTCAAGTGATTCTTGTGCCTCAGCCACCTAAGTAGCTGGGATCAAAGGTGTGCGCCACCACACCTGGCTAATATTTTGTATTTTTGTAGAGACGGTGTTTTGCCATGTTGGCCAGGCTAGTCTCCAACTCCTGACCTCAAGTGATCCGCCCGCCCCAGGCTCCAAAGTGCTGGGATTACAGGCATGAGCCACTGCACCCATCCTCTGTGTTATTGTTTTTAAAGCTAAGGATACTCTTAAGAGACTGGGAGAAATAAAAAGCCAGGAGAAAAGGGAAGAGTTGACTGAGGGGCCATGTCTGAAAAGGTGAACTGGGATGGAGGCCGGCCGGGGAAGGAGGCAGAAAGCAGCAGCACCCTCTTGAGCAAGAGGAAGAGGCCTTCTGAGTTGAGGAGAGGAAAGGAAAGCTCTTCCCCCACAGGTGACTTCATCACTTGCAAAAGGCCCACCTGATGGGGTGGGGGTGGCACAGGGAGCAGACAGACCACGAAACAGCTGTGGTGGGAGTAGGCAGTGAATGAATGGTGGGTGATGAATGCTCTACATGCTTCAAGAGGTAAGCTAAGGTTGCAATGTACAAATGCACACAAGTCATCAGCTCAGTAAATCTACTTTACTCCAGGGCAGGAATGGAAGAAATGACATGGCTGGATGTTCACTGTGGTTGGCAGGTGGCGCTGGGTGTAACAGAGCACTCGGGAAGTGAGTGGTGAGGATGCCTTTAAAATAATTGCATTTCAGGTTCAAAAACCTCTGTGTAGCATTTTTTAAAGAGAAAAAGTGGCTTAACAGTGATACTCTGCCAAAAAAGGCAGCACCGCCCCTGAGGCTGACTGGCACCCAGAGCCAAAGATCAGCAACGGACAAGAAGAGGCTGGCGAGGGCTTGAGGTGCTTCAAAGAGGAAGCTACACAGATAGTGGATAAATAGCAGGGATTTCTTGTACTTTTGCCACCAGAAAACTCATAGTGGGTTGGCCTATCTATCACGCTTTTTAAAGAACAGGCAAAAAAGGATTAACTAGGGACAAGTGCTCTTCCACCCACCCCTCAGGAGATCAATTTCCTCTCCCTGACACATATAAATACACACATCCTCGAAGGGTGAGTTAGAAAGTGCACCAGGAGCTCGATGCTTTGGGAGGCAGGGGTGAGAGGATTAATCGCCTGAGGCCAGGAGTTCCAGACCAGCCTGTGCAACACAGCAAGACCCCATCTCTACAAAAATATTTAAAAAGTTAGCCGGGTATGGTGGTACAGGCCTGTAGTTCCAGCTACTTCGGAGGCTGGGATAGGAGGATCACTTGAGGCCAGGAGTTCCAGACTAGCCTGGGCAACATAGCAAGACGGTGTCTCCATAGAAAATTAAAAAATTAGCCAGGTGTGGTGGCACGCACGTATATATGCACCTATATAGTCTTAGCTACTCGCAAGGCTGGGGCAGGAGGATCACTTGAGCCCAGGAGTTCAAGGCTGCAGTAAGCTATGACCGTGCCACTGCACCACAGTCTGGGTGACAGAGTGAGACCCAGTGTCTAAATAAATAAAAGTGTCAAGGCTTAAACAGTAATAAAAAAAAAAAAAAAAAAAATAACTCCACTGAGATTTCCAGCCATAACTACTATCACTTGAAATGCCTTTACAGTTTTTCCAGTTTGATGTTTATTGATTAGACATATACCCAATTCTATAAATCTCATTTTGTGGGAGGTTACGTCTTAGTATCACATGAAATCTCCCATAAAACGAAGTAACCGAATACATCTAACACACACTGACAGCCTGCCGCCCATGGTGCTATACTGAACCTCTCCTCAAGTTTTCCCAGGCTGGAATTGCATCACCAGGATCTTCCACCCCAGACATACTTCAAACAGGTCAGGCTGGATGAGAAGCTGTGTTGTGAACAAGAGACTTCCCTTTTTTTTTTTTTTTTTTTTTTTTTTTTTGAGACGGAGTCTCGCTCTGTCACCCAGGTTGGAGTGCAGTGGCGCCATCTAGGCTCACTGCAAGCTCTGCCTCCCGGCCGGGTTCACGCCATTCTCCTGCCTCAGCTTCCCGAGTAGCTGGGACTACAGGCGCCTGCCACCACATCCGGCTAATTTTTTGTATATTTAGTAGAGATGGGGTTTCACTGTGTTAGCCAGGATGGTCTCAATCTCCTGACCTCGTGATCCACCCGCCTCAGCCTCCCAAAGTGCTGGGATTACAGGCATGAGCCACTGTGCCCGGCCTTTAACAAGAGACATTTTTAAATTCACCAAACTGAAGCCCCCGATCCTCTTTATGCTGGGCTGGTATAAGAGAAAGGGCAAAGAACAGGAGATGGCAAGAACTCACTGTCACTTACCAGTCACCAGTGTTCTCACAGGTAATAGACGGACCTGGCTAGGCTACTGTATGAATCAAATAAATCAGCAGGTGCCCTGGCACACTGTAGGCACTCAATATACGTGGGCAGCCTCCCACTCCTTTCCTGAAAAGTACCCAGTTGGGATCATCAGATTTTCGATTAATTCCAAATGGGTTGATCAGACCAAACACGATTCAGGTTTTTGCCTACTTTCTTGAATCAAGTCACTTAAGATTCTCAGGATATAACCTAAATTCCAAAGTTTGAAATCACTTTTAGGATATTATATTTTAATTCATTTTAATTCAAAGCACCCTGTGGGTCACCATGGGTAGGATAGGGGTAGAATTCAGAGAAAAGGGGAAGAGGACATCTACAACTTCAATAAAAGACAGGCAGGCAGTGGGCATGGTGGCTCATGCCTGTAAATCCCAGCACTTTGGGAGGACAGGGCAGGTGGATGGCTTGAGGTCAGGGGTTGGAGACCAGCCTGGCTAACATGGTGAAACCTCATCTCTACTAAAAATACAAAAATTAGCTGGGTGTGGTGGCATGCGCCTGTAATCCCAGCTACTTGGGAGGCCAAGGCAGGAGAATCACTAGAGTCCAGGAGGCGAAGGTTGCAGTGAGCTGAGATCATGCCACTGCTACAGGCTGGGTGACAGAGTGAGACACCATCTTAAAAAAAAAGAAAAGAAAAGAAAAGAAAAGAAAAGAAAAGAAAAAAAGACAGGCAGGATGCAGGAAGTGCCACAGGAAAGGTTCAAACCTTGGGAAGGTAGGAGGGCTTCCTGGAGAATGTGGCATTTGAACAGAGCTATGAAGGGCAGGTATGACTAAATTCACACACACTTAAGTGTGTATGACCTCATTTGACGATGTTGTTCTTGCAGTACCTTTCTAATTTTTAGATATTTTGTCCCTCCAATTGATAAACACAAACCATGTAAGAAAAGCTCAATGCACTGAAAGCATAGGTTAGATTTATTGTAAGAAAAATGCAGAGAACTGTTCAGACTTATTAATAAACTCCTGGTAGAGCACCAACTTTTTGCTCTGAAAACATGCAATTAGAAGGAGAGAATTGAGCATTTACTTTTTTCCTTGTATTATATTTGAGTGTAACCAAAGAACTCTAGTTGATGAGGGAAAGTGCCATTGTACTGAAGAATTTCAGCCAATAAATGTGGAATAATGCTAGAAAAGTCACCCTCTGCCATCTCTAATGAATTACTGCATCAGGCAAGCATCATCAATAGATGAGACCATGAGATAAAAGCTTGACGGGGAACATGCCAATGCAAGTATCAGGTTGCCACAACCTAAACTTACTGAATAATTTTGACATCACTAAAACTGGGACACCCAGACACTGTGTGTTCCCAGATGTGAGGCAACATGAGGTTCGTTGCAATGCCTATGAAGTTTTCTTGCCAGGAACTCTAACCTGAATCTAATCAAAGCTTTACGGCCAACTTCCATTTACAGGAAATACGAGGGACAGAGGAACAAGCTAAATGACACCGCAAGGACTTCCAGAATGTGGGGCAGTCTTCAGGACAGCTGACCTGGTTTCTGCAACAAGTCAATGACTTGAAAGAATGGGAAGCTGGGGAGGGTGGAGCACTCTAGATTTAAGACATGCAGTATGTGTGTCTGTTTGTATCCTGATGTGCACAGATCACGTAAAATGACCCCTTGTGGGACAATCATGGAGATGAGATCATGGATGGGTATATTCCTCAGATGACACTGAGGAATTACTGCATATTTAGTTAGTGTGATAACAACATGTGATTTTGTAAGAAATGTTCTTTTTTATAGATGTGCACTAAAGTATGTAGTCGTAAAATGATATGAAGTCTGAGACATGCTTTAAAATATTTCAGCAATAAAGAAAAAAAAGGTGGACATCGCCCTATCCAGCCTATCACCTAAAAATAATTGTGGAAAAGTCTTAATATGAATCTAGGTAATGGGTATATATGGGGGTTCATTTCTACATTTTCTATATTGAATTAGAGTTGAAAATTTTCATTTTGTAAAAAGCTCCCGATTCATGATAAAATTGAATTCACTTTCATGTGTCAATTTCATCTTACATGTAAAGATACATTTCACACCTTTGAGTGGTGTGATATTCCCTGTTGAAAATATTCCCTATTGAAAAAGGCATTTAAATTTAACCCATGTAGATCACACAGTGCTCTTAGGGGACTGGAAACATCAGTATCACCTGGTTACTTGAAATGCAAGTTCTGGAGCCCTAGCCCAGACACGCTGAATCAGAAATCACTGGAGGTGGGGCCCCGCAAGCTGTATCTTTTTTTTTTTTTTGAGACGGAGTCTTGTTCTGTCGCCCAGGCTGGAGTGCAATGGCGCGATCTCCGCTCACTGCAAGCTCTGCCTCCCGGGTTCATGCCATTCTCCTGCCTCAGCCTCCTGAGTAGCTGGGACTACAAGGCTCCCGCCACCACGCCCGGCTAATTTCTTTGTATTTTTAGTAGAAACGGGGTTTCACCATGTTAGCCAGGATGGTCTCAATCTCCTGACCTCGTGATCCGCCTGCCTCGGCCTCCCAAAGTGCTGGGATTACAGGCGTGAGCCACCACGCCCGGCCGGCAAGCTGTATCTTAACAAGTCCTCTAGCTAATTTTGATGCAGGCTAAAGTTTGAGAACCACTACTTTAACACAACTAGTTTTGGAAGATGCCTATTCTTGAAGGACAACTGAAAAAGCTTTACTATTTAGGTAACTTACTTAAACTTCTTAAGAGTTTTACATTTTTTGGGAAAACTCAATTTACATGTTAATTTTATGGCCTTAAAACTCTAATATTCAATACAGAAGAAAAAAAGATTTCAAAACACTTCTGCCCATTGTTCTACAATCCTGGATAAAGCAGTTTAAAACAGAATTAACACAGTACTTTGTTTACAAAATAGTTAGTGGTAATCACGGCACATTTGCCCAGTATGTGTGTGTGTTGTGTGCTGTGATAGCCCTTCACACAGATGGCAGGCCGGCATTGGTGATGCAGCACCTGCCAAGAAGGAACTCGATGGAACAGTTTGTCTTTCAGAAGCGGTTGAGCAAGTTAGCTCAGCTGGTTACAGCATAACATTGGCCCAAGGTCATGGTTTCAAACTCTATTCAGATGAGCAGAGCCCTAGGTACAGGCCTAGCATCTGTCAGAACCACGCTAAACATGAGTAGGCCTGTTCACAAGGCTATAGAGAGTGGAAGGATTGGAAATGGTAGGTGCAGGGGCACTTTGAACAGATCAGGTGAAGTTGATATTTACAAACAAACAAACCAACCCAGGAGGCTGAAGCAGGAGAACTGCCTGAGCCCAGGATATGGAGGCTGCAGTGAGCTGAGATCGTGACACTGCACTCCAGCCTGGCCGACAGATTGAGACTCTGTCCCCTCCAAAAAAAAGGCTGCCCAACTACGAACCTAGACCTATTCCCTGTGCAATAGAGTATGATTTCACCCAGTGACTCTGTGGATCGTCTGAGCATTTACAAAACCTCACTGCCAAAATGTTCTTCCTCGTTTTTTCTGGACCACAGTCGTCTGCATTAGAACTACCTGGAAGGCTTGTGAAAACAGAGTTGTGACTCTACCCCAGAGTTTCCAATTCTGTAGGTTTGGGGTGGGGCAGAGATTCTGCATGGCTAACAACCACTCAGAGGATGCAGATATTGCTGATGGAGACTTTGAGAACCACCGGTCTAGACCCAATTCTGCACTTAATTTCATCTAACCCATTCCTTTTCATGGTGAGTTCCTTATCAGCAGAAACCTTGCCTTTTCCATCCTCTATAAAACTAAGCATTGCGACCGGAAAGCTAATCCCTGACATATCAAGATGTGGAGGACACTGGGCGTGGTGGCTCATGCCTGTAATCCTAGCACTTTGGGAGGCTGAGGTGGGCGGTTCATTTTGAGCTCAGGAGTTCGAGCCCAGCCTGGGCAATGTGGTGAAACCCTGTCTCTGCAAAAAAAAAAAAAAAAAAAAAAAAAAAAAAAAAAGTGAGCCAGGCATGGTGGCTTGTGCCTGTAAGTCCTAGCCTACTTGGGAGGCTGAGGCTGGAGGATAACTTGAGCCAGAAAGTGGAGGTTGCAGCGAGCCGAGATTGCACCACTGCACTCCAGCCTGGGCGACAGAGTGAGACCCTGTCTCAAAAAAAAAAGGAAAGAAAAAGAAGAAAAGATGTGGAGGGAACAGAGTGAAAATGCAAACATCCTTTAAGCATGTTGGGTTGTATTTCTGTAGCCCTCTCTCAGATGAACTCCAAAGAGGTAACAGAGAAGATGTGTGGGGAGTGAGTAAAGGGGCATGGAAAGAGACTGTGTTTTTAGGCTAGTTTTCGCCAGGGTCACCGGTACTTGGGACCCCTCTCCGAAGTCTGGCCCCACCTACTGCCAAACACAGCCTCCTGCGTGGCTCCCGCCCTCCCCCTTCTAGGATGTCAGTTGTTCACCTGTATGGAAATGACAGCCGCTTGTCATGGTCTACATGAGAGGCCTCACTTGCAGCAGTAACTAGCATGCCATTTCCAAAGCTGTCATTCTCTGGTGTCAGCACAACCCACTGTTCAAAGATTTGCTCTGACATGAACCAGGCAGCGCTGTGACTGTTACTGCCGTGGACTCTTCTGTGCTCCGACACTGATGGCAGCTGCTCGGCGCCCAGGGTTTGTTTCACCCAATTATTTGTTTGTCACTTGGAAGCCCAGGATGTCGAGCAGGTATTGTGGAGGTATTTTTGGCCTGATGCACAGGCAGAAAGCATAATGAGGCCCTCAGGTGAAGGTCTATTTTGTCAGTTAGGTGCTAGGATGATGTGCAGCCCCAGAAGCAATTAGGATATTTGAATAAGATAAGATACCTGGCAGGATGCTGAGAGGGCTCGGAAAGTCAGACTTAACTTTTAAAATGCCAAAAAAACCCTCAGAGTAGGCAGTTTTCAAGTTTATCCTGGAGCTAATACAGAAGGTGGAGGTGTAAAGCTGTCTTCCCTCAACCTGGAGGGCCCTGAGAAGGAAAGAAGGCACAAATCAGGCATGAGCCTGACCCGAAGGTGTGCTCTGGGGGGGTGAGGCCCTGGCCACACAGGGGTAACAGGTTGTAACTGGGTCATGTGGTCAAATAACAGTTACTCCTGGGAGGCAAGACCAGCGGGGAAATGGCAAGTCACCCTTTACCAGTTATTCTCAAGCTGCCTCTTTACAACCGGAGTTCCTCTTCCCATGGGGGTAGAAATCAAACTGATTTGATGTCTAACATCTTGGGAAGAGGTCATTATACAGGGCCATGTGGCCTCTACAGCCAACTGCACAAAACAAAACCACAAAGTGTAGTTTATCATCTAATATTCCACCAGAGCACACTGCTCCAAATCCAGGAATTTGTTTTTTAAGCTTCTTGCTGTCTTGTCTGTGACGTTCCTCCTTTCTCCAGTTCTCAATCTCAGAAAGTGAGGAGCACAGTCCAGACAAGTGGAATTTTCCCAAGGAACACATTATGGACTTGGTAACAATCAAATTAGTTCAGCCTCTCCCTCCTTAAATCCATTCATGATTTTGGTGTGTGCCACCTCTAAAACCAACTCTCCCGCAAAGACACAAGAAGACTGCGCATCGAATTACAAACCAACAAACAGCAAATGCAGCACTGAGTGAATGAAGCTGCAATTATTATCACCTTCTAGCAAAAGAAAAGTAGGAAGTCAGATTGCTCCAGTCAAAAAGACCTAGATGAACTTGAAGAACTAGAACTCTGATGAAATGCTTGGTGTGTGAGTCTGTGACAGCTGAAGACAGATGGGAGGGTGGTGACATTCTTTCGATTATCTACAATGGCCCATGCAAGCCTCATTTCAATTCGTGGTGGTAAAATGAGTCATCTCATAGAAAAAGAAGCTGCCTGGCAGTTGCCCCTGGGGTGCTCTTGGGCACTTTCTCTGGTATCTCGCCCCTGCCCCCCACCCTCATCTAACCTGCAGCAATCCCTGCCTAGGAAGTGGTCCAAATGACAGTCATTCCACTTGAGAAGTCAAGTACAAAGGAACCCTAAGTACTTATATATACAGTGGGGTTTTATAAACATTTACTGAGCAGATAAATCATCTCTTTTAACAGCACCCAAGATGCAGGCAAGCAGAGAAGGAGGACTCTGTATTGTTACTCTTATTCTGGAGGTTAATACCGTAATACCTTAACAGCTGGTATTCAAATTGTAGCCACTGTCTTTTCCACTCCTCCCTTGTGCCGGGGCTCAATCCCCTCTTACCTTTAAGATCTTTCTTACACAGATGCAATCTCCTGAAGAGGAGAGAGGCTTATTCCTGTTCACAAGTTCAGGACTGAAGTCCTGGTATCGGCTACGAGGCACTACTGCTTTTGAATGCTAAGTGTTCAGAATCTCTTTCACAGCTAGCAGGGAAAATGTGTGCCCTCAGCAGAAGCGTCAGGTTCTGAGAGGCCCTAAAAGATATATGTAAATATTTTTCCAGACAGAATCTTGCTCTGTTGCCTAGGCTGGAGTGTGGTAGCGCCTATCTCCGCTCACTGCAACCTCCACCTCCTGGGCTCAAGCCATTCTCGTGCCTCAGTCTCCCGAGCACCTGGGATTACAGGCGTGTGCCACCATGCCCACCTCATTTTTGTATTTTTAGTAGAGATGGGGTTTCGCCATGTTGGCCAGGCTGGTCTCCAACTCCTGACCTCAAGTGATCCGCCCGCCTCGGCCTCCCAGAGTGCTGGGATTATAGGCGTGAGCCACTGTGCTGGCTGGCCCTAGAATATTTCTAACACAAACTTTGGTCTTTAGATTCACAAGGAGTCTTGGAGGCCACCCCCCAGTTTCTCATGATACCCATGAGAAAAGCAAGTCAAATGGAGTGATCTGCTCAACTTTACAAATAGTCTTGCTCAGGCTTGGGCATGGGGCTTCCCTCCTGCCACCTCCTTGCGGTGGGCCAACCTGGTAAGAATTTAAACAACAAGGCCGGGTACGGTGGCTCACGCCTGTAATCCCAGTGCTTTGGGAGGCCGAGGTGAGCGGATCACGAGGTCAGGAGTTCAAGACCAGCCTGGCCAACATGGTGAAACCCCATTTCTACTACAAATACAAAAAATTAGCGAGGCGTGGTGGCGGGCACCTGTAATCCCAGCTACTCGGGAGGCTGAGGCAGGAGAATCGCTTGAACCTGGGAGGCAGAGGTTGCAGTGAGCCGAGATGGTGCCACTGCACTCCAGCCTGGGCAATGAGGTGAGACTTGGTCTCAAAAAAAAAAAAAAAAAAGTATTTAAACAATAAAATCTAACTGAAGAAACGTGAAAAAAGTGGACTGTATTGATAGGTGATGTACAGATCTTTATGGCACTGCCAAAAACCTTTGCAATAGCTTAATTAACTCATATAACAATAGCATCAATTTTTAAAATGGAAAACTCAAAGGGGTAGGTTTTAGTCTAACGATGAGCACAAGCTGGCAGATTCTGGGGCTCTCTAAATGCGAGACATAATTCTGCAGTTTGAGGGCTGGTCAATTTTTGGTCTGCTGACCCTTCGGGGCTCACCTCAGATAAGCTTTTCCACCTAAGAAAGTCTTAAGGCTATTTTTTTTTTTTTAATTAGTGAGTTTGCTATTATACCACTTGAAAAACATTTCAAAATACATTTAAACTCTTTTACTCTTCTGGTCAGGTGGGTGTCATCTATTATTCAGTGTTGTTACCTCCAGATCCTGTTCCATGGTTGGGGCTCAATAATATGTGAATGAAAAGAATTCATTTCAATATGGTTTCCACCTTAAGCCAATTGAACGAATCAATGGAATCACCACTGATGTCATTTCTTTAACAGCTGACCAATCTGCTTTCAGAAGACCCCTTGTCAAACTAAACTTTATGGATAAAGAAGCCTTCACAGAAGCCCAAGAGGTCCTGCGGAGGAGCTGGGTTTTCGGGGAGAGGAGCTTTACTATGGAAAAACCTTTCCCAGCTATGAACAGAGAATGAGAAAATGATGTAATCTTGGCTAAAATTAGGTTTTAGTGTTACTCTGCTGAGAGATGTGAAAGGTGATAGATAAGAGGGGGAAAATGTTTTCCAAGTGGCTTTTAAAGGCATCCAAATATAACTGCCTCCCACATCAGTCTATTAACGGGCACACTTGAGACATTTCCCTCTTCAAAAGGACTCTTAGAAAAGCAATGATGTGCTCTCAGCCTCCTCCTTTAGAAGACAAGGTTTACGAGGGTCAGAGACGCAGATCGGAGCCCACAGAACGCCATTCCCTGTTAACAGCACAGATTTGGGCCTTGTGCTTATGTCATCGGTTGCTAGGGAAATGCCCCTGCTTGAAATTCCTAAATCATTTCTAATAAAATCTGGCTGAAAAGTAAAGATCAGTTCACGCAAAGGCACAAGAATGGGCATGGAAGAGCGAGGAAACTGGAGGTGCCTTAAGCTGAGCCCCACTGCGCTGCAGTAACTATGGCGACTCTGGCCACAGGTGATGGGATAATGGTTGACATCCTGGAGAAGTCCTGGATGAGAACCTCCGGGACCTTATGTTTTATGAGAAGATTAAATACTTTGGGAAGGTATGGGAGGAAAAGCCCTAGGGAAGCCCTTGTTGAGGGTTCCTGCCAGTGTCTTCCCATAGAACCCAGTTTCCCCCAATCCGAATTTTTACCATCCCGCTTTGTGTCTCCCTCAGGAAGGACAGAGATCCTCCTCCTTTCTATTCTCTGCCATATCCCCAGAGCCTAGCACAGTATGACTGCTATGAGCATGTCTAGGAGTCAGCTGGACCGAGCTCCACCACTTACTAGGTGCGCGACCTTGGACAAGTTGCCTCATTTCTGAGCCTCAGTTTACTCACTTAAAAAATGAGTGAATTACATATAAAGTGAACAATACCTAGCAAAAAGAAAGTCCTCAATAAATGCTAGCTATTCATATCTAACTTCAGTTTCCCTGCCTATAAAATGCAGATGCTATTTCTAAATTCTTTTCTAAATTAAGAGCTGCTGTGAAGATTAGGGGATAGAATGTATGTAAAATACTTAGCCCACTGTATCATTAGATCAAAATATGGTACAAGGTAGGCTAAGCACTTTCTATCCATTGCCTCGTTTCATCCTCACAGCACCTGTAAGAGATGGGTTTGGTTATTCCCATTTTACAGAAGGAAAAATTGGTTCTAAGGTGTTTTAACTAGCCCAAAGTTCCACAGCTAGTAAGCGTCTTCAAAGCACTGAGATTCAAAGCAGTGTCTGTGAGAATCTTAAATCCAAAGCCCATGTTCAAGGTAACCATGACAACGCATACTACTTTGCAGTAAAGTTTTACAGCAATCATGCTTCCTCAGGTTAATTATGCAGAGTCTAAACATCTGGCCAGTCCAACAATTATTCTTTGCAAATCACTGAAGTCATTTCTGCACTCTGGGGCAACTTTTCCATAAGTCCTTCCAAGCCAGCAATAAGTTAATCCAGATAAACAATAAAAAAGCATTTAATTTCTTGACAACTTATCAGATCTAACTTAATATAAACTCCAACCAAATGGCTATTAGGGAACCAGGTCTCTAACAGAAAAGCCTACGGAGATCATCAAAGCTATGCAAGCCACCCTCCATCCCATTTGCATTAACACAGTAAGAGGCAACAGCTCCTGATTTGTTAGGTTTCTGGGATGGGCCTGTGGCAGATAGCATTACCCATGCAGGGTTTGCTTTCCCTTCCTTCCAAGGCCCTGTGGATCCCTGTGGATCCCTCTTCTCTTCTGCTCCTCCCTGTAGGAGTTTACTTCCTACTCCATTGATGGCAGGCTTGGTCATGTGACTTTGTCTGGCCAATGAGATTTTTGGAAACGCCACACCCACCTCCAAGTGGAGGCATTCTCTGTTTCTGTCTCTGCTCTTTTCCCCTTTACCAGCCGAATAACCACGATGGGGACTCCTCCTTTGGCCTGGATCCCAGAATAAAAACAAAGAAACCTGCGGCTGATTGGCAGATGACACCTAACATAAGACTTTTGTTGTTGTAGGACTCTGAGCTATTTTGTTACTGCAGCAAAATTTGACAAAGCAGACTCACAGAGACCCAGTGACTTGATGCAGAAGAGCAGACATCTGTCAAGATCCAGCATGTACTGGGGTCGTGGTGTATACGAGGAAATGCTTTATAATAGAAACTGCACATGGGACAAGGTGGCCCTTCACCCCAAGCCATACCAGTGGCAGAATACTTTTTCCCTACTCCCACATTCAGTTCATGCTGAGAGGCTTGTTCGGATGGAAAATTCTGCACATAGGATGCACACAGACCTATCAGA
Organism: Homo sapiens; assembly: GCF_000001405.40. Taxonomy (NCBI): domain Eukaryota; kingdom Metazoa; phylum Chordata; class Mammalia; order Primates; family Hominidae; genus Homo; species Homo sapiens. The sequence continues at coordinate 70,705,873 of NC_000007.14, read as the reverse complement.
GCACCCCACGAGGGATTGACTTCTTCCACTCCTATCCAAGGGCTTTAAGGGTTGATGAGAAGTCATTTGTAGGAGGAGACCCAGAGGCCCAGCTCCTATGCCCAGCTTTCCTCTTGGAGGTAAAATGAATCTCCACTTTCTGGGCCACTTCATACAATCAGGCCTCAGAGTGCACTCTCCCAGTAAGTCCAGGCAAGCTCAGCTAATGACAAGAGTCAAGTCTGTGGGGTGGAGGAGGCGAAGGGGGAAAAAAGAGAGTGGAACAGCACCTCTGAGTTCAGGAGAGTCTGGAATCTCCTTGGTGAATTCATGAAATGGCTCTTCAATAGACAGCTGTTTCTACTTTTTAAAAGCACAGACTGGGCAAGTAGGTAAAATACTTTGATGTTAGCTCCGGGCTAAATAAAAGACAGCTGAGTAAAAGTTCAGGCACTATGAAATTAATAAAATCACTGTTGCACTCGTTCCACCAGAGGTTCAGGAATAAACTGGTAAAAATCCGAAATGCACGGAGCGGATTACTCGAGTGGGAATCAATCATTTTCTCCACTGAAGTTTTCTGGCATTTCCTTATACAGTACAGTCACTGGATTCATAATTCACCAAAGGTGCTTCCTGAGACTGCGCTTTCTGAGTAATTGAGACAAATTCTGTTAAATAAATTCCAGACGAGAGTGTATTTGACTTATGCACAGGAAAGGAAGGAATTCTTATATAAGCCGCAAAACAATAGAGTTTTATCTTATCTGAGGAACTTATTGCTGCTTGCCTGTGTGTATTTTACTGCCAAAATAAAATAAATTGAATCAGCTCACACATGATAACATGCTCTTTCCTAACTCATACTAATTGCTTAGCTAATTGATGTTTGTTGAACTTTCTCCATTTCATTGAGTGATTAGGTACAAAGCTAACAGTTGACATCTGTAGGCGCTTAACTGGCGTCTGTAATTACTGTTAATGTTAAATAATTGTTAGTTAATTGGAGTGGTAACTGACTGAATGGAATCCAGATTGTGAAGCAAAAAGAAACCTAGTTAAATAAACATACATATTCAGAGAAAACAACATTTTTCTGCAGTTGTCAGAAACTAGAAATAATCCAGAGGCCACGGGCTAGCCACGGGCTTCCTCCATTTAGGAACCCTCCTGTCTGGGGTTGGCCCGCGTGATTGAGCCCTTTGTCACTCAACTGTTCTCATTAGACTCTAGAGAACTGATCTGATATTTTTCAATTCCAATTGTCTATCATGAATGCATATTACTTTCTGAGACAACCAAATACTAACTACATCATTAACTACACAAAACGCTAAATATGAATGGATTGAAGAGAGGCTGATGAACATTCAAGCTTTTTGGTCAATATTGCCAAGGATAGAGAAAACTCTTTCAAAGGACAGCAGTAATCGCCCAGTATAAGTCAAGGGCTTTCCACTGAGCTCAAAAGTAACCAGAGTGATGTTTGAACATCTGACTAAAAGAATGGAATGGGTTACACTGTAATCTACGCCTCCTCCATCACAGGGGCACTCAGGATGGAAAAGTGGCAGCTGTCAAAAGTTCTACCCAAAAGGCATCATCAAGATCACTTCGAATGCCTGGAATCTTCCACCCGGTTCACAATTCCAGTGATGGGATCCAGTATCCCAGGATTCACCACCACACGCATTCACAAGTTCGGCAAAAGATCAGTTCGGCCAAAGCAACTATTGGAAAATTTTCGGGAGACACTTTCATGCAACATGGAATATTTTTTGACTGTTACTGGTGGTTTCACACTAACAGTACAAGGCATCTGTTTCCAAGAACGCTCAAAGGATGATTCTATACAACAAATTCTCCAAGAGTCGGCTTCTATAGGAAGGTCAATTTCCATAACAAAAGGAGCTGATTGCATGCTATTTGCAGTATGGAGTAGGAGGAGGGACTGAACTACTCATAACTCCTTTGTCTCTTGCATCAAGTACCAATTACCCTTAAATACTACTTAACTCTCCAGACATCTCTATCTCCTAAAAACTCAAGAAAATGCTCTGAAATAGTACAAAGAAGGTCCAGAGGGAGAAAAATAAATGAGTGATGTTCTAACTCTCCCTTATGTGGAATTTAAGGCATGACAAAAACCAAACTAATTTACAGAGACTGAAACGGGCAGTTTGCTCTTGTGCACATCGGAAATGCACTTTACATCATGTCCTCCCTGCGACTAAACCCAAGACCCTAGGAGGAATTGTAAAATGGTCTCCATATGTTCATTATAAAGGGATTTTAAACTGTAAACCAAATTTTTTTCTTAAGAGAGCTATTCCACAGTCAACTGCATTATTTTCATGCATAGAATTATTTTATGGAAAGGCCTTTTTTTTTTTTTTTTTTTTTTGAAATGGTGTCTCACTCTGTCGCCCAGGCTATAGTGGCACAATCAGGGCTCACTGCAGCCTCGACCTTGTGGGCCCAAGTGATCCTCTCACCTCACCCTCCCAAGTAGCTGAGACTACAAATACACGCTACCAACCCCAGCTAGGTTTTTGGAATTTTAGTAGAGATGAGGTCTTGCTATATTGCCCAGGCTGGTTTTGAGCTCCTGAGCTCAAGCAATCCTCCTGCCTCAGCCTCCCAAAAGTTCTGGGATTACAGGCATGAGTGACCATGCTCGGCGGGAATGGGTTTTTCTTAAAAGTCAAATGGTGACCTTGATGGTAATATAACTCTTACCTTTCTGTCACCAAACCAAGGAAATCCCTTGTGTCTAAACCTAAAGAATAAGGTCATATGGTCGCCATGGAAGAATTTATTAGGTACCTGGTTACTAAGCCAGCAGTATCGCTGGGTAACTTGTTTCTTACCTCATCTCCTCAGATTTCAGGCAATTTTTAAGCTAGGTCTTCTTTCTACAATGCTGATAGAACCATACTGCCAAAAATATCCAAAGGCTTCACTAACCTAAAGGCTCCAACCTCATCTGTGTTCCACCGGAAATTCTCAGTGCAAAACCAACCCCAAGAAGAGGCCGGGTGTGTTCCACTAATAGGCCTGGTAGGGCCCGGGAGAGGAAAAGCAGTCCTGGTCAGAGAGGGCTCCAGGTGGCCAGAGCGTTGCGTCTGGTGCTCTTCTTGGTGAGTGACTATCCACTAGAACCTCCCAGGCTGATGGAGGTGAGGTGGGGTCCTGCCTACGAGGGTGAGCAGCTGCTCTGTTGCTGTTCACATTTCAGGAGACACTGGGTGCCCACAGTAGAAAGAAGCAGAATGAGGGGCCTCATTCCCTGCTGGAGGAAACCATTCAGAAATGCCCATTTAGCTGGGCACAGCTCCCCGATGGCTCACTCAGGAGGCTTTTCCCCAGGAGTACCCAGTTCTGCAATTTGAGACAAAGTTGAAGGAAAGAGAAGGGGTGAGAAAGTCACGGGGTAAAATACACCACTGTGCCCCTCTCACCGTCTATCTATGAGTTGTCTTGACTTGTCATCGTCTATCTGTGACTTGTCTTGGTTACGGGCTAAATCCTGGGAAGGAGGGCTCTGAACCAAGAAGGGAGAGCAATTCAGGGATTTTTCTCTTCCCCTAACCTAGACCACAGCCACATGCCAGGACTGGCATCCTATAAACAGAGGGCTCCACAGAACTCCTGACGCCTGACTAGTGTTGTCCTTCCTCCCAGACAGGCTTCCCTTCTTTTCTTTCCTCCTCAAGCAGCTCTGCTCTGGAGCAATCCAAGAGTTTTAGGAAAGATTCATTATCTTGGCAGGATAATTGTGTGCAGCAAAGAACTCATTTTCTGCACTTTTGTCTACAGACCAAACTGGTGACACCAGCAAGGATCTACAGTAGGCAAGAGAGGATAATAAATACTAGCCATGTTGAATAGACTGAAAGTTCCTTTATAGAATAAATACCCCAGAATTTGGGGTACAGGTCCTGTTGCTCCTATAGCATTTCAATCAACTAAATAGGGTTACTAAGTCTCTCTCTGTGCCTCTGTCTCAGTGGGAAAATTAATTTTTTCTTTGGCAGATGGTTGAATCACAAAGACAGAAGGATTCATAAAATTCACATGAACATCCTGTAAACATTTAAACACATAAAGATTAAATATGGCAACTATGACCTTGATTAAAGTTAAACTGTTTTTTTGTGTCTACAACGCTAAGCCCTGCTCAATGCCACACCCCTTTCGAAATGCTCAGTCCTCATTAGGCATGTTGTGTGTACATGCAAGCATGTGCTGTTTGATTAACTTGTTTTAAAGCAGGAAATAAAAGGCAGGAGAAGAAAACGACCATTCGGAACACCTAAACACAAAAATCTCTATGAAACTGGATGGCATCTATAACACAGGGAAAGTCAAAATAAAATCGATGAACAAACGTGATATAAAATATACTCACTGTATCCACTCTGTTTCAACCCCTGCCCCTTCCCAATTAATTGTTTTATCCCCACCAGAGATGTTGGCCCTGGAATAGGTTTTGTTATGATTGAAAATCTTGACCTAAAGAGGGTAAATGACTTATTCAAGCTCACAAGCTGACTGATGGGCCTCGAGCCACGGCCCCTGCTGCCTCTGCCTGAGCTTCATCTCCGCACTGTGCAGCCCAACATCAGGGCTGCGCCCCCCCAACCCCCACCACAATCAGCTTGTGAGATTAGCACTGCCCTCCCACGGTGAAATTTTATGGACCAAATCTGCCTGCCACCAGGCTCAGCAGCATAATCTCACCAGCAGCTTAAAGCCACACTCCTCTAAGGCCAGAATACTACCAGTCTCTTGAGAGGGAGAAGTGATGTGTAACTTAAACATCTGGAGGTGGAGGGATACACGTGTCAGCTCCCCTGCACTCTGGTTAGATTGTCCCATAAGCTGGGGCTTTGAAGATTTCCCCAGTTGTGTTTGTTACCTGGTGTAAATTTGCCCTTTCTTATGATGCTTTTTATTGCTCTTGGCTAAAGATACTGGACAAAGATAGGAGACCTGACTTTCAGGCAGGCAGGCCGCCTTGCAGGAAAACTTGAACTTGATGTGCATGAAGCTGACAGTTCCTTGAAGGCCTTGTCAGCCATTCATCCTGTAAACACTGCCACTACCCGGAGTAAAAACAGACCCAAAACCACAAGCCTATAAGGAGACTCTGCACCTGTCCTGAAGCAATTATTGACATTATCGCTACACAATGAATCCCTTTTTGAAGTTGTTTTCCTGATATTTAGCAGTTTGAATACTAATCCCCTTAACAAAACTGTCCCCGATGCTTTCCCCCTCCACACCCCCCTTAATCTCTTTCTCCCCAGGGAGGAAAGGGGGTGCGGGATACCAGTCAGTCTACTTTGCACCACCTGGATTCGCACTGATTCCGTCTCTTGTCATTCATGTTACCAACAGGAATTAGCATAAGGCATTAAGGGGAAACTCTGGAGGAGAAAAGAAAGGCCATTTTGATGGAAATAAGGGGCAAAGGAATAATCTGCCATCAACTAAAATGCTTATTTGTGTATGGTTTCCCAAGCAAAGCTTAGAAAAAGCCTATGTTGATTTTAGTGTACACAAAGAAACCTTAATCCTTTCAAGGCAACTAAATCACCCCTAGAAAAGCAGCTCAGAAGAAAGGCACCCTGTCAGGGGGAGGGCTATTCACAACCAAATAGATGCCACAAATCACACTCTGTAAGTAAACAAAAATAAGAATGTGGGAAACGTTTGATTGGAAAAGGAAAAAAAGGGGGGGAAAGAACCAGAGGGAAGAGGCAGAGGCGAGCTGTTCATCCGCCCTGAAGACAATCTTTCAGGGCAGTGGCGGCCAGAGTGCAGGTCTTGGAGCCAACTCTTATTCTAGGGCCTGATCCCAGAAAGGGGAAATACATTCCAAAGCTTTCAGTAGCAAATCAGCAGAAGACAGACACAGTCACATGTGGCAGAGGTCCTGGGGGGCTGCAGAAACGAAGAAGCCCTGCCTTTGGTGACCTGCCCTCTACCCCAGTCTCCCTCTCCCATCACCCTCCTTTCTCACAAGGAAACGCCAAGTGGTAGACAATTGTGCATTTTTACACACGAGTACTGTATGCTATGAATGGCACACATCTTCTTTTATTGGGCTTTTAGCATTATGGATAACACATTTATACAAACTTTCAGTCCATCAGAAAATATGATGAAATATAAAACTGGAATACTCCATTATGCAATAAAAAAAGATAAAATTCAATATGACAGTAATTCTGGGAGTAACGGCAATCACATACACCTCAAGGGAACTCTAAACATAATGTACTATTTAAAATTGCAATTGGTTCAAATTCTAAAATAATCTGGGAGCTCAAAATAACTGCACTTGGAAATGTCTTACTAACCAGCTAGCAAAAATGCTAGCCAAGGCAACTACAGAAGGCTGAAATGGTCTCAAATTTCACTTTGTGAAGGCCCAAGTCTGTTCAAGTGCTACCAAGTGTCGCCCATGTAACCCAGAAAGAGATTATCACAGAAAGCACATCTTTACTTAGCAATTATCATGCCAGCCCCTAAATCAGGCTCGACAGTGGAAAGGGGAAGATTAAATAGTTTATATGGTTTGTCCCTTTCAAATTACACACCTTTCAGAGCCAGTGATTACAGACTCCCCTAAATTTCCTTATTTCCAACGATACTGCTAACAAATGAAAGCTGCGCAGAAACCTACTGGCAATGATTTAAGGTTAGTTTTCCCTTAATGTACTGCTATATCATTAGCCTCTCTTACTCTAGATCGTGGTTTGGAAGAAATTAATGGGATAGTGCATATTTAAATTCTGCCCTCTCGCTCGTTTATTAACTTTACAGAAAGCCCACAGCAGAGTAAGGCTTGGTTTATGACCATAATACTGTGAATTCTAAACATCCATTGATTACTGGAGTCTGCAATGCACATCAGCTATTTATATTTCTCCTATTGCTGGGTAGTTGATAAGTAACAATAAAGTTCAGGCATTTTGAGAACTATTCTTCTCGAGTACAGCTTTCTATATTAAAGTCACATAGTAGTAGTGATTAGTCAAATCAGTTTAAATAGGGACTCAATGTATTCTTTTAAAATAAACTGGTTGTTAATGTTAATGCATCACAAAGTATGCAGACTTCCATCTCAAGCAAAAACATGAAACATCAACAGTAGCTTCAGAATTATAAGAGAAAGATCACTCTAGCTCTTCTTTCTTCCTAGGCAATGACAATGAAACTAACATAAAAATAAGCCATTACTCAGGAGAATGAATGGGTCTTACCTTTGTTTACAATAACAGTGTTGAAGAGTTTTTCAGAGCTGGCATCTGATGCCTGAAAAACAAGAAGGGGGAAAAAAGCATTATTATTGTCATTAATATTGTCATCACCATCAACATTCCCATTATTTTAAATCAGTTGACTACATTTTACGAAAGCCTAGCAGGGAAGCAGCAATGTCCCCAAATCATCCATAAGGTGGTGCTAGTTGACTGCTTGAGAGAGACCTGCAGTGCAGCTATTTGCTGGGGGGAAAAAAATCTGATTTTAAAAATGTGTCCTTATTAGACACATTATCTGTGCAAAACATATTTCTATGAGATGATACACAAAGCAATTCAGCTCATTCACATAATGATTTTGCAATTTCGTTGACAGATCATTATTTTGGAAATGTTATGTTTTTCGTGGTATTTGCAGACATGCCAATTTTTCAATTTTCTTTCACAAATCAGAAATGCCTATTATTTAATGCTAAGCTTTTCCTCACTAAAAAGTGTAAGCCAACACTGCCAGAAATTAATTTTTTTTTAAGATTCATCTGATGACTCCAAGATCCCTGTCCCTTGCAGTAACCAAACGACCTTGGTGTTCAAAAAGATGCAAGCCGGCCTGCCCCAAAATCCGACCACTATGCATGCCACCAGCATTATTTCCTTTCCATTTTCTAGAGAACATGTCTGCTAATTATTACAGTGGCTTGAGGAAGGTGAAATAAGCCTGTTTAAACAGTAAAACTAAAGCCAATTTAAATTATACACTAATGTTCTGGAAAATAAACATGGAAGTCGGTTTGAAGGAAAATGCTGTAATGTTTCAGCACTGAATATTTCTAGAACTTGAAAAAATAAAAATTAAGCATCTCCACTACATAACGTGAGGATATATCTGCATTTAAAGTTATAATGGCCAAGCTATATTTGTGCTGTTTTCACTACATAACCCTCATGAGAAATCACTCATCTTTCACACTTGATACACAGAGATGCATATTCTGAGAAAGCAAAAGCCTAGAATGTTGAATAAATATGGAAAAAGGAAATATAGGAAATGGGGGGGGGGAATTCTGAAGTGCAGCATATTTTGACTCTGGGGCTAGCTTTTAGGGACAAAGAGGATATTCAATTTAGTCTTTCCATGTAATACTGACAAAGATGAAATATTCCTGTGTACATCTGGGGGACATGTTCTAGTTCTCAATGCAAGTGATATAGAAAGACAAAATATTTGTATTAAGACTGTTTTTTGCTTTATTTTAATTCTAACATTACTTTTATGGGGGTGTCCATATGATTAACCAATCCAGAAACAATGAATGTATGTGCAAAACGAACATTGAAGTGCATACATTTATACATGCAGTTTAACATAAACCCTAGATAGATTTTTTCCTATTTTGCAGGAATAATGAAAAATACAGAGGGCCTTCCTGACATCTTAAACTATATATAACAGTACCTTTACATAAAAACAAACTGCCAAAAAAAAATGTTAATGGGAGAGAAACAAGTCATACCTAGATCAAGAATAGTGAGTTATAAAGCCAAAAATTGCATGATGATGCTACACTGAAATATTAAGTGAGATTTCTAGGACTGTGAGTTTCCCAGCTAAAAACTCGAGATATGTGTATTTTACCATCCTTTCATGAAAAAGTGTTTCTTAGAACGGGTTGGAATTCTTTTTGAATGTAAATTCATGTTAAATTCATGGCTTACAAAATTAATGAACTGATAGAAGGGGAAAAAAAAGCCTGTTTATTAAAGTGTTTTACCAAACTGACATAACCTTTGAAAATTCTGGGATTACCTATTAAAGTGACTCTAATTGGCCCCAAGAAATGTAAAAACAAATTACTGTCTCTGAATGCAAAAAGCATAAACAGGGAAAGTAAATGGTTCCTGACCAAGTTTTTATTTGCACTTAGTGTGTGTGTGTGTGTGTGTGTTCGAGTGAAAAGGACAGAAGCTGTGGGTGAACAGGCCTTTTGCTTCTGCCACCTTTGTCAGCTCCACATGGGATTCTCAGACAGACACTTACGTGATCCTCATGTCTGAACCAAACTTGAGGATGCCATTATTATGATGCCGATCAGTAAGTTATTAAGGAAGTAAGTCTGACCGGATATTCAGAGAGGCTTAGGAGTGTATCTTCGACTAAAAGCTTTCTAAGCCCTTACTTGGCTGATACAAGTCACAGGGCTGGACACCATGCCTCTTGCAACTGGGAAAGGGGGTGTCTCAGAAAGGCCTCCCCAGAAAAACACCCAAAAGATGACGACTGCAATGGGGCTCTGGCTGACCGTGAAAACATTCTGGATCCCTTCTCTCTCCTATCCAGGTGGTTACAACTGTGGCCGGCCACTGTCCTAACAAGTCAGAAGAGAGATTCTTTGCCAAAATCTTCAGGGGAAACGACACGAGTACCCTTTGCTTTTCCTCAACGAACTTTCCTTCTACTTAGGGTTTTAGGGCATTTGTACAAATGATTTGTTCCTTGGGTCTGAATCTTGGGGATGTTTATCATTTTCGTTGCTTTCAGAAAATAGTCTGCATTTCCTTCTATTACCTGGACCATTTTCCTGGCTTTTTAAAAAAAATTATTATTCAAATGGAAAAGCGGCGAGCCCAGAATGAGCCGACGAATTGAGCTCTTCCTTCTCTCGAACACGGGGGCACCTCTACCCGCTACAGACTTGAAGATTTTACTCACTTCCTTTCATCCCCTCGCTCGGTTTTGGAGGGTAGGGGCATGAAGTGGTTGAATCTAAAACTGACAGAAAACCAAAGCTCTCTTTTGGCTGCTTTTTATTTAAGGGAAGGGGGAATATGTTTTTTTGTTTTTTTGGATGTAAAAAAAATATTGCTAGAAGCCGTAGTTGGCGTTTAAAGGAAAGTTAAGTAAGTGAAACAGATTGGAGGCGGGAACGCGGAGAATAAGGAAAACTTATAAAAAGCCGTGCGTGCAGACGGGGTGGGACCCAGCGATTCCTGCTTCAGGCCCACCCTCACTCCCTTCGGACGCAGACCCCGGGGGCCGCCCTCCGCACCCGCACAGGCGAGAAGGGGGGCTTTCGAACAACAAAACAGAAACCTCCTGGAAACTTAAGCGCGAGTTCTTTCTCCCGCTGCCGAACCCGAGCCCAGATCTCCTTTCGCCTCCCTTGGCACCGGGTGCGGGCCGGGATCCCGACCTCCGCGCTGGGGAAGCGCGACCCCAGGAGCGGGCAGCGCCACGCTAGGGCCCCCAGCTCAAGCGGACGCAGGCCCCGGCCCCCTCCTCACATCGGAGCTTGGCGGCGAACGCCAGGCCCTCCCGGGCACGACCGCGCAGCTCCGGCCGAGCCCGGCCGGCCGAGGGAGGAAAGTACAAAGGCGGGCGACAGGGCCGCAGAGGGGGGAGGAAAGAAGGGAGGAGGGGTAGCGAAGGGGCGCTTGGGCGCGCCAGACGGGAGAAGCCCGCCCCTGCCACCCCTGCCCGCCGGCCCGGCCGCCGCAACAAAAGACCCCCGATCCGGCCGCCTCCCTTCCGACCGCGAGAGGTAGGCAAGCGAGCCGCGCCCCGGGGGCTTCATTACCTGGTTGCAAAGGGTTAAACGGTCCGGTCAGCCCCAAGTTCATGGTTTGGTTCTTTAGCAGGGCTCCCGAAGGGCGATCGTCAAAGACCAGGGGGGAAACCACCAAAACACACGAAGAGAAAACGCCCAACTCTCGACCCGGCTCTGTCCACAAGAGTCTCTGGGCTCCTTCCTCGCCAAAGTCCGAGAGCGGAGGCGCCGAACCAGATCCGAACCGGGCAACAGCTTCGGGGCGACCGAGAGCCGGCGCCGCGCGCACACATCCAGCGCGGCCGAGGCCCCGGGCGGCGGGAGGAGCGCGCCCGCCGAGATCGCCCGGCCCGCGCTCGCCACTGTCTCCCCGCCGCTCCTGCGGCGCGCGGGGCCGCGCTGGCGCGGCGGGGGCTAACAAGGCGCGTCCCGGGCCGGCCGGCGGGAGGGCGAGGCGGAGAAGAGCGGCCTGAGCCGCCGCCGCGGCGCGCGGAGCTAAGAGCGAGGCGGCGGCGGCGGCGACAGGACAAAGGAGACCATGTGCGGAGGGAGGGAGGAGGGAGAGGGAGGAGGAGGAGGAGGGCGCGCGGCGGCTTCTCCCCGGCGGCCGCCCGGGGCTCCCCGACAGCCGGTCCCGCCTCTCCAGCCGCGCCGCGGGCTGCCTGGTCCTGGGCCCGCCGCGGTGCTGGAGGGAGCCGCTCCGGGAGTCTGGATTTTGTGCGGATCTCGCCGGCGCGCGGCCCAGGAGGCGCTGCAACGGCGGGGCGCGGGGCGGCGGCGCCTCTGGCCGGAGCTTGCGGGCTGGCGGGTGAGCGCCCGGGGCTGGCTGGGCTCCGGCCCGCGCTCGGCTTGCGGGCGCCTGCCTCTCCCGCCGGTTCACAGCTCAAGTGAACTCCATCGGCGGCCGCCGCGGGCTCCCTGGCTGGACGGTAGCAGGAGGGGGCGGCGGCTACGCGGGGGCCCCTTGCTCCGGACTTCGCTCCCCGACTGCGCCGAGCGCGCCTCCTCCAGACGCTCGCAGCTCTCGGAGCGGGACTTCCTCGGCGCGCCGAGCCCGAGCCGCCGGTGCCACCGCCCCTCCTCCGTCCCGCCCCGCGCGCCCCGCCCCTCGCCGCCCCTCCTCTCGTCCCCGGCGCCGGGTCGGCCCAGCGGAGGCGCGGTCCCCAGGCGCGACATCGACAGCTGTTGCTCCCCCCGCGGCTCGAGCCCTCGGCTCCCCCCGGCTGCCTTCCTTGCGGGCGGGCGCGGCGGAAACTGCACCGCTCCTCGCCCTCCCCGCAGTTGCCGCTTCCAAGATTGCGCCATGGCAGGGAAAGGCCACTAGGCCCGCAGCCTGGGGTTGAATTGCCACCAAGCCAGTCACATCTGCAAAGAGCAGGCTCTCTGGGCGGTTGTGAGGGCTCAGTGGTAAAGTCATGTATGTAAAAGGCCTGGCACATAGTAGGCGCTCAATACAAAATAATCATTGCATTGTGGAAAATGGAGACGGGGATCACGGTCTGGGTCTCAGACACAAAGGTCTTCACCTAACCTCCTTCCCCACCACAGCCGACTGACCGCAGTGTGCTCGGTTTGATGAATAACTTAAGAGCATGAACTGGCCACTTAGAAATCCTCTCCTCCCAGCTCCTCACACCCTCTGACACGTGCACACCCTGCATCCACAAAAGTGGAGCCTGTTGCTTCCCCTGGCATTCACCGAATGTAGGGAAAGAATGAAAGCAATGGCAAAGCCTCGCTACATGGGCAGCAGTTACGTCTATCATCCTAACATGTATCGTGTCTGTATCCCCTAGAGCACAGTGCAGTGCCCCCAGAGGGTGTGGGGGACTGAATGGCCAGAAATGAGGCACTCAGCAGATTCCCCTGAGCAACCCACTCCCACCAGAACGCACCCCGGGCGAGGAAACCCTCTGAAAACATCTGGAGTTTTAATTCCACACCTGCAGCTTGACAAGGTCCCTCCTTGGTGCAGAGGAAAAGCTGCTGCAATTTTCCTAGTACAAGAAAAAGAGCAAGCAAGCCCTAGGTTGCAACCGGTAGGGTTGTGGAGTACAGTGGGCACACCAAGGTGGGGTGAGAGGAAAACTTCAGTTCTAAGTCCCCTCCCAGTGCCACCGTTACCTGGAGTGTGGCTGGAGGAAGAGAGGAAGAGAACAGGGGTTGGGAGAGATGCACACCACATATGAATGACATGCAGACTGGTTTAAAGTAATGATGGCCACTCCTTGCCTCTTTGAAGTTGCATGTCTATCACTATTTGATTTCATGGCACTCTTGAAAAACCTCTCAAGTTAAAAAAAAAAAAAAAAGGTGGGGGTGCTTGCTGTATGGCATACTTCCCCCTCCTCTAGCCTCTAAGTTTGGAAATAAGAAGCCTTCTCTCTCTAGCTTCATCACCCCCTCCCCCAAACTGGTAGCACAATGTGGTGTTATACAAGTCTTTTTAAAAATATAGGTAACAGTGATTTTTCTCTACCACTGCCTCCTGAGAAGTCAAAAGAAAAGGCATCTCAGAAGGTATAGGTTTGGAGATGGATTTTCCAGTTGCTTACAAGATGTCACAATACCCAGCTGTGGTCCTCCAGGGAGGCGGCATTCATTCTGAAGCTGTTTAGACAATACCAGGATAGCTCAAAGGTGGACATGAAATGTTCTAGAGAAGACATTAAAAGGTTGTTTCTTTTGGAACAATCAAAATGGAACAGTTTTCTTATCTTGTTGTTCTAGCAAAATCGGTGTTACAGGGAAGAAACTGCCTGAGCTCCTGCACCATCCCCTACAGGGTAAACTGAGAGCACGATGGCATGGCAGCTTAGCTGACCAGCTGAAACCACTTGGCCCTCCAGGGTGCTTTCATTAGGTGGCACTTCTGACATTTATCATGCCTTGCATTAGATTGTCATCAGTCTGGGCGCAGTTGCTCACGTCTGTAATCCCAGCACTTTGGGAGGCCGAGGCAGGTGGATCACTTGAGGTCAGGAGTTTGAGACCAGCCTGGCTAACATGGCGAAACCCCGTCTCTACTAATAAAATGTGTAGAGGTGCACACCTGTAACCCCAGCTACTTGGGAGGCTGAGGCAGGAGAATCGCTTGAACCTGGGAGGTGGAGGTTGCAGTGAGCCGAGATCACGCCATGCCACTGTACTACAGCCTAAACAACAGAGTAAGACTTTATCTCAAAAAAAAAAAAAAAAAAATTGTCATCAATGGTTACCAGGGATTAGGCCTCAGATGACGGCCTCAGCCAGATCTGCATGTGTCCAGATCTTTTGATGATCTCTCATCAAGAGGAACCTGGGAACGCCAAAAGCCAAGCCTCTGACCACTGTGGCCACCTCCAGTGCTGCTCCCCAGGGTCCCCTGGCTGGCCCGGTTGCAGAACACCACCCACTGTGACCTGCTCCATTTCTCATCCTCTCTCCAGACTCACAAATGAGCCCATTTCTGACTGGTTTCCAAACTGCTCTATTCCCTATGCTTTCTGGAAGCGGGGATGGGAATGAATGTCAAAATTGGAGGGGACCAGGTACACAACAGCATCAGAAGTAGGAAGAAGGAAGAAAGAAGACTAAATTTGATAATCCATATATTAGGGACTGAATCCAGGTCAGAGGGCTTTCAATAATCAGGAAGATTGTTTTTTTTTTTTTTCCTTGAGAAATTTAATTTCCTTTTATTGGAGTTTTAATATAAAGATGCCAAGTCAAAGGCTGGAAGCTATCTTTTCTGTTACATGGAGGTGGATTAACATACTAAACACTAATGGCTTCTTAACATCACCTTTAGCCTCTGAACCCAATCTAAGGAGAACAAGTCTTAGAAAGCGGCAACCCTTTCTAATAGAAAGCAGAGAGCAAGAATGTGGACTCAATTTCCACTCTGGTGTTAGATTAATGATTTCAGAAATAATTTTTAATATATGCCCAAAGATCTTAGCCAAGTTTATGATTAATCAGTTTAAAAAAAATGTAAAGCTACGTTAAAATATGGAGCCTTCTTCCTCAAATCTCAAAAATACATCTAAAGATTTAAACTAGGTTTAAAAACAAAGGGAAATTCTTGTAAGTCAATCTATACTTTCAAATTCTTATGAATTTATTAACTTATTTAAGAGACAAGGTCTCACTTTGTCACCCAAGCTGGAGTGCAGTGGCACAATCATAGCTCACTATAACCTGGAACTCCTGGGCTAAAGCAATCCTCCCGCCTCAGCCTTCCAAGTACCTGGGACTACAGGTGTGTACCACCACGCCCAACTAATTTTTATTTTTTGTACAGACAAGGTCTTCCTATACTGACCAGGCTGGTCCTAAACTCCTGGCCTCAAGTGATTCTCCCACCTTGACCTCCCAAAGTACTGGGATTACAGGCATGAACCACTCTGTCTGGCCTATACTTGCAAATTCTTAAAAATTATAATCTGAGATGGGATTCAATTTATATCACAAATTACCAGATTTAAGCTAAATATATTTTAGCAAAATATTTCTTACAAATTATAGTCTTCTGTTAAGCGTTTTATACAGAGAAAGTTCATTAATTTCATTGTGCTCCCCCTCCTAAATATAATGAAGTTCAGGCACTCTAACAGCGCATGTGCTGTGTGCTTCTTGAGGTGGTTTAAAGGAAGAGGAAGTCTTCACCAGAATTTCCTCGAACCTTTCGTTATGGATGATGTAGTTTTAAAAGATCACTAGGTGATTGAAGGAGGGTGATAACTCCAACTAGCCTCGGCAAGGATGTCACCATGCCTGGTTTATTTCTGAAACTATGGAAGTCTCCATTCTTTTCAAGTTCTAAAGGTTCTGCAAGCTCTGAAAATCCAAGTTTCTACTTGTTCTTCAGGGTAGAGGTTTGGAGCTGGGCCCTGGAGCCAGCATCAGGTTAATAATTGTGGCTCTGCCATTTCTGAGCCAGGACAGCTTGGGTAAATCTCTTCACTCTCCCTGCCTCAGTTTCCTTATCTAGAAAGTGAGATAACAGGAGCCACACCTCTTGGGGCCTTCATCAGTAACAGTGCCTGGCACTTAGTAAGGAGGATATATTTGTTGTCTATTATGATTACAGATGACACACTTCTTTTGATTACCGTGGAGACCAACAAAATAAAAGTCTATTTTATTAGGGCCACAATGGCCATAGCCTTGCCTTCTACTGGGTTCTCCCAGTGGGGATCACCACAATAATGAAAATAACCACATGAACATCAAAATGACACCAGTCCCATAAAGTGGGTACAGTGGTTTGTACCATCTCTACTAGGGAACGACATCTTTTTTTTTTTTTTTTTTTTTTTGAGACGGAGTCTTGCTCTGTCGCCTAGGCTGGAGTGCAGTGGTGTGATCTTGGCTCACTGCAAGCCCCGCCTCCCGGGTTCACACCATTCTCCTGCCTCAGCCTCCCGAGTAGCTGGGACTACAGGCACCCGCCACCATGCCCAGCTAATTTTTTGTATTTTTAGTAGAGACGGGGTTTCACTGTGTTAGCCAGGATGGTCTTGATCTCCTGACCTCGTGATCTGCCCGCCTCAGCCTCCCAAAGTGCTGGGATTACAGGCATGAGCCACCGTGCCTGGCTGGGAACGACATCTTTATAGAGGACCTACTGCAAAGAATCCCTCCAGACAGGGTCAGAACCTGGACAGTGGATAGCTTGGGTCTCCTAATAAGGGTGTTTCTTTTTCTTTTTTCTGAGATAGGGTCTTGCTCTATCACCCAGGCTGGAGTGCAGTGGTGCCATCACAGCTCACTACAGCCTCGACCTGCTGGGCTCAAGTGATCCTCCTACCTCAGCCTCTTGAGTAGTTGGGAGTAGCTGGGAGTAGCTGGGACCACAGGTGTGCACCAACACATCTGGCTAATTTTTTAAAAATTTTTTTCTAGAGATGGTGTTTTGCCATGTTTCCCAGGCTGGTCTTGAACTCGTGGCCTCAAGTGATCCTCCTGCCTCTGCCTCCCAAAGTGCTGGGATTATGGGCATGAGCCACTGCACCCAGCCACATGGATATTCTTGGTAGATTATAAAGTCGACCCTGAATCCAGCAAAATGTTATAAAAGCCTGCCAGCCTTAAGATGTGATGAAACTCTTAATAGTGAGGGCTTCAATTTCTTAAAACATAAAATAGCAGCATCCCAATTATGTCATTTAGACATGTTAAATTGTAATTTCCAGTTTTAAGAGGACTACCGTTTTGCCTACGACTATAAAAATGATGTCTTACTGGTGCAGAAGCATGTTTTGTTTTGTTGAGATGGCGTCTTGCTGTGTTGCCCAGGCTAGAGTGCAGTGGCACAATCAGAGCTCACTGCAGCCTCCAACTACTAGGCTCACGGGGTCATCTTGCAGCAGCCTCCTGAGTACTGGGACTATGGGCATGCGCCACCACGCTGGGCTAATTTTTAATTTTGTAGAGACAGGGTCTCTTTATCTTGCTCATGCTGATCTCTGACTCCTGGCCTCAAGCGATCCTCCCA